>NC_000005.10:159700717-160003748 GCF_000001405.40 Homo sapiens | reverse complement strand
AATTAATTAAAATTAAATAAAATCAGAAATTTAAGTCCTTGGTCGCACCAGCCACATTCCAGATGCTCAGTAATCACATGTGGAGAATGGCTGGTGTACTGGACAGGACAGGCTTAGACTTTCCAGAACAACTAACTATTATTCATAGAGAATTTACGTGCATCAGGGGCTGTGCCCATTACATTTGTAATTGCAGGTAATCTTTACAATAACCCTGACCTCTCTTGTTTCTTATAATCTTTTCACAAAGCATCAAAACTGATCTTTTCAAAACATGAATCATGGCTGGGCATGGTGGCTTATGCCTGTAATCGCAGCACCTTGGGAGGCTCAGGCAGGAGGAGTGTTTGAGGCCAGGAGTTCGAGACCAGCCGGGGCAGCATAGTAAGACCTTATTTCTAAAAATAAAAAATAGCCAGGTGCCATTGCACGCACCTGTCATCCCAGCTACTCGGAAGGCTGAGTGAGGAGGATTCCTTTACCCCAGGAGGTCAAGGCTGCAGTGGGCCACATGATCACACCACAGCACTCCAGCCAGACCCTGTCTCAGAGATTTAAAAAAAAAAAAAGGAAAAGAAAATATGAACCTTGTACAATTCTTTTATTGACTTCCCACCCTGATTAGAATAAAATCTAAAATCCTTACCATTATGCATAAAGCCCATGTGATCGGGCCTCTGCCTCCCTCTCTGACCTCATCTCGTACCACCTTCCCTCTTGATACTATACTACTCTCTGTTCCTAAAACAACATTTTTTTTTTTTGAGATGGAGTCTTGCTCTGTCGCCCAGGCTGGAGTGTAGTGGTGCAGTCTTGGCTCACTGCAACCTCCCAGGTTCAAGCGATTCTCCCACCTCAGCTTCCCAAGTAGCTGGGATTACAGACGCACACCACCATACCCGGCTAATTTTTGTACTTTTTTTTTTTTTTTTAGTAGAGACGAGGTTTCACCGTGTTGGCCAGGCTGGTCTTGAACTCCTGACCTCAAGTGATCTGCCCGCCTCAGCCTCCCAAAGTCTTGGTGTTACAGGCGTGAGCCACCACGCCCGGCCCTAAAACAACACCTCTTTTCCCATCGCCACACCTCTGTGCTCCATGTTCCTGTGGCTTGATACCATTAACAGCTCTTCCCATGGTTATTGCTCATTCTCACACTTCAGGTCTTCAATGTCACTTAAGTAGCTCACTCTATTACATCACCCTCTATATCCCCTCCGTATCGTTTATCACCATCTGTAATAATCTTATTTACTTGATTATTATAGTGCCTTCTATTAGATGGTAAGATCCACAAGGATAAGGATCTTGTCTGTATTATTTGCTGTGAAATTTATAGCTTTTCACAGTGTCTGGCACACAATAGGCACTCAAATATTTGTTATGCAGGTGGATGAAATTGGTAAGTACTGTTATTGCAAATGATAAGACTGAGAGGCTCAGAGAGGTTAAAAGTTTTTCCCAAGGTCACACAGTTAGTAGAATGGATCAGGGACTTAAAACCCAGTCTAACCACAAAGTCTATATTCTTCTAAAGAACAAAAGTGCTGGGCAGATTTAGTAACCTTAACTGCAAAGAGGAGAAGTGACTTGAAGGTGATTTATATCTATAAAAAAAAAATGTGGATATATATTTGGCAGGAAAACTCAGCCGTTTCTCAGTGTCAGGCAAATGGCTCAGAGCCTGGTTAAAGATTAGGCTTTTAATGCTGGTGTTGGATGGGTGGAGGGACCAAGACTGACACAGTCTTCGAAAGAGTTATCCAGAGGCTGCCCAGGCAAGCATTCTGCTCCCACTCACTTGAGTGCTCATTCCCCTTTTGCCCTCCACCTTGGTCTTCTGGACAAAGATAATTCACTGCCTCAACCATAATGGAATGGCTGACCTGGCTGACCTAGCATATTCCCCTCACTGCACCCCCCCACCCTCGCACTCATCAGCTGGACCCAAACAGTTTATTCTGAGTTGTGAAACTTACTTCCAACCCTCACTTTATTATATGAAATGTCAATGTTGGTTTTAAAGCATAAAGCATTGTGTCCCATGATATACAAACCATTGCAAGTTTAGGCAGGTGGCCAATTTTGGTCCAGCTGGTGGCAAGGGCAGGTGTCGGAAGGAAGGGGACATTTGCTGAGTGCTGACTGGGTGCCAAGCACCGCACAGAACACCTTCAGCTGTCATTTAGACTCATTTTGAAGGGGAAGGAAATATTTTCACTCCAGAAAGGAGACAGATTTCTTTGTCATCCTCTGTTCAGGTCAAAGCAGAGATAGTGGGTTTTTGGGGAGCTGACTAAACTACAAATTCCTCAGCAACAAGCTCACTCTGGGGATTGAGATCTCAGCTTGGAAGTTCCCACTCTGGGGGCTCACATTTTAAAGAGGATGACTCTACCCTCCACCACTCCAGTTATCCACAACTGCTCAAACGCCGTTGTCACACAAAAGCAGCCATGCACACCACATAAATGAACAAGAATGCCTGTGTTCCAATAAAACTTTATTTATAAAAGCAGGCATCAGGGGGGACTTGGCCTGTGGTCTGTAATGTGCTGACTCCTGTTTTAGAGATGAACTGTGATATCAGACTGGCCAAGACTGAATCCCAGCTCTGCTCCAACAAGTCCTATCACCTTGGACGAGCTCCTTAACTTAAGTAAGCTTCAGATTCCCTATTCGTAACATGGAGACAATGACAGTATTTTCATCCCAGGGCTACTGGGATGCATAAGAGAATTAACATATGTAGAATACTCAGAGCCTGTCTTTTAAAAAGTAACAGCTGGGTGTGGTGGCACATGCCTGTAATCCCAGCTACTCAGGAGGCTGAGGCGGGAGGATCACTTGAACCCAGGAGTTCAAGGCTGCAGTGAGCCATGATTGAGCCACTGCACTCCAGCCTGGACAACAGAGTAAGACCCTGTGTAAGGAAAATGAAAATAAGTGATCCACATGCCTCAGCCTCCCAAAGTGCTGGGATTACAGGTGTGAGCCACTTCCCCCAGCATAATCAGTTGATTTTTTAAAAAATACATATAAAAGTGGACTTTTCAGGACGGGATGGTGGCTCGTGCCTGTAATCCCAGCACTTTGGGAGGCCGATGCGGGCAAATCACTTGAGGCCAGGAATTTGAGACCAGCCTGGCCAACATGGTAAAATCCCATCTCCACTAAAAATATGAAAATTAGCTGGGTGTGTTGGCAGGCGTATGTAATCTCAGCTACTCGGGAGGCTGAGGCAAGAGACTTGCTTCAACCTGGGAAGTGGAGGTTTCAGTGAGCCAAGATTGCACCATTGCAGTCCAGCCTGGGTGACAGAGAGACGCTCTGTCTCAAAAAAAAAAAAAAAAAAAAAATGGGCTTTTCTTTTTTCTTTTTTAGTAGCATAGAAATTTCCTCAAGCCTGACTTTTAGCGGCATTATTTATATGACTCAAACCCCAACATCATCCTGAAATTCTCTTGAAGCGAGAAAAAAAAAAAGAATAGCTTCCAGTGTGCAAATCAAACATCCTCCCCAACATAAATATCTCAGACTATTTCCATAAATATTTGGAGAAACTGATCAAAATAGTAGCTTGTTTAGGAACTATCTTGCTTGTCCATGTAGACTACTTCACTCACAGTACCCTGTGTCTTTTAGTTAAAGACTATGAAAGCATTCAGCAGTACTTCAAACATAATTTGAAGTACTTTCTTAAACATAATTTAACAAATAAGATATTCATAGCCTGGGCATGGTGGCTCGTCCCTCTAATCCCAGCAGTTTTGGAGGCTGAGGTGGGAGGATCACTTGAGGCCAGGAGTTCAAGACAAGCCTGGGCAACATAGACCCCATCTTTACAAAAAATGAAAAATTGGCCAAGTGTGGAGGCATGTGCCTGGAGTCCCAGTTACTTGGGTGGCTGAGGTGGGTGGATCACTTGAGCCCAGGAGATTGAAGTTGCAGTGAGCTTTTGATGTGGTTTGGATCTGTGTCCCCACCTAAATCTCGTGTTGAAGTGTAATCTCCAGTGCTGGTGGTGGGTCCTGATAGGAGGTGATTGGATCATGGGGTCAGTTTCTCATGGTTTAACACCATCTCCCCTTGGTGTTGTGGTCACAATAGTAAGTTCTCGTGAGATCTGCTTCTTTAAAAGTGTGTGGCATACCCACGTTTTTTTTTTTTAATGGCAAATCCACACTGTCAGATAAGGCCCATGGCCTTTCTAGTGTTTTCCTGCACTGTCCTTAAAATGTGACCATAATGTCCCTCTTTCAGGCAGGAAGAAATGTGACAAAGATAAAAGGCATATACAGGGCCAGGTGTGGTGACTCACACCTGTAATCCCAACCACTCAGGAGACCAGGGTGGGAGGGTTGCTTGAGCCTAGGAGTTTGAGACCAGCCTGGGCAACATAGCAAGATCCCCTGCTACAAAGGTAGAGGGTGTAAGGTATTTCTTTATAGCAGTACAAGAACGGATTAATACAGCTGTGTTCACACCACTGTACCCCAGCCTGGGTGACAGAGTAAGACTCTGTCCTAAAAACAAACAAACAAACAAACAAAATATATTTGTAGATCTTTACTTGGCTATTTGAAACATTAATTATGGCTACCTAAGCTGACTTTTAGATGAATATTTAATAAGTATTCACAGATATCCAAAGACACAGATTATGAACAAGACAAACCAACCTTCCTTATTTTTCTGTCCTTTGTCCATTTATCCCGGTTTAGAAGTTGTAGACAAAATGAACTGTGTTTGATCTATAACTTAAAATCACAGTACATTGACTCAAGCTTTTCAAAGAGCCTAAGATAATTGGAGCTACAAGACCCATTGGCGAAATCTCATTTTATCTTCTATTTTCGTAAGTAGTTCCATCCAAGTGCACTTAAGATGCAGTTCCCCCTTTATTATTGAATTTTATATGAATTCAGCCCTAAACTGGCACTAAAAAGATAATATATGGTTGTAGCAGGACACTTACATGGAAGTGACAGAAAAACATCAGCGTCTCTGGGAAATAGGTCTCAAGTTGAAGAATATAGTAAGACTCAACATTCACTCAGCACTACAGAAGCCGATCCTGTGTAATTGAAAATGCGTAAGCTCTGCATTCGTGTGTGCTTACATGAAGATTACTTTGGTTCCCCTAACAGCTCTGAGCTAGACAAAGCAAGTATTACTTCCATTTTACCGAAGAGAAACTGAGGAAATTGAGAGCTGAAAGGACTTGATCAGGAAGACCACGATAGCTTATGACAGAGTTATATTTATAGCCGGAGGGACAAAGAGATCTCTGTCCAGTTCTTCATCTCATTTGTTCTATGAACTCCTTTGGTGGGCTGCTGAAGCCTCTGGATCGCTTCTCAGAGAAATTTTTTTAAATGCATAAAACAAAATATACTGGAATATGAAGGAAATAAATTATATTGAAATACAGTTCCTATAATACTAACAATAAAATTAGCAAGATATATATATCTACGTATCTACATATTCTGTTTGTCTACACACACACTCCTTTTTATTAACACATTAAGTATAGCAGGTGTAATAACTACCACAATTTTGAAGTAGTGATGAGTATATTCAATATTTCAAGTCATCTGAAACAACTGTAATATGCTATGAAATATCTGATATTCTTTTGGTGATAAAGTCAAAAGCTCTGCTAATATTACTATGTTCTATTGGCTAAGTTCATAAAAGAAGGAAAAACTAAATTTCAGTTAAAAGTTAGAGGCCAGGCGCGGTGGCTTACGCCTGTAATCCTAGCACTTTGGGAGGCCGAGGCAGGAGGATCACCTGAGGTCGGGAGTTTGAGGCCAGCCCGGCCAACATGGTGAAACCCCATCTCTACTGAAAATACAAAAATTAGCCAGGCGGGGTGGTGGTCATCTGTAATCCTGGCTACTTGGGAGGCTGAGGCAGGAGAATTGCTTAAAACTGGGAGGCAGAGGTTGCAGTGAGCCGAGATTGGGCCACTGCACTCCAGCCTGGGTGACAGTGCAAGACTCTGTCTCAAAAAAAAAAAAAAGTTAGTGAAGATAAGAATGTAATTTTCCCCCTATCTAAAGTCATGACCCTTCCCTCTAAATTTTATCCATTGTCCCTTTAGGGGTTTGTAGATCTCAAGTTAGGAACTCCTTATCTAGTCCAATCCCTCATAAAGCAGATGAACAAATGAGGTCCAGAGAGGGAATGTGATTTATCTAAGACATTTTAGCCACATAGCAGGGAATAAACTAGAACCCAGAGGTTGGTAATTCCTTCTCTATAAGGCTGTTATGAGGAATAAATGTAACAATATATGTAAAATCTTAGCACAGTACCAGTGACACAATAGGCATTTGTAGAAAACTGGCCACACAACACAGTAGAAGCAGAGAGATGAGACTTTCTGGAAATCTCTGTAACAGAGGGCAAACTCAGCTGTATGTGTCTTTTTGTTTGTTTTTATTTGATTTCAAAAATTCTTTTTGCCACACTGGAGGAGAATGTTTGTTTGTTTGTTTTTAGACAGTCTCACTTTGTCACCCAGGCTGGATTGCAGTGGCACGATCTTGGCTCACTGCAACCTCCGCCTCCTGGGTTCAAGCGATTCTCCTGCCTCAGCCTCCCAAGTAGCTGGGATTACAGGCACCCGTTACCATGCCCGGCTGATTTTTGTATTTTTCGTAGAGACAGGGTTTCACCATGTTGCCAGGCTGGTCTCGAACTTCTGACCTCAGGTGATCCACTGGCCTCAGCCTCCCAAAGTGCTGGGATTACAGGCATGAGCCACCACACCTGGCCAGTTTGTTTGTTTTTATAGACAGAGTCCCACTCTGTTGCCCAGCCTGCAGTGCAGTGGTGCAATCATAGTTCACAGCAACCTGCAGCTCCTGGGCTCAAGTGATCCTCTTGCCTCAGTCTCCTGAGTAGCTGGGACTATAGGGGCGTACCACCATGCCTGGATAATTTTTTGTTTTTAAATTTCTTTGTAGAGGGGATCTTGCTATGCAGTCCAGGCTGGTCTCAAACTCCTGGGCTCAAGCAACCCTCCCACCTTGGTCTCCTGAGTGGCTGGGATTGCAGGTATAAGCCACCACACCTGGCCCTGTATGTGCCTTTTGTCTTTGCCATATTTCTTCCTGCCTGGAAGAGGGACATTATGGCCACATTTTAAGGACAGAGTAGGGAAACACTAGAAGGGCCATGGGCCTCTCCTGACAGTGTGGATTTGCCATACTATCCCCACTGTCCCCAGACTGCCTACTTCCAGACTTCTCATATGAGAGAAAAAATAAACAAACAGCCCTTTTTGATTTGTTCAAGCCACTGTTATGTGTGTTCTGTTATGTGCAGCCAAACTCACTCCCCTAACTGATACACAGCTCTTCCTGGCTGGGTGACTTACTCTCTCTGAGCCCTAAGTCCTTCATTTAAGGTTTTTTGGTGAGGATTAGAAGATACAGAGGACTTAGGCAGTGCCTGGCACAGCAAAAAGCAGCTATTATTATTATTACTGTTTCAGTGGATTGCAGTTCAGTGCTCTTTCTACCAAATTGACTCACAGCTTAAAAATCACTCACACAGACTCAAAATCCCATTAAGCCCTCCCCAACCCCAGCCCGCTTTCTCCAGCTGCAGCTTTGGTCCACTGCCTCAAAGTCAGCCTGAGGAAATACTTACCATGTCCCAGGGAGAGGAACAGTTTATGAAAATGCTGACACAGACGAAACACCTAATAATTAGTGGCTAACAACCACAGACATGGAGGCAATTAAGAGGGTTGTGTAAATTGAGGGGACTAAAGCAACTTCTCTTTTATTCCTCAAATGTTTTGCCTAAGCCTCCGAGATATTTCTTCTGCCAGCAGTGCTGACTTTACAGGAAGAAAGTGGGATGAGAAGTGGTGGAGAGTTTGTAGGAGCTGTGAAGAAGCTTTGGACTCCAGATGCCTTCCCTGTTCCAGTGACCACTCTGCTAGGCTTTCTTCCATATGAGCTGGGGCCATGTGGGTCGTGCGGGGCATGCGTGAGCCCGTAGGACTTACAAGGGTTCAAGGGGCAAGGATGGCCTGTGGTTCCCGAAGGCACACTTGGCCTACAGTTCTGTCGAAGGATGGTGCCATTTATCTACCTGGCTCTTTTGTTTTCTTTGACACTACTTCCTTAGCACTGATGGTTAGGGACCACCGAAGATGTTAATGCCTGCCAAAGTGGCTTCCTTAGATGTCGGGCTTAGAAGTGAGGCACATGTCTTTCTCTACTGGGGGCTGGTTGGGTCCCCAGAAGTACACTGGGCAGGCTAAAATTTGGAATCCCTTCTAATTAATATCCCTTTATCATCATCATCTTTATAAAAATAACACAATTTAAAAAATCTAAGCGTTAAAATAGGACTAACTTGGAGCCCCAGTACCACTCTCCAGAAGTGATACTAACAGGAATGAGACCAATGAACTTTTCCTGTAATTTATCCCAGCGATGTTTTAGCATTTATTTAGATTCTCCCTCTCCTTTCCTCTCCCCACAACCACCCCAGGGAGCTCTGTTTTGCTACTTAATCCAGCTGTCTATATGAAAATGTGGGAGCTCTCAAGGCATCAGCTCGACGGACATGAGGAAAACTCTCAAATTTCCATTTTCTTATCTAGGGAGATTTTCCTAAGGGCTAAGGCACAGTGAGTTGCTTTTGTTATTCCTTATAATGAACAGCCCTTTAGATCTTAGATTTAGAAATAATGTTCATTTGGGATTCCTTAGTAATTACTGCTCTGGACGGCTCTTGGCACAAGATGAATGATGAGAAGGAATATGAAGTCTTGTGGGGGGTGCTCTGAGAGTCATCTTGACCATGCTTATTTCTTACAGGAACTGACACCGCCAGTAGCATCCCCTTGGAAGGCTGAGTATGACCAGCGGTGTGAGCACAACTTATGAAGGCCTATTTCTAGAAGATTCTCTCACCCCTGCAGGATAGGTGAAATATGGGAGGCAGTGAGAGTGACTGGGCATTCTCTTCCCTGCTGTCCCTTTCCATGCTGAGGGCTTCTGTGATTGAGTCACATCAGTGTGCCCAGTTACTCCTAGGGCCTACACAAAAGGTCTTGGACCTGAAGCCAGTTTCTGTCTCCTCAGCTTTATTTTCCAAACTGCAGGCCTCCCTGGCCCATTGCTGTTGCTCCATAAAGTGACACAGTGGGGTGGATGAAGCAGGTGTGATCTGTTCTTAGCCAAAGCTTTGTCCACAGCCTGTAATTTCTTATTTTTTCTTTTTTTGAGACAGAGTCTTGCTCTGTTGCCCAGGCTGGAGTGCAGTGGCATGATCTTGGCTCACTGCAACCTCCTTCTCCTGGGTTCAAGTGATTCTCCTGCCTCAGCCTCCTGAGTAGCTGGGATTACAGGCGCCTGCCAACACACCTGGCTAAATTTTATATTTTTAGTAGAGACGGGGTTTTGCCATGTTGGCCAGGCTGCTCTGGAACTCCTGACCTCAAGTGATCTGCAGGCCTCAGCCTTCCAAAGTGCTGGGATTGCAGGCGTGAGCCACTGTGTCCAGCCAACAGCCTATAATTTCTAAAGGATTGATGGGCTGTAAGTCCTGCTTTCAGTTCCCAAGTAGTAGCATCAGTAATTGAATAGTGTACTGTTTCTCAAACGTCAGTGATTAGCATATCTACATTATGATTTTTTGTATTTCTGCAATCTTCTGTTATTTAAGTAAATTTAAAAATAATTCTATCACTTTTTGACTCAGTAAAATTTACTTTAAGAAGAAAAATATTATGTCATCTGTACAGTTGAAATACTAGTGTCACTTGTGCTAAAGGGATGCTTTTAGTAGAAATAAGTAAAATAGAAACAAAATAATGTTATTAAAATTGAGCTCTGAGGTTGTCTGCCTAAATTTCCGAGGCTGAGGTCTGATATCTCTTTACTTAAAGAAATAAACAAGTTGGGGGTAGCGGCTCAGGATTGTAATCCAGTGCTTTGGGAGGCCAAGGTAGGAGGATCCCTTGAGGCCAGGAGCTTGAGACCAGTCTGGAGAACATAGGGAGACCCTGTCTCTACAAAAAGGTAAAAAAGTAAAAAATTAAAAAAAAAACCCACACATAAAGAGATTAGCAAGTATTAGAGGGGTGTTAGGTGTCTACTAGTAAGACAGTTCTCTGGGTAGCCTTGGACCCAGTTCTCCCCCTCATCTTACTTATAGTTCTCAAGAATAACTATAGAATGTGCTGGGAATATAATATCCTAAGATTTGGAGGAGCTGACTGGAACAGCTTGGGCTTTGTTTCAGTCCCTCCTAGAAACAGGATGCCCTTCAATGCTTTAGCTCAGCGAGTCCCATATCCCCTGGTATAAAACCCAGGATGAGCTGCTTTCCAAGGTCCTTCAGCTGTGGTGCAAGAGGGGCATGTGCAGAAGAGCATTCATCTGCCCCAGGCAGCTTTTCCTGAGCCTTGAGGGACTGGCTAATTGTGAATCCTGGGCTTCTGTTGTCCCTTGCTGCCTATCTGTGAGTAATAAGCCCATTTCATGTAATGGGTTGCGTGTGTGAATTTCTATCTCAATTTGGCAAGCAATTGGTGCACAGTGAACCTGCTTTGCACTAGCACCAAAGCAAGACTTTCAACTTGACACAATCAGAAAGAGTAAAAGAGACTGAAAAGAGAGTAACTTTTTAATTTTGTGGTTTAGTATTATCGTTGCCTATTTGGTACTCTACTTAAGTTATCCTATAGGTAGGCAGAGTGCAAAGTACACTACCTGGGCAGTTTATGGTGTCTTAGAAAGTTAGAACCTGAAGGGCACAGTGAGCTCAACTTCCTTCTTGCATAGATGAGGGAAGTAGGGTCCCAAGGGGGAGGTGAGGACAAAATAACTTAAATTTTTTAGTGCAGTAAAATACATATAACATATAATTTCCTATTAGTAACACATAATACATTCATAATGTTGTGCAACCATCACCATTACCAAGTCCCAGAACATTTTTATCACTCCAAAAATAAATTCTGTACCTATTAAGTCATTCCTCATTTCTCCCTTTCCCCCGCTGTGGCAACCACTCATTTGCTTTCTGTTTTTATAGATTTAATCTGGATATTTCACATAAATGGGATCCTACAACATGTAGGCTTTTGTGTTTGGCTTCTTCTTTCAAGATTTGTTTATGTTGTGGCATACATCAGTACTTCTTTCTGTTTTATGGCTAAATAATATTCCATTGTATGGATATACCTCATTTAAAAAACCCCTTTATCAGTTGATGGACATTTGAATTGTTTCTACCTTTTGGCTACTATGAATACAGATGCTATGAACTTTTGTGTGTAAGTTTTTGAGTAACCTGTTTGCAGTTCCTTTGGGGATATACCTAGGAGTGGAATTGCTGGGTCAAATGCTTATTCTATGTTTAACTGATTGAAGAACTGCCAAAATGTTTTTTTGTAGTGGATTTGCCATTTTACATCCCCATCAGCAGTGTGCAAGGATTCTAATTTCTCCACATCATTGTCAAGACTTGTTCTCATTAAAAAAAAATTACACCCACCGTAGTGAGGAGGATAAATTAACTTTAATGCAGCACAAACTCCCTCTCTCATCCATCATCCCTCCACCCCCAACCAGATTGAGCTTTCCAAAATGCCCACCTGGATCACATCACCTGCAAAACTGGAAATTTTCCTCCCTATTTCTTAGGATGAAGACAAAAATACACCCAAAACTCTCAAGATCTGCCTACCTTCCCAGCCTCCTTATGACTCTCTCTCTCTCCTTCAATCAGTACCATCCACACTGGCCTTTCAGAAAGCACCCTCCGGCAAAAGCCACTGCCTGAATTGTTTCCTCTGACTGCAATGCTCCCTTCCCACCCCACCTCTAAAGCTCAGCTCAATCCAGGCATAATGGTGCACACCTATAGTAGCAGCTACTTGGGAGGCTGAGGCAGGAGAACTGCTTGAGCCCAGGAGTTCAAGGCCAGCCTGGGCAACATAGTGGGACCCCCATCTCTAAAACAATAAAAATAAAAAAGCTCAGCTCAAGCTCCATTCCCTCAGGAAAGTCACCCCTGAACATCTCCTCCCTCCCCACCTCCAACTAGGCCTGGGACTTGGTGATCAGCCCTCAGAGCACTGTGCATCTCTCCTTTGTAATACTTACTCTTGTCTGCAATTATACATTTATTCACGCCATTAATTGATTATGTGGGGGAGCTCCACTTTCCCCCGCTTATGAGGCAGAGAGAGACAATGAGGGCTTGGAAGTTGTTTGAACCTAAAACAATTGTCTCCTCTCCTCTCCGTTTGGTCCAATGCAGGCTCACTCTAATTTCTCCTTACTCTGCATTCCTTAACTGAAAGACCAACTGTTTCTCCCCACAAGCTTCATCAAGCAAGCAGGGTTTTTTGCTTTCCTTTTTTTTTGGACAGGGTCTGGCTCTGTCAGCCAGGCTGGAATGCAGTGGCACAATCATGGCTCACTACAGCCCCCAACTCCTGGGCTCAAGCAATTATCTGGACTCAGCCTCCCAAGTAGCTGGGACTACAGGTGCGCACCACTATGCCAGGCTAATTTTTAAATTTTTTATAGAGACAGAGTCTCCCTACATTGCCTAGGCTAATCTCAAACTCCTGGACTCAAGCAATCCTCCCACCTTGGCCTCCTGAAGTGTTAGGATTATAGGCGTGAGCCACCACACCCAGCCTGCATTCTTTTTAAATAAAAAAATTACTTATAGGACAATAAAAAGTGTGCACTTCATTGAAATTAAATATGCCTGCTTTTCAGAAGACACTATTAAAGAAATGAAAAGACAGGAGAAACGAAAAGACTGGGAGAAAATATTTGCAAAGCATATATACGTTAAAAGAATTACACATAATGTAAATAAATAACTTACATCTCAATAAGAAGAGCAAAATTGCCAATAAAAATGAGCAAAAGATTTAAACAGACACATCACCAAAGATGTACAGCGGGCAAATAAGCACATAAAAAGATGTTCAACATTATTAGGCTTTAGGGAAATACAAATTAAAGCCACAAGAGAGCACTACAAACCAATTAGAATGACTAAAAATGAAACAGAATAATATACTAGGTGTTACTAAGGATGTGGAGCAGCCAGAAATCTCATGCATTGTTTGGAGAAACATGAAATAGCACAGCAACTTTGGAAAACAGTTTGGCAGGGTTTTTTTTGTTTTGTTTTGTTTTTAAGATGGAGTCTGGCTCTGTTGCCCAGGCTGGAGTGCAGTGACATGATCTGGGCTCACTGCAACTTCCACCTCCCAGGTTCAAGTGATTCTCCTGCCCCAGCCTCCCAAGTAGCTGGGATTACAGGCACCTGCCACCATGCCTGGCTAATTTTTTTGTATTTTTAGTAGAGACGGGGTTTCACCATGTTGGCCAGGTTGGTCTAGAACTCCTGAAGTCAGGTGATCCGCCTGCCTTGGCCTCCCAAAGTGCTGAGATTACAGGCGTGAGCCACTGCACCTGGCAGTTTGGCAGCTTTTATAAAATTAAACATACACTTACCATACAACCCAGCAATCTGACTCCTAGGTATTCATTCAAGAGAAAGGAAGACCTGTATGCAAATGTTTATGGCACCTTTATTTACAATCTAATGTCCATAAACTGGTGAATTAATAAACAAATTGTAGTATATCCATACACTGGAATACCACTCACTGATAAAAATGAATGAATTACTGACACATACAACAACATGGATGAATCTCAAAGGCATTATTTTAAGTGGAAGAAAGCCAGACATAGAAGGATACATAGGGTATGATTTCATTTATAAGACATTTGGGAAAGGTAAAACTATAGGGGAGATTAGTGGTTGTCAGGGCTGATGAAGGAAGAGGAGTTTAACAGCACAGGGGCCTGAGAGAGATTTTTGGGGTGATGAAAATGTTCTGTATTTTGATTGTGGTGTTGGTTATATGATTGCATACATTTGTCAAAACCTATCATACACTTAAAATCTTACACTTAAAATAGTGAAATTCATTTTATATAGTGAATTTTATTTTATATAAATCTTACCCCCCCAAAAAAACTGACTTAAAAGACTTACTTGAAAATCAACAACAAACACAAATAAGTTGATTTAAAAAATGAGCAAAGGACTTGAATAAATGTTTTTCCAAAGAAAATATGTAAATGTCCAATAAGCACATGAAAAGATGCTCCACATCACTAATGATTAGGGAAATGCAAATCAGAATCTCTGTGAGGTATCATCTCACACCCATTAGAGTGCTTACTATAAAACAAACACCAGAGTGCGGTGGCTCACGCCTGTAATCCCAGCACTTTGGGAGGCCTAGGCGGGTGGATCACGAGGTCAGGAGATCGAGACCATCCTGGCTAACACAGTGAAACCCCGTCTCTACTAAAAAACAAAAAATTAGCCAAGCGTGGTGGTGGGAACCTGTAGTCCCAGCTACTCGGGAGGCTGAGGCAGGAGAATGTTGTGAACCCAGGAGGCAGAGGTTGCAGTGAGCCGAGATCACACTACTGCACTCCAGCCTGGGCGACAGAGCGAGACTCCATCTCAAAAACAAACAAACAAACAAAGAAACAAAAAAACCAAACACCAGAAAAATAACAAAGTTGGTGAAGAGGTGGTGAAAATTGGAACCCCTGTGCACTGTTGGTGGGAATGTAAAATGTGCAGCCACTGTGGAAAACAGTATTGGAGTTCCTCAAAAAAATCCATTTCTAGGCATATATCCAAAAGAATTGAAAGCAGTGTCTGGAAGAGATATTTATATGCCCATCCTCATAGCAGCATTATTCACAATAGCCAAAAGGTAGAAAGCAGCCCAAATGGCCATCAATGTATGGCCTCAAGTAATCCTCCTGTTTTAGTCTCCTGAGTAGCTAGGAATATAGGTGCATATCACCAAACCTGGCTAATTTTTAAAATTTTTTTTGTAGAGATGGGGTCTTGCTATGTTGTCCAGGCTGGTCTCAAGTTCCTGGGCTCAAGTGATCCTCCCATTCAGCCTCCTAAACTGTTGGGATTGCAGGCATGCACCACCATGCCCGGCCACAGATGTAATTTGAATTTTATCTCCCTAACTAGTTCTGAAACTCTCTAGGAAAGAGACTCAGGTGTAGACGTACCTCTATGGCATGGGTGAGTTCAGTAAATCTACTTCTGTAGTGTCAGTTGGACTTTCTGTCTCTTGGTTGTCTCCTCCTGGAGAGGGGAAGGGCCAGTGATACAGAGAATCTCAGCATTGTAAAGGACTGTGGTCTCTTACCACTTTTAGAGTCTGACACCTGCTGAGATGCATATTAGCTTCCTAAAGCTGCTGTAACAAAGCATTACAAAATAGTGGCATAAAGCAACAAACATATTGATTCTCTTGCAGTTCTGGAGGTCAGAAGTCTACAGTCAGTTTTACTGGGCTAAAGTCAAGGTGTCAGCAGTGGGATTCTTTCCCGAGGCTCCTGGGGAGAAGCTGTTTCCTTGACCTTTCAAGCTTTCAGAGTCTGCCCACATCCTTTGGCTCACGGCCTCCTTTCCCCATCTTCAAAGTCTCCCATCTTCAAAGTCAGCAGTGTGGCATCTTAAAATGTCCGTCCCTTTGTTCTCCTGCTTCTGTTGTCACATTGTCTTCTGTCTGTTTCCTTTTGTGTTCCTCTTATAAGACCCCTTGTGATATCAGGCCCACCAGGATAATCCAGGCTAATCCCCCCATCTCACGATCCTTAACTTGATTAGATCTGCAAAGTCCCCTTTGCCATAACGGGTAACATTCACAGGTTCCAGGGATTAGGATGTGAACATATTTTGGGCGGCCGGCCGAGGGGGGGCATTCTTCAGCCTACCACAAAGACTACAAAGTCCACGAGGAGAAGCGACACGTCTGCTTGATCACTACTTACCACCAATGGCTTGCACATTGCCTGGCACTTGGTCCATAGACCATATAAAATTAGTCAGACTCATGAAAAGTGTGCACCCCTTTTCCAGAAAAATATTACATTGTTTATAGCATTTTAGAGAGCTCCCAGATTCCCTGAAGCCAGCGCACGGACCCCAGGTTAAAGCATTCCTAACCTAGAATTCTAGAATATCTGACTGCATCTATGAAGGAATAAGGGAAGTGCCGCAGGGCCGCACCAGCTGAATTGCCAAGCAGCCTCGTTTCTTTGCACTCCTGTCGCTTAGGCGCGTTGGCCAGCGGGTGGCGCGCGGGTCCACCTCAACGCCGAGCTTGCCCCACGTCAAGCACCTGCTCAGGGGAAAGGGGCGTGGAGCGGGCTCGGTCACTGCAGTGTCTAAAGAGCTGCTTCCCAGTCTCTGCACGTAAGGAGGAAGGATGCCCCGCTCCAGGCGGCGAGGAAAGGCCCCAGGAGGCTTCGTCTTCTTTGCTGCGCTCTGCTGGAGACGCCGCGGCGCCGGCCCGCTGAGCCCGCAGGAGAGACCCGCGCACCTGGGCGCCCCCGCCGCAGGAGGATCGGAGCTCCTGGCAACGGCAGAAAACACAGAAACCCGAAGGCAAATATTTACGGGCCTGCAGAGGAAGAAACTGAAACCTCTACGCGTGATTTAAAAGGCATGATAACAACTGCTGTTTGGTTTCTGGAACCGGGCTCGTCCAGCTTCTTACAACACCGTCCTTTAGCCCGTAGGCCCGGCTCCCCCGCCGCTGGGGGCAGGGTGTGGACGTTAACCACCTGGGAAGTGACGGGTCGATGACAAGCTTACTTTCTCTGGAGCCATCCTGGGTTCTAGGGACCCTTAAGGCAGAGGGCAGGTAGAAGTTACACCTGGAAGCAGCACCATCAGAGATTGGGAAAGAGAGGAAGCTGCTTTTCCAACTCGGTGTTTAGCAAAGTGGACCCTGTTAAGACAGTAGGCGCCGTTGAGGGGGGAGTAAAACCTAGCCCTTACCCGGCAATGTAAGCTGGATCACCCATGCCCCTGGAATTACGATGGGGCTAACGTCTCCAAAAACCCATCGTAAAGTGGATAGATCGTAAATCGAGCCCTCCTGAGTCACTGACCATCTGTGCAATGCTTCTCAATATCTGGTCCATGGACCAACTGTATCATTTCTTTAAAACGCAGATTACTGGGTCTTATTTCTATCTGCTAAATCCGTTAGACGGGGCTGGAGGTGACTGTGAGTCGGTATTTTTAATCAGCTCACTGAGTGATTCTTCTCCTCTCTGAGTTTGAGAATCACAGCTCCAGCTCTTGGTACTAAAAGCTGTCGGTTCAAATAAAAGAGCCAGCCTCAGAGCACACACCTCTTTTCCAAGATGACTCTCTCTAGTCTCACAAGTCAGAGGGTGCAAATTAGGTCACGTGAGTGTGAATAATCAATATTTTCTGTCTAGGTTGGATATACTGGCTTACACCTGTAATCCCAGTGCTTTGGGAGGCCAAGGCAGGAGGATCACTTGAGGCCAGTAGTTTGAGATATGCCTAGGCAACATAGTGGGGCTCTGTCTCTACAAATTTTAAAGATTAGAAGATCATGGTGGCATGCACCTGTAGTCCCAGCTACTTGGGAGGCCGAGGTGAGAGGATCCCTTGAGCCAGGAGTTCGAGGCTGCAGTGAACTATGACTGTGTCACTGCATACCAGCCTGGGTGAGCATTGTCTCTTAAAAGAAAATCTGTCTATTAGTCCTCACCTGTGAAACTCAGGCCCTCTTAAAAAGGCTCCCTAGATATTTCTGGGGGCCCTGTGGGTTCCTTTCTTCCCACCACCTTCTTAATAACTGCTTTCAGCAAGTTGCATTAAAGAGTAGTCACTGCTGCTGATGCTTCTGGTGCTTCTGTGAGCTCTCCTTCTCCTTCAGGGCTATGCTATGTCCCAGCCCTCCCAAAGTTGCAAAGCCTCAAGGGCTAGACGGAACTCTCTTCCCTTCAGGTCCCACAGTGCCTTGTTCCAAGCAGAATGCTCCTCTTCGCAATGCAGGATCAGGCTTTGTCACCAGGTCCCAGAGGCAGCACTGCTTGGCCTCTCAGTGATCCAGAGTCCTTTGAGGAAAGAGTTTCTTCCAAGATTATTTCCAGTCCTTTTCCAGACCCTTTGGTGTGCTGGTAAATAGCTCTACAAAAAAGAAAAGAAAAAGGAGCCCTGATGTGTAGTGTTTGTCAATTTCTGTGGTGTACATATTCCCATCAGCATATTTCAAGCTGTTGGTACAATGTCACTGAACACAAAGTTGAACAGAGATGCTTATAAACTGCTCTGAGCCGGTACAAGTCAGCTTTAGCATGCTACTACTTGGGGCCTGGCCAGAGACCAGATATTAAGACATCATTCATTCATTCAATAAGTATTTAAGGAGTGCCTGCTGTGTGCCAGTTATTATTCCCTGATACAGGAATCCAGAAGTAACCAAAGTAATTAAAGTACTTGCTAAGGTGGATTTCATATTCCAATGGAGGAGATAACCCATAAAGAAATAAATAATAGATCAGTTCATTACATGTGATAATTAAAAGGTAAAACCAGGTAAAGAGCTGCAGAGTGACAGATGATCTGTTTTAGAATGGGTAATCAGGGCCTCTTTTAGGGGGTCACTTATTGAGTCCTGAAGGGTGTGAAACCTGTAAATATCTGGAATGAGCACAGGCAGAGGAAACAGCAAGAGCAAAGGCCCTAAGAAGGGACTGTCCCTGGTGTGTTCATTAAGGGGACCCATGTGGCTGAAGTGGAGTGAGGGAGGGGGTAGTGTCGGAAGAGGAGGTGGGAGAGCAATCAGAGAGGGGCAGACCATTGCAAAGTGTGGATTTTATTGTGATGGGAAATCACTGGAGGGTTCCAGCAGAGGCATAGTCTCATTTACTTTTCTTTTCTTTTTTTTTTTTTTGAGATAGAGTTTTGCTCTTTTGCCTAGGCTGGAGTGATGTGGCCTGATCCTCACTGTAACCTCTGCCCCCCAGGTTCAAGCAATTCTCCTGCCTCAGCCTCCCAAGTAGCTGGGATTGTAGACACTCGCCACCATGCCTGGCTAATTTTTTTTTTTTTTTTGTATTTTTAGTAGGGATGGGGTATCGCCATGTTGGCCAGGTTGGCCTCAAACTCCTGACCTCAGGTGATCCACCCACCTCGGCCTCTCAAAGTGCTAGGATTACAGGCGTGAGCTACCACGTCCGGCCTCATTTACTTTTCAAAGAGATCATTCTGGTAGCTGGGGAGGAGCTGCAAATTGACAGTTTTCTGAGGTGGAAGCACAGAGGTTAGTTAGGAGGCAACTGCAGTTGTTCAGGCTGGAGAAGATGCAGTGGTGGTGGCAGTGGAGGTGGTGCAAAATAGATGGATTCTGGGCAGCTTCTGATGCTTGATGTGGGGTTTAAGGGTCAGACAGAAGTCAAGAATGCTCTAGGATTTTTTATTTTGTGCAATCAGGGGAACATTGGTCCATTTCCTGAGATGGGGGAGCAGCCATTGTGGGAAAGAAACAAAAGGTCAGTTTGGAACATGTTAAGTTTGAGATGCCTATGAAAAGCCTGAGCTGGTGACATAATCTGGGAGTCACCATTGTGGATAAACTTAAAGTCATGGGAGTGGAGGAGGTAACCAGGGAGTGAAGAGAAAGGCCTAAGGACTGAGTCCTAGAAACCTCAACATTTAGAGATTGGGAAGAGGAGAAGTTTCTCCACTGAGAAGGAGTGGTCAGCGAGGTTGGAAGCAGTATGAAAGAAGTGCTCAAAAATAAAAAGCAGTGTATCAGTCACACCAAATGTTGCTGAGAGGTGCAGGAAGGTGAGGCCTTGGCTCTGGCAGCATCAAGGCCCTTAATGACCTTGACAAGCAGGGTTCTCAAGGAGAAGTAAGGATGAAAGCCATCTTCAGTGGATGGCAGCAAGAACGCGGGGAGGGAAAGTGGAGTCAGGGAGTATAAACGTGGAGTGCTTTAATTAGGGGAAATACCAGAGTAGTTTGGTAACTGGAAGCCAACATGGGTCAACAGAGGAAGAAAAGGAGAGATCAGTGATGCTAGAAAAAAAAATCTTGTCTCTCTGCCCCCAGAGACCCACCTGCAAAATTCCACTTCTTGCAGAATCCTGTGACCCATGCATGCCATTTTATGCAAACAGATGATTGGGAGGACCTGGGAGTCACTAATGCAGCAGACACAATCAAACTTCAAATCCTAATTTCGGTTCGGCTGGCACCCTTGCCACATTCCCACGGCTAAGACGGTGATGAAGATCGTTGTTCATCACTGTATCTTAAGCGTGTCTGGCTGAGAAGAGGCCCCAATGGCACGCGGTGAGCGGGTGTTGAAGGAATACCTGTCTCTGTTACCTTAGTAATGAGAGTGAGAGACCGTGGTGCCAGAACACATGGGGTTTAAGGCTTGTAATGGGGTGAATCCTAACAGAAGGCATCTGGTGCTCTCTGACATCTCTCTGCAGGAGTTTTCCGGGTGGGGATGGGGGATGGTGGAGAGGAAAGCCTTGTCCAGGGTATTCTCTTGGACAGATCACAGCCCTGGACTAGCTGGCCCTTGGGGCTTTCTGAAGCAGCAGAGGGATCTGGTTGGGATAGGGAAGTCCTGCTCACTCTGTCCTGTGGGGAAGCCACCAGCCTCTGCCTTTGGAACCCCTTCATGAGAAACCTTTGGGCTCATCCTGGGTCAGGTTGAAGGGGAAGGAAGGTGGTTACTTTCAACCCTGAATTCTGCAGCAGGTGCGTCCTCATCAATCCCTGCACTACATAAGATTTTGAGGAGTGGCCTTCAGCAGGATTAACTGAACATCATCCACATCAGATTGAGTCAGAGCCACGTCCTGCATGTGTGTGCACGCACGTTCAGAGCATCTTAGTAACTGCCTTCGGATAGGGACTGATGAAACATTTAGGTAGTGAGTGACTGGATAATATTTTGTGATATTCATTCATATTTCTGCCCCCACCCATCCTTTCCCTGGATTCAATCAGGTAGCAGGCTTCGTGCCTCCCTCCTTCAAGTGAGGTGTTGCGGAGGGAGGGAAGCAGGAGAAACTTGCAATTTTCCTGGCTTTTGTTTTCTAAAAGCTAGAGACCAGAAAGAGGATAGAGGTAGGTGGGAGCTTGGAGGAGCAGGAGGATGAGAGGTGCTTCCTTCCAGGTACAAAGGAGGATTGTCCAGGCTGGGGGTGCACAGAACAAGGTTGGTTGGCTGCATGACTCAAATCCTGGCTCTGCCACCTAGAAACCATGTTATCTTGGACTAATTACCTTGACTTTTCTAAGCCTAAAAATGAGACAGTAATAATGTCTACCTCATTGATGTGTTGTTCTAACATTGTGGTTTTAGTCCCAGTGTTCTGGGTTGTTGATATTAAGTTTTGGAGGTCCCCGAGACACAAAGTTGCCTACCTAAATTGGATGGGAAAAAAGTCAAACAAGAAAGCACATCTCTTCCTGGCTTTATGCCCTCTGACTCCTTTGCAAGTCAAGACCAGAAGATACCAGACCTCAAATATTTCCCATCATTTCATTAGCTCTGTCAAGACAGAATGGACTTTTCTAGGGCACCTGTTAGGTGTCCAGTCATTTATTATTGTTACTTTCATCACCATTATGGGGATTGGCTGGGCTCAGCTAGTTGATTCTCACTTAGGAGTTATTTACATGTCTGACAGTTGAGGCTGACTGTTGGCCGGGACCTTAGCCGGTAGGAACATCTCCATGTGGCTTGAACTTTCTCATAGAATGATGGATGGGTTCCAAGGGTGAGCATTCCGAGAAAGAAAGACAGGTGGAAACAGAATCACCTTATGTAACTTTGGAAGTCCCACAGGTCACTTCTGCTGCATTACATGCAAGGCATGGGTGATTAGGCTTCACCTCTTAATGACAGGAGTGCCAAAGAATCTGCAGAAATATTTTAAAACCACCAGACCTTTCTAAGTATGCATCACTGGGGATTACAGGCGTGAGTCACCGTGCCCAGCCCCAAATTAGCACTTTTAAAAAAGTGACATCTAGGCTGGGTGCGGTAGCTCACGTCTGTAATCCCAGCACTTTGGGAGGCCGAGGCGGGCGGATCACAAGGTCAGGAGATCGAGACCATCCTGGCTAACGTGGTGAAACCCCATCTCTACTAAAAAATAGAAAAAATAAGCTGGGCGTGGTGGTGGGTGCCTGTAGTCCCAGCTATTCGGGAGGCTGAGGCAGGAGAATGGTGTGAACCTGGAAGGCGGAGCCTGCAGTGAGCCGAGATCGCGTCACTGCACTCCAGGCTGGGTGACAGAGTGAGATTCCATCTTAAAACAAGCAAACAAACAAAAAGTGACATCTAATAATACAAAATGGGAACTATTAGAGTACATTTTGTAAATATGGGTAACCTTCATGAAACTTTTGTTTCTTACGTGTCTATCCATCAGAGGTTTTCAATTGGGGGCTATTTTACCCCCCGGGAGGCATTTGGCTGGAGACAATTTTGATTGTCACAGCTGATGGTGGGAGATGCTGCTAGCATCTAGTAGGTAGAGGTCAGGGATGCTGCTAGACATTCAACAATTTGCAAAAAGTGCCCACCCCTGCCCAACAAGTAATTCTCCAAATCAAAATTTCAATAGTGCCGGGATTCAGAAATCTTGATCTATGTCTGTATCTATATCTGCATATCTGTATTTCTCTATGTATACTGGGTGGTAATGTAAAATGTATTTCATCCTGTGGGTTGCAGTTGGAAAGTTTGAGAGCCCCTGGCCTAGAAGTCTCTTCATGAGTCCAGCTCCTGGACCTTGTTTTGCCCCCAACATTTGCTCATTAGCCCCAGTTAGTATCTGCCCTTGCTCAGATGATTTGGATTTATGATTTGTTTTCTTCTGGTTTTTTTTATTGTGAGGTCTCCCAAAATAGTACTTATCTCAGGAGAGTTGAAGCATCTCATAATCTACCCTCGAGAGAGAGTCCTCTAATACCTCTTACCCCTGGTTCAGAGAGGTTTGCGCTTTCCTGATGGCTAATTCTAAGTCTCCATTTTCCCCGTTTCCTCACACTAGATAATGCTAATCACTAATACTGTTGGCTATTAGTTGAGCATTTCCTATATGCCCAGTACTTCTCAATTCCATGCATTGGCTCATTTATTTCTCATAGCAACTTTGTGAAGAAGATTCTATTATTCTGCCAGTCTTACCAATCAGGAAACGGAGGCTGAGAGAGGTTAAATCACCTGTCTGGGACCACATAGCTGGCAAGTAGCAG
This sequence comes from Homo sapiens, assembly GCF_000001405.40. Classification (NCBI taxonomy): domain Eukaryota; kingdom Metazoa; phylum Chordata; class Mammalia; order Primates; family Hominidae; genus Homo; species Homo sapiens. The sequence continues at coordinate 159,980,564 of NC_000005.10, read as the reverse complement.
AACCAGGATTTCAGTGCAGTTCTTTCTGACCTCAAGCCCAAGTCCTAATGACCAGGCTGTACTACTACTCATCTGAGCTATGTTTTGGGCATCATAATCTGGGGTTGGAACACATCTGTCACATAGAAAGATCTAGTAAGAGAAAACATTTCTCATTTGGGGCCAGGCAGTGTGGAGTCTTGTTCGGGCTCTCCCTCACACTAGCTATGTGACCTAAGAAAGAAATCTTTTAGAGTGTCATTTTCCTCCTCTTTCGGGTGGAGATTATTGTACCTGTTCAGCCTGTCACATGAAAACCGTAATGGGGCAACTCTATGGACATGGAAACTCTTGGGTCAGTTCTGTGACCACCGATCCAGCCACCTTTCACAGATCTCACCTTGAAACTCCCTGCTTGAATCCTCATTTCTGGCCAGTTGTCAGGGCCCCCTAACCACCCTCCTAGCCTGGAGTCCCTCCTTCCACCTTTCTCTTTTGCTGCCCAGTGGACCCCATGAAACACGACTTTCCCTCTTCTATGGCAAATCTTAGGCTCTCCACACACGATGGTCCGCTTACATTGGTGGGGCTCCTTCTGCTGCCTTGATCTGCCTCTGGCTTCCTTTCCCAGCCCCATCTTCTCCTCTTCCTCATCATGCTTTGTCTCCTCTGCTCTCCTTCTTGCCCTCTCTACTTGGCCACATGTTTTTTTTTTCTTTTGACGGAGTCTTGCTCTGTTGCCCAGGCTGGAGTACAGTGGCACGATCTTGGCTCACTGCAACTTTCTTCTCCCAGGTTCAAGTGACTCTCCTGCCTCAGCCTCCAGAGTAGCTGAGTTTACAGGCAGGTGCCACCACGCCTAGCTGATTTTTGTATTTTTAGTAGAGATGGGGTTTCACCATGTTGGCCAGTCTGGTCTCGAACTCCTGACCTCCGGTGATCCGCCCTCCACGGCCTCCAAAGTGTTGGGATTACAGGTGTGAGCCACCATGCCCAGCCAGCCACATCTTTTAGACCCATCTCAGATGCCACTTCCTCCATGAAGTCTTTCTGATTCTGTGCAAATGGACATGAACCCTTGGATTCCCAAAGCCCTTTATTGGTATGCCTACAATGGTGCTTAATAACTTCCATCTACTGAACAAGTACCATGTGCCAGGTACTGTACTAAACATGCTACATCCCAAGTGTAACTGATCTTCATGACAACCTTTTAAGATAGGTATTATTCTCATTTTCCAGAATAAGAAAACTGACCCTCTCAGAGGATAGGAGACATGCCCAAGAAGACACAACTAATAAATGGGAAAATCAGGATTGTCACCCAGTTCTAGCTGATTCTATGGTTCTAATACTTAACTCGTGTGTTACACAAACGTCTTTCTACCTTGTATGTAAGGTTTTTCTAAATTAATTTTTTTTTGTAGAGATAGGGTCTTACTGTGTTGCCCAGGCTGGTCTCAAAGTACTGGCCTCAAGCAATCCTCTTGCCTCGGCCTCCCAAAGTGCTGAGATTACAGTTGTGAGCCACTACGTCTGGCCATTTTGAATGACTGTACAAGCTCCCCTTTCAGAATGAAATTTTCATGAGAGCAAAGACAGGGTTTGCTCAAGTCCTTGGCTCCAAGCTTTGTGTAGGTGTTTAAGAATAGCTTGTAGAATGAATGAATGAAAAAACAAATGAGTGCATGAAGTACTGTACGGGTGTCCGTGCTTGATTGGGTTTCAGGTGCTGTTTGGTGAGGACATAGCATGCTTCTGACAGTAGTGGCTGACACAATATTTGAGAGCATTCACTAGGTTTTAGCGTTTTCCTCTGCTCCCAAGCAGTTTTGTAAATCTCTTGTGAAGATGCTGTTTCTCTGAATAAGGCCATGAGCAAGGGCCAAAGCTGTTTGTCTTACTAATCCCAATGAAGTTGTCTCCAAAGATAGCTTATCTGAGGACTGTGCAACGAGGAGGGGAGAACAAAAGCTGGAGTGACAGATCCACAGAGCTTAGCTATTGTCTCTGGCTTAGTACAGATAATAGACAGAGCCCTAGAGAGGGCCAGGGACTTAGGGGCTGAGCCAGAATCAGACGGCAGGCCTTCAGACTCCATCCCCACTTAGGAGCACAAGGGAGAGCACTAACTATGGAAACACCAGGGTTGCCAGGCAATGAGTCCCAGATGACATTCATCAGATGCCACTTCTTACAGGAAGCCCTCCCTGACCAGAACTGCTCCATCAATTTAGAGGTAGGACCCCCTGCCATGTGCTTCCCATAGCACTCTATTCTGCTATTATAGCATTTTCACAGTCATGGCAGGGTAGTACACATTTATTCACTCAAGAATATTTAGTGAACACCTGCAATGTGTCAGGTACTACATGAAGTGCTGAGAATACACAACAGTGAGCAAAACAGACAAATATCCCCACTCTCATGGAATATACATTTCTAGTGTGTGTGTGGGGAAACAGACAATACACATATAAATAAATTTAAAAAATATATGTCAGGTGGTGATAAGTACTATGGAGAAAAATTAAGTGGGAAAGGGCAATAGGGAGTGCTGGACAGTGTTGGCAGTAGGGAAGTCACTTTTAACCTGGACAGTCAGAGAAATCGGATGATCACCGAGAAGGTGACATTTGAGCAAAGAGGAGAAGGAGGTGATGGAGGAAGCCACATGGAAAGAAGGGGCTCTAGGCAGAGGGGACAACAAGTGCAAAGTCCCTGAGCTGGGAGTTGTGAGGCTCCCCCTGCTCCTATCATTTGAAGAGTAGCAAACTGGGATGGTAGGAAAGAAGATCAGAGAGGGAATAAGGGCAGGTCATACCTGTGTGCCCCCTCCTCACCCCAACACCCACACTTCAGTGAATTAGCTTGGACACTTAACCTCTGACTCCAGCCAAGTCGGCTGGAAGTCAGCCACTCATTGCCCAAGGGAATGGCTGTCAACGGGAAGCTAAAGAAAAAAGTGTCAAATTCTTGGCTCTTAACTTTCAAAAGGCAGGTCCAGGTATATGCTGGGAAAACCGTGGAAGGATGCTAATTCTTCCAAATCCAACCAATCTTGGGGGGCAACCTCCTTGCAAGAGCCTGGAGCACTTCACCATCACCCCCATCCCTCCAATGGGAGATGGAGCCTGACACTGGGGTCTCACCAAGTGAGGACTCCAGTGGGCCACCCTCTACCTTTGATGTACTTGAAGGGATTGCTTGCTGACCTGCTGCCTCTCACCCAGGCTGAGTTCCCTGAGCCTGGGTCTTGGTCTCCTTCCGTGTTGTGTTCACATGTCTAACACGGGGCAAGATTCATCACTCTTGTATGTTCTCTCTGGCTTCTTCTATATATTGAGGAAGCCATATTTGTTGAAAAGTTTATAACCTGGGTTCCATGTGTCCTTTGGGAGATTTAGCGGGGTGGGAATAATAGGTGAAGTCTGAGCTTGCTATGTTCATTTTTCTTTAGCTTTTATTACATTCTTAAAGGAACTGCTGATTCAGGAAAAGTTGAGAACTGCTGGAATGGAGGATATACAAGGTCCCCCATAGTTAATAAAAATAGTGTCTACTCTGTGCCAAGCTCTTTCATATTTTGTCTCATTTATTATTCATCCCAACCTTGTGAAGTAGGTGCTAACTGCATCCCCAATTTACAGACAAAGTGGTTGGCCTCAAGAGGGTAAGTGCTTGACTTGGGTAGGAGAGCTGGGCCTTGAATCCAGGTGCATGCTCAGGGCCACTGTCCTGGTCCCCTCCTCCATCTCTTCTGACACAGGATGTGCTAATCCTAACACATGTATGCTTCCCTTACCCATTTTGGTTTTGTCACCTGGAATGTTCCATAACTTTTATTAAATGTTTAAATGTTATTTTTAGTTTGGACTGATGACCTTTTTAAGTAACGCGTCTTCATGCTGTAGGACAATTTTTTTTTTTTTTTTTGAGACAGTGAGATAACTCGTTCTGGGAGTTATCTTGGCTCACTGCAATCTCTGATTCCCAGGTTCAGGCGATTACCTGCCTTAGCCTCCCGAGTAGCTGGGATTACAGGTGCATGCCACCACGCCTGGCTAATTTTCATATATTTAGTAGAGACAGGGTTTCACATGTAGGCCAGGCTGTTCTCCAACTGCTGGCCTCAAATGATCCACCCACCTCAAATGATCCACCCAGCCTCCCGAAGTGCTGGGATTACAGGTGTGAGCCACCGCACCCAGCCAACAAAATTCTTTTACTCCGTGATAAATTTATGTCTTTCTTCTTCACGGTGGACCCTAAGTCCTAAAACCTGGAATCTGACCAAAAAAACCTGAATTGTTTTGTCTCTATAACCAGATTTTCCAAATTTCATACATCCAAGTAAATAATTGAAGAATGACTACCTCTGTTAATAGCTACTGTTCATGGGATGCTCACCAAGTGCCTGGCATGGTGTCAACTGTTTTAGCCTCATGATCTCATTTGATCCCCCAATGTCCCTATGAAGTAATTAGTATTATTATCTCTATTTTATAGTTAAGGAAATGGAGGTTTAGACCCATGATGTAACTTGCCCAATGTCACACAGCTACTAACTGGCAGAGGTGGAATTTGAGTCCAGGTCTGGAAAATTAACTAGTATTCCACTTGCCAAGCCACTGGCCTCTTGACTGGGGTTGGCAGATTTATTCCTGTGCATGCTTCAGTGGTGACAATGACCCAGCAGTCTGGGTGGCTGGAGAGGAAATAGTAGGGCTGCTTTGCTGCTAGTTGGGAGATCAGAACAGAGAGGACCTGTCTGCCTGAGGGGCTCTTGATGAACTCTGGGTCCTCCTAGAGCCTGGCTACAAGGAAGTGACTTGGAAAGGCCAGCAAAATGTAGACTCTGGCTAGGGCCAGATCTGGACCCTAGCACCCTCTAGGGGATGTAAGCCACTACTTGGCCAGTCTTCCTTCTGGAAAGAAACAGGAGGCTGCTACCGCCTCTCTATGCTGCCTGGGTGACCTCCAAACACCAGTAATGAATGAGATCATCAGAACTGAGCAGCTCAGGAAATGCCTTTGGTGCCTTGTGGCTTCAAATATCCAAGGTCCAAATTATAACTTGCATCTGCCCAGTGATTTGCATTTCGGTGTTTATACTACAATGATCTCGTTGAATCCTTTGTGTGTCCTGGTGGGCTGTGATGATCATGTCCATTTGCTAGACCAGAAGAGGCAAGATGAACTGCCCAAGGTCATGCAGAGCCAAGACTTGAACCAAGGCCCTACTGACTCCAAATTCCATTTGCTTACACTAGACCAGTGATTTTTAAACATCATTCTGTGGAACCCCAGGGTGATTGGGGCAGGCCAGAGCAAGTGTCTCAGGAAGAGGAGGAGGCTGAGGAGGCTCTGTCTTCTCTCCACTCCACTATGGGCTGATCTTATATCAGATTTCTGCGTAAGATTTGTTAGAAGATTTGTGATCCTAACACAATGTTTTCAGAACTTCCCCAAATGATCCCTTGTTCTCCGGGAATGGAGTTGGGGCTTTTCTTTTCCTAGGGCCCCCTTTTCTCTATTCAGGCAAGAAGAGGACTGCTCTCTGTTGGAGGATGTACTTAACTACAGGATGGTAGCAGAGGGGAATGTAAAAGGTACTGGACAAAGCACAGGGGAATGTAAAAGGTACTGGACAAAGAGGCAGAAGACCTGGGTTCTACAGCTTTGGTGTGACCCAGTCAAATTATTTACCTCAGTCTCCCCATGTGTAAAATTGAGGGAGTTGGCCTAGAAAATTACTAAAATCCAGTTCAGAGCATATAAACCATGGATAGTGAGATCTTACACAAGGGTACGGCATCTAAAATTGAATGAAAATGTAATTTTCCTTGGTATGTGCGTTTTTATGGAAACAGTTTATAGCCTTCATCAAAGTCTTAAGGGGGTTTGTTATACAGAATCTCTGGCTTCCTAGGATTTTTTTTTTTTTTTTTGATGGAGTCTTGCTCTTGTCACCCAGGCTGGAGTGCAATGGTGTGATTTCGGCCCACTGCAACCTCCGCCCCCTGGGTTCAAGCGATTCTCCTGCCTCAGCCTCCCGAATAGCTGGGATTACAGGTGCCCACCATCACACCCAGCTAATTTTTTGTATTTTTAGTAGAGACGAGGTTTCACCCTGTTGGCCAGGCTGGTCTTGAACTCCTGACCTCAGGTGATCCACCCGTCTCGGCCTCCCAAAGTGCTGGGATACAGGCGTGAGCCACTGCACCCAGCTGGTTTTCTTTTTCTTTTTCATTTTTTGACAGAACTGCTGGGCAATCTTGTTTCTCCTTTTGGGGATATCAAGTTGTAAGAATGTCATGAGGAAGGCATTTGCAATAAGGAAACTAGGGTAATACACAAAGATAAGCAGAACTAAAAGATGGAAGCTACAGGAAGGAGTAAGAGACTGTGAGTAACTTGACAATCTCGTTTGTGCCCCTGGATCCAGCCATACCTGACACCCCTATACTTTTCAACTACATCAATCACTGGCTCTTTCCCCTTTAAGTATTTTCTCTCTCAATCACCTACAGAATGAATGATCGATGTGCTAATATTATTGGAAGAGGTTCTTGCCATTTGCAAAATTATGAAGCTCAACTTAGAAAAGCAAAGTAGAAAGAAAAAAAGGGATGGGATGGGGGAAGAGCGTTCCTCCTAGGCTTTTCTGCATCTCTGAAGAAAAATGTTTCAGATTTTGCTCAGTGTCCTTTATTCTCTTTTCAAACTAGGGGCTTTCAGAGGCAGCAAAGACCTTAGAGTCAACTCCACCATTACACAGATGGGGAACCAAGATCCAGAGAGGGAAGTAAGTCTCTGCTCTTCATACAATAAATCAGTAGTAGGACTGAGACTAGAACCCAAGTTATCGACTCCAAAGAATGCTCCACCTTTCTGTGTGACCTTCCTCAGTGCTTTTTTCCAGGCAGGGTCACAAGTCAGCAGAGCTTGGGAGGGTTCTTGTGACCCTGTATGTTGCTGGGCCCCAAGGATCCATATCTTATCCAGAAACGTCTGCAGTTTGGATGTCTTTTCGAGTTCTGTGGGCACAGGCAAACAATCAGTGGAGTGCTGGCCTGGGAATGCAAAGGTGAGGGGAAGGGAACCAGCCCCTCTCTCTGCCTGAGCTTCATCATCTCTCAGGAAACAGGCCCATTTAGGGGACTGGCCGGGGAACCCCAGCTGGGGTTGGGTCTAGGGATCAGGACCAAGCCAGACATTGCTCAGTGTTGGTCACAGCAGGAAGGAGCCGCAGGAGGATTCAGATTCTGCTAAGGGTCAAAAGCAGGCAAGCAGGATTCATTAGGCAAGTCCAGGGCGTCACGTTCAGCCACAGGGCCAGACTGGTGCAGCCCTGTAGGTCAGTAACCGCAAAGGCGTAAATGGGACCTAGGGGAGCCAGCACTAATTGTCCTCAAGACGTGGTGAGAGCGGCTCTTCTGGGGTGGAGACTGGAGGGCAGGGGAATGGAAAGCGAAGGACCCTAAGACCTAGGACCGGGTCAAATCCGAAGCGGAAGGAAGAGGAAACGCAAGGCTCTGCCTGCCGCTCGTCCACAAACCACTCAAAGCCGAACAGGAGAAATGACCTTTAATGTCGACTTTGTTTCCAACCCCACCAAAGTGCCATCCTTCAGTGAAGTACAAGGAGGGGCTTGAGAGGTACGAAGTCACGACACACACAACGCCCCCGGTTGCCTCCTGGGCGCACAGTCGCCGCGCCCTCACAGGGCGGCCCCACGCACACACACAAGCGGAACACACGCACACCGCACAGTCACACTCACGTGCACCCACGGTTAAATACAAGTAGAGAGGGACTCGTTTATATATACACAGAGGGAGAGAGAGAGGTAAATCCCGGCGGCGTCGGGTCCCCCAGGCTCTCAGCATGCTCGGCCCGGCTTTCCGCGTGGTACCTGGCACCCATGCCCCTGCCAGAAAAGCAGCTGCCCCTCTCCCCGGCCCTCCCCCCGGTTCCCCTTGGGGCGCGCGTCTACCCGGCGTGGACGCTCCCCTCCCCCCTCCGCCCCGCCCTCCCCTCCCCCCCACGATGTTTTCCTCCCCAGGGAAAGAAAGCTGCGCACGGGGGCCCTAAAACTGCCCGGGCGCCAGGGGCATGTTGCTTTTGAAGCCCGGCTGCCCGTTGGCCACGTCGGCCGCGGCCTCGCAGCCTCCGTTGCTGGCGCCGCCGTCGGTCCCGGGGCTCTCGGGCTCGGTCAGGAGCTTGAAGGTGAAGAGCGGGCCCGAGTCGTGGCGGCCGCGGCGGCCGGGGGGCTCAGGCGCGGGCAGGCTCAGGAGGGCGCCGGGCGCCTTCCACTCGGGGAAGGCGCACAGCTCGACTGGCGGTGGCGCGCCGCGGCCCAGGTAGCCCGGGCTCGGCGAGGCCGAGGGCAGGGTCCGCTGGCTGCCGCTCAGGCAGCTGCCGCTGTCGTCCAGCGAGTCCTTGCGCGACTGCGAGCGCTCCAGCGAGCCGCCGCGCGTCCACGGCCGGTAGGTGTAGGCGCAGCCGCCCAGGCGACGGCGGCGGCGGCGTCGGCGGCGGCCGCGGCCGCGGCACTGGCACCCGAGGATGCGCACGAAAGCGCGCTTGAACTCCTTGCTGGAGCATGGGTAGATGATGGGGTTGAGGCAGCTGTTGAAGTAGCCCAGCCAGAACACCACCTTGAACACGGCGTCGGGGGGCTTCAGGGTGGAGAACAAGGAGCCTGCAGTGGGGAGGGGGGTGGGCACGGGCAGAAAGACAGCAATTTGTGAGTAGTCAAGCTCTCGCCCCAATATGCTTCTCCTCAACATTGTCAACCTGCAGCGTTCCTGCCGCCAGGCCTTTCCCCGAGCCGGTTCCTCTGCCCGGAATACTTCCCTTTGCATTTCAAAATCAATGAATCCTACATTCATTTTTAGGGCCAGCCTCAATAACTTCGCCTTTGTCCATGAAACCTTTCTTGATCTAGTTAAACAGCATCTAAGCTCCTATAGTTTCCTCTGGCAGCACTTGCCACCTTCAATCTAAGTGATAACAATAATCGCCCACAATTGCACATCTCTTTTGGGTCAGGCACTGTGCTAGGTGCTTTCCCGATATTAGTTTATCCTTCACAAAACGTCATGAAGTAGATGCCGACTTGTTTCCGTGGAAAACAGAAGGTGTATTAAAGACCTAAATGTGAAAGGTAACGTTTTAAAGGTAAAAGAGAACAACATAAAAGACTATTTTTTTGATCTAGGGGTGAAGAAAAACAATACTTCAAAAGGACGAATCATGAGGCAAGAATCTGAGAAGATATTTACAATGACCAAAACAGTCAAGGGATTGATATTTAGAATATGTGAGGAACTCTTACAAATCAGCAAGAAAAAGTGTTCCCAGTAGAAACATGGGCAATGGAAAGTAGCAGGAAATTTACAAAATAGGAAACGCAAGGGCTAATGAACATATGAAAAGATAATCAAAATATTAGGCAATCAAATAAAAACCGCAAAGAGGCTGAGTGCAGTGGCTCATGCCTGTAATCCCAGCACTTTGGGAGACCAAGGCAGGAGGATCACTTGAGCCCAAGGGATTGAGACCAGCCGGGGCAGTACAGGGGGACCCCATCTCTACAAAAGAAAGCATTAACCAGGCGTGTTGGTGCGTGCCTGTAGTCCTAGCTACTTGGGAGGTTGAGGCAGGAGGATCCCTTGAGCCCAAGAGTTCAAGGCTGCAGTGAACTATGATCGTGGCACTGCACTCCAGCCTGGGTGTCAGAGCAAGTCCCTGTCTCTCCAAAAACAACAACGAAAACGAAAACCACAAAGGGACATACCTGATAGGCTGGCAAAAATTAGGAAGCTGCATAGTTCCAAGTTCACACAGGGGTGTGGGGTGTGGGGACACGAGGAGCTTTGTTCATGGCTGGTGGGGGCACAGGCTGTACACACATCCTGGAGATGACTCTGCTAGCACTTGGTCTAAGTATACATACACCTTGTGACCCAGCCATTTTGCTCCAGGACACAGATCTCAATGAATTTTCACACAAGTCCATAAGGGTTCATATATGAGGGGGCTCATGGCAATATTGTTTGTAGTGACAGGAGGTGGGAGACAACCTGGATGTCCCTCCCTGGGAAAAGTAGAATGGGGTAGATGCATTCTTAGATATTATGCAGCATTTAGAGGCCCAGGGTGACATGTCTGCATGACCACGTGGAAAGATCTGAAATACATGGTTCTTTGTGAAAAAAGTAGGAAATAGAATGAGATTTATGACATAATACCATTTAAGTAGCTCACCAAACAACCACATGCATTTTGGAAAAACACATTCAAATTAACAAAAACATGTTAAAGACAGAATGCCTAGGGGTGGAGGCAGAGGGAAATGGGAATGGGAATAAAAGGAAATAAATCAATATAATAAGAGAGAGGCCTGGCATAGACTCATGATGATGAGACATTATGAATAAGAAACATGATTAACTCACCCCTCTGAATGTGAGATCCCAAAACATTTTATGGCAATATTAAATTAAAAACAATTTCCATTTTAAATATAAGTCAGCTGAAACTTGGAGAGGTTAAATGACTTGCCCCAGGTCACACAGCATGCTTGTAATATATCTGGGATTTAGACTAAATTCTATTTGAATAAAAATGTGTTTTTTTTTTAAAAAAATGCAATTAATAATACTCTGTGTAAAGATGAGAAAATATAAAAATGCAAAAAGAGAAACTATTTTAAAAGCACATATAAAACTCTGCAGTGCCAAAATACCATATTTTGGTGTGTATACTTTCAGATTTTTCCTCTTGTATATACAAATTTAAATATCTTAAAAAATGGAATACTTTCTAGAACATTTTGTATCTTCTAACCATGTCTCTGTCCCTGCCACTTGGCTTGTGGCATATTTTGTATTCCTGACTTCTCAGACTGAGCTTCCCAAGGGCCTGGTCTTTGGGATCATCACTGAATCTATTTGTGAAAAGAAGAGCCAACACTCTTAGAGCATATCTGAATGGGAGGGATCTTAGCAACTGCCAAGTCCAACTAGTTTGCAGGTGGAGACACCAAGACCTAGAGAGTAGCTGGAAATCTCTGAGGTGGTTGGCACAGATGCCACAAGGATTCCCATCTTTGATTTTGGATTGCTCTTGAATTTCTTCTCTGTAGCATTTCACTTTCTTGATTATTTGAGATTTGGCCTGTTTCAAACCTCAAATAATCAAGAAGAAGAAATACAGGAGCCTGACTCCTAATTCTCTGCCCAGTAACTCAGTAGTGGCTGCTGGGGGGCAATGGCTGGGCTCCTGGTGCAGGAGTAAGTCAGCCAGGAGTTCAACTTAGAAAGAGGGTTATCCATACCTGGATGTAAGTGCCAAGTGTAAGTACTGACCTCTTTTTAGGTTGGGGGAAATGAGGCAGTGGGCTACTTTCTAGGTTTGGTCGAGGTGAGACAAGGGAGGGCACTATTTTGTGACCCGATTTGTGACAAGACTCACACCATTAGATTTGGGTCTCACCATTGGAGCTACTCTTTTGGATTAAGACTCTGTACAGAAGGCCCCAGCTGAAATGCAACTATGGTGTATGAGCACCTAGTATTCCCTGATGTGGGGAGTTGTCTCTGTTCACAGGGATGGGCTTATTTCTGTCACTGAGTCTGAAGAACATAGGAAACTGGCCTTGACAAAATGGGAAACTGGAGAATAAATTTTGGAGAGGGCCAGACATGGTGGTTCAAGTCTGTAATCCCAGCGTTTTGGGATGCCAAGGCAGGAGGATAACTTGAGACCAGGATTTTGAGACCAGCCGGGGCAACATAGTGAGATTCCTGTCTCTACAAAAAAGAAAATTTGGGGAAGAAGTAGAGTGAGGGAGGTAAAGTTTCGAAGCCTTGTGCATTACACAGGGATGAGTGTGTATACAGGCAGCACATTACTTTGCATGAGGACACACAGGGCCCAGGATGGAGGCTGGAGCCATGGCCCGAGGTGGGATCCTGTAATCCCAGCACTTTGGAAGGCGAAGGTGGGCAGATCGCTTGAGACCAGGAGTTCGAGACCATCCTGGCCAACATGGCAAAACCATGGACAGGATCTAGAGCAGGAAAGCATGTTTGTTGAGGAAAAAATTATAACTTTGTTTGGTGCCAACCCCATTGAAGGTGGTTGTGAAATAGGCGATAAATGGATTAATGGGGATGCAACCTGAGAAACTGGCTCTTTTAAAGGTTACAAAAATATCAATAATGCTAATAGCTAAGATTCATCATAGCCAGCATTTATCTTGTGTGTGTGCTCTGCAGGTCCTGTGCTAACTCTTCACACCACTAGCTTATTTAATAATTATAATCGGAAGGTACCAGTGAGGAAGGTACTATTGTTGGTCCCATTTTTTTGGATCAAGAGACCAGTATATGATAGTCATAGTTATTTAACTTGCTATATGTCCATTCATTTGTTCGTTCATTCATCCGTTCCACAAACACTAAGCTCCTGCTAAGTGCTAGGCATGAGGACAAGCTGTGGGAATGCAGAGATGAGTTTGGGGTGTGGTGTTGCACCATGGCAGCTAAGAGGCCATTCAACAGAACACATGTAGCATTAGGAAGGGGGCATAAATTTTACTTTCCCCCTATGTCTGCGCGGCATACGTTTTTTGGTTGTTCTTCACGTTCATCACACTGGAAGCACCATGTCAGGGACAATGATGGGCTAGATTTTTGCCTCTGTTTTCTTACAATGTACCCTCCAAGGACCATGGCCTTGAGAAGTGTTCAGCCAAAGGTGAGGGGGTGATGCCAACTTTTCTCATGGGCATTTACTGCCACATTTTGGGTTTGGGCTCATTACACTGTTTATTCCTCTGAGAAGAAGAAGCCAAGGGCCATTCTTTGCCCTTGGCTGATTAGGCAGTGTGGTCAAGTGGCTGGAACCCAGAACTTGGGATGACACAGACCCGTATTGAAACCTCTCTTGAGTTATTGGCTGTTCAGCTTTAGAAGAGTTAATTAGCCATCTCAGCCTCAATTTTCCCATCTGTAAAATGGGGACAATATCTATGTCATAGAGTTACTGTGAACACATGAAAATATCCATGTAAAATACTTGACACAGAGTCTGACATCTTGAAAATAATAAATAGTGACCATTTTCTAAATATACTTTATATCCTGACCCATTCTCTTCCAGGAACTCAGCTCTGATTAGCCCCACTCAACTCAGATGGACTTATTTATTCTGTACCCCATAGAATTCATACAAGCAGATCATATTTTGTTATTTTATTGTTTGCTTTTTCATGTTAAGCCATCCCAGGTCTGGCTGAATCCTAGTTCATCACCCAGATTGTAAATTCCTTCTGGAAAGGAGCTATATCTTCATTTCTTTTCTTTTCCCCTCCAGATTTGTATATTTTTTTTATTTCAAAAGTAATACATGCTGAATTTAAAAAATACGTATTACAAAAAATCTGTTAAGTCTAGAGTGAAAATACTCCACTTAAGCAGAAGGGATCAGAGTTAACAGTTTTATTTGGAATCCTTCCAGATTTAAAAAAATGGGGTCATACTGCACATACCTTTCCCCAAATTGCTCTCTTTGCTTACAGTATGTAAAAGATATTTCCTTGTCAAAGTACGTGGTGCTATTTCACTTCTCTCCCCACCCCACAAGGGCTGCATTACATCCTACTGTCTGGATAGATGGTAGTTTTATTTAATGCCTTCTCTATAGGTGATTTCCAATTTTTGGCTATTACGGACTGCAGTGATGAAAAGCCACATGCATTCACTTTTTCATGCACATTTGGGTGTTTCTGTGCAATAAATTCACATGAGGAATCACTGGGTCATTTCCACATTTAAGCCCTGACAGCCAAATTGCCTTTTGAACTGGTTGTACTAATTTACCCACCTATCAACTGTGCCTGAATCTGACATTTTCCCTACAACTCCCCACCTCTGGGCTCTTTCAGCCTTTTTAATCCTCACTTGTTTGGTAGGTGAACACTGATCTTGCCCTCTTGTTCCATTTGCATTTCATTTTATTTTGTCCTCCTTTGCACCCTGAACAAGTCCTCAGTGACTTCTGACAGGGAGTCCCCTTTTTTATTGGAATGGGACTCCCTGGAATAGAATCCTGGCTCTGGCCATGTGACCTTGGGCCAGTTTCATACTGTCCCTAAGCCTTAGTTCCTCATCAGTAAGATGGGCTAATAATAGTACTGACCTCTCTGATTGTTGTGAGGATTAAGCAAGGTAAAAACATGTAGAGTCCTTATGAGCACTCTGGATCCCAGGTGTCTGTCACTCAGTCAACTCTGCATGAATAGTAATTAACTAAATAATAATTATTGTCCCTGTAAATCCCTGATTGGGCTGGAAATCTAATTTTAGGAAACATATTTGGGGTCTATTTTACTACATGTATCATTTTGGGTGAACTGCTTTCCAGTTTTGTGCCTGTTTTCTTTCTTTAATTGAGTGGTGTGAGCTGGGTCTTTTTCAGCCTTAAAATTCAGAGTTCTGGCTGGGTATGGTGGCTCACACCTGTAATCCAGCACTTTGGGAGGCCAAGGAGGGCGGATTACCTGAGGTCAGGAGTTTGAGACCAGCCTCGCCAACATGGTAAAACCCTGTCTTTACTAAACATACACAAATTAGCCAAAATGCTCGCTTGAACCCAGGAGGTGGAAGTTGCAGTGAGCTGAGATCGCTCCATTGCTCTACAGCCTGGTCTGTGTCAAAAAAATAAATAAATAAATAAATAAATTCAGATCCCTCATGAAGTCAGAGACCAAAGCCTTGCCCATCCCTGCTGGGGCGTGCCTGCTTCCCTAGACTTTCACCACAGCGGGGCAGTGTGGGTCAGGGACTGGACCGCCAGGCTGCCACAGATGCCACAAATTTTTCGACCCCCTCCTTCCTCCTTCTTCCTCTGCCAGCACAGTAGCTGCTGGGATTAGGGGGGTCCCGTTTGCTGCACTGGCCTGCCTTGGTGGAAACCAAGAAGCTGTCGTTAAGTAACAAGATGCTAAGCCTGTTAGGCATGTAAGAGGATGTGTGGCAGGGATCGTTTCCCCTGGGCAGCCAAACAGACCTGTCACTGGAGAAGAGTGTGGTGGGTGAAGCTGCTGGGTGAGGGGAGTAAATACAACAGGAAGTGTGGGTTCCTGGAAGGCCTGGACACTCTGTGCTGGAAGTCAGGGCTGCGCTGGGCTCTTTAACAATGCCACTAACCCCCTGTGCATGTTCCCGAGCCTGGCCCTGAGCCTGCCTCCGCTTCCCTTGCTCATGGAATGTTCCTGATGCTCCTTGCCCTGCCTCTTGGAATCATGGCTCGCCAGGCCTGGGAAGCCTCCTTCCTTAATGGAGGGCCAGTGAGGGTGAGGGGAGTGACTCACTCAAGGTCACTCAACTGGTGAATGGCAGAGTGGCCACCACGACCTGTTCAAGTTGCCATTCATTTGCTTCAGCAAATATTTATTGAGGCAGTGGAGTTTAGTGGTTAAGGACCTGCTCAGACATCACAGGTAGGTAGATCTGGGTTCAAACCCTAGCCCTGGCATTCTCAGCTGGGCGACCTTGGAGAAGATCCTTAAGTTTGGTGAGGCTTGGTTTCCTGGAAAATTGGGAGGGTAATAATTATTTTCTGTACGGATGAGGTGAGCTCAGGCTTGGTAAGTACCTGGCACATTGAAAGCACTCAATAAGTATAGCTATGATGACTGCTTTGAGCGCTGCTACTGTTACAACTGCCAGCACCGCTGTTACCACCAGTACCACTGCTACCAAGATGAAGAAGGTGGTGAAGAGGATGAGGTCTATGTGCTGTGTGGGCATTGAGACTTACCCTACTGCTCTTTCCAATACCAGCTGAATTATGGTCTCCACGTGGTTCCTGAACCTGCTAAAATTGTGGGCAACATTCCTATATTTTCTTGGTTAGGGTCCATAGCTGTCGTCATGGTCTCAAGGGGATCAGTAACCCTCAAAGGGTTGAGACTCCCCCATCCCAGGTCTAAAGCTTGCTAAGCATTCATCATTCTGCCACCTGGACCACCATTTACTTAGCGCTTTTCTTTGCGTCAATTAGTTTTTGGTATCTCAATTCTTTTGAAGGAAGCTTTCTATCACTATTTTAAAACTTGCATCATTTACTATAAATAAAACATCATGGTGGAGAAAATAAGATGAAAACAAAACAATGTTTGTACCTCCTGGATAGCTCCAGACTGTGGTGTGAATGAGGCCTGCTCCCTCTTTCTCGAAAAGGGAGATTAGCAGTGGTTGAGAGGTGCTGAAGACATTTTGGCCCTAAACTGAGAGGCACTGCTCTCTGAGGAACCTAAAGGATTGAAAGAGAAGTGAACAGGGAACCACTTTGTCTCTGGAGAGCCCAGGCCCTGGCACACGTAGTAGGTGCTGAAATAGATATTTGCTCAGTGATGGACTGACTGAATATGTGACTCACGGTTTCTTGTGCTATCTCTAGATGTCATTTCAATCTTGCACACCACCCAAATCCATAGTGAATTTCTCCTGCTATGTAGGTGCAGCCCTGGGAAACCACATGTGGGAAGCATTTCTATTATTTTATTCTTTTTTTTCCGGGGTGGGGTGGTGAGGGGAGGAGGGATAAATCGAGGAACAGATGTTGCCGTGAGCCCACCCACATCACTTAGTCTTTGAGTGCCCAAGGGCGATTTAGAGGGACTGAGAAGTGCAAGGGTCAAAGGCTCACATTGAGCAGGATATACACAGGGAAAAACATTTCTTGGCTGGACATGGCCCCAGCAGGTCATCCTTAAGCTGACATTCAACAAATCTGAACAGTGAACAATGAACAGTGGAGGTCTCAACACTCCGTGAACCTGAGGGCCACTCATCAAAACCTCAGGGCATGTCTGTAGAATAGCAGCTACCATTTAACAAGCTCTGACTCTGTGCCAGGCGATGGGCTAAGTGCTTAACCACTGTTGGGCCAGTTACTCCTTCAACAGCCACTGTTCCCAAGGCAGTCCATCATGACTGTGCTCTAGAAGGCACCATTCATACTGTCCTTTACAACAATTCTTGATGACTGTGTCCAACCTGCATGGCTGGCCTGGGGGGCCATGATTCTTACACACAGGGGAACAGAAACTCAAATTTGATATAGGTAAGTTGCCCGAGGCCACAGAGCTAGTAGGTAATAGAGTTAGAATTTAAATATAGGCAGCTGTGACAGAGGCTCTTAATCACCACAATGCAGCTCACAGGAAAACAAAATATACATACTTATGTGTGTGGATATATATATATATATATATACTTTTTTTGTTTATTCACTGTCAAGTCTCAACATAATGCTCATGTATAGAAAGGTCTGGGAGGGTGTGTACTGGAATGTCAACTGTGCTTATCTTTGAGTGTGGGGAAATTATGGGTGAATTTTCCTTCTCTGTGCTTTTTGGTGTTTTCCAAAATGTTCTCCATGAACACAAATTCCTTCTGTAACTGGGGAAAATCCAATGAATGTTATCTAAAAGCTAAAAGGCCAGGTGCAATGGCTCATGGCTATAATCCTAGGACTTTGGAAGGCTGAAGCAGGAGGATCGCACGAGTCCAGGAGTTTGAGAACAACCTGGGCAACATAGACGTTGTTTCAAAAAAAAAAAAAAAAAGAAAAGAAAAGAAAAAGAAAGAAAGAAAGAAAAGAAAAAGAAATAAAAGCTAAAAACCAAACAAGCCAAAAAGTAAAAAAAAAAAAAAAAAAAAAAAATAGCCAGGTGTGGTGGCCCCCACACCTGTGGACCAGCTACTCGGGAGGCTGAGGTGGGAGGATTGCTTGAGCTCAGGAGGTTGAGGCTGAAGTGAGCTATGATCGCATCACTGCATTCCAGGCTGGGCAATAGAGCGAGACCTTGTCTCAAAAAAAAAAAAAAAAAAAGCTGAAAAACAAGCCAAAAGATGCTGTGCGTATTGGGTCCTTGTTATGTGCCGCCAACTTTTTTAGCTCCTGTTTCATTTAATCCTGACAACAGCTCCCTGAGCAGGGTGGGATTATCCCTATTTTACAGATGAAGAAATGGGTAGACGGCAGCACCAGTGCGAGGTCCCTCACAGGTGAGAGACAGGTTTAAAATGAAATGAGATGATTTGAGAGATTTGAAATGAAAATGAAACCTGATGATTTGAGAGGTTTGAAATGAAATCAGACGGATGGCAGCACCACTCAGACAGATGGCAGCACCAGTCTGAGGTCCCTGAGAAAGACAGTTTTTAAATGAAATCTTTTGTTATTAAGCCCCCAGCAGCCCCCTCGTTAGTTCCTGATGTGCCTGTGGTCCCCTGTCCCTATCTCCTTACTGTGGGGCATAAATGGAGGAATCTTTTTATTCTTTACATATTCTTTTTTCTTTGAGACAGGGTCTCACTCTGTTGCCCAGGCTGGAGCACAGTGGTGCAATCTCGGCTCACTGCAACTTCTACCTCCCAGGTTCAAGTGATTCTCCTGCTTCAGCTTCCCGAGTAGCTGGGACTATAGTGCATGTCATCACGCATGGCTAATTTTTGTATTTTTTGATAGAGACAGGATTTCATCATGTTGACCAGACTGGTCTTGAACTCCTAACCTCGCCTCGGCCTCCCAAAGCGCTGACTTTACATATTCTTAAATCCATTGGCCTTCACTCAATATTGGCTGAAGAAATGAGGCAATGAGCAGGCTCAGAGACTGCAGTGTGGCGTGGGGACCTAAAGCATCATTTATCTGGTCTACAAAATGCCAGCCATGGGCTGGGTGGTTTCTAACATCCCTCTGGGCCCTGACATTCTGGGACTCTGGGATTATAAATTTGATTTGATTTATTTCACAGTCAGTGTCAAACAAGCCAATGACCTCAGGGGAGTCAGTGGGTGGAGAAACTGTTTTGATCCTCTTGTAAATGGAGTGGAACTCCTTTGCAGTGTGGCTCTTATTAGGGGCATTTGGCTACACCGTCAGGCAAACCACATCTCCTCAGCTGAAACAATTTGGTCCAGTAAAAACTGGAAAAATTTACAATAATATGCTGCTTCTGTCAGCACCAGCTTTGTAAAAGAAGGTTTCCTTGGATTTGGAAATTCCCTTCAAGGTTTTTCCATTTTTATTTGCCACTTAACCCTGGAATGAGATCATAAACTTGTCCAGTGAATACAATATCTTTGGGCCAATAGAGCCATGTTAAGTTTTAAAACAAATGCTGAAAACAATAATAACCACAGCCACCTTTTGCAACAACTCCATTCCAAAACCAGTTATTAAGGTACCACATTTACAAACATTCTCTATTGTAATTCTCCAACAGCCCTGCTACTATGTATTTCATTTTGCAGAGGAGGAAATTAAGGCTTAAGAGGTTAACAAGGTCACATGCCTAGTATGTGGTGGACTCTAATTAAAATCCAATTTTGAAGTGTGGGTTTTTACTCGTTTAATAATAAGGAAAAGGAGCATTTATTCATTTCCTTAAACACTAGGGAATTTCTCCCTTAACTGGGAATGCTGAATTGTCAAAGCACTTTTTCTGAAACTAAAATGTGGCATTTGTCCCTTTGAACCTTGGATTACAATTGCTTAGGTCTATATTCTCATCTCCTCTGATTAGACTGTGAATGACTAGAAAAGAGGGTTCATGTCTGACTCTTCTCTCTGTGCCCAAGGCCTACCTAGCACAGTGCCTGACACGTGAAAGGCACTCAGCCAGCAGGTGTTGCATGAATAATAGTGATAAAAATAATAAAACCAAAATGCATTAGCCTCTGGCTATGCAAAATGAGGTTCATGGATAAGCAGCACCTGAGTGCTGGTTAGAAATGCAGAATCTCTGATCCAGTGCATCAGAATCTGCTTTTTTTTTTTTTTTTTTTAAGAGCTGGGGTCTTTCTGTATTGCCCAGGCTGGATCTGAACTTGCTATGTTGCCCAGGCCAGACTGGCCTTGATTGCTGGGTTCAAGTGATCCTCCTGCTTCAGCCTCCTGAGTAGTTGGAACTACAGGCAGGTGTCCCCATGTTCAGTTCAAAATCTACTTTTTAACAAGATCCTGAGGTGAGAAGTATTGCCTTAGCCCGCATTACAATTTTACTTTTAAGAACTATTTTTGTGTGTATCTTGGGATTCATGGGTGAGCACAGGCTGGGCTGAGAGCCACCTCACTATGGGGTTGACCCCCTTGGCCCCAATCCTCCAGTGACTCCTCTAGTTTGTAGGATAAAGTTCAAACTGCTTAGGTTAGAATATAAGACCTATTCAACGTGGCTGCAATGGACTGATTCTCTGCAAGAGCATTGACTTTTCTGGCCCCTTTCCCTTTATTCACGCTGTCCACACTGGTCTGAGATACCCTTTTCTCTCCATCCTTTCCAGGCCTGGCTCAAATTCTTTCTTCTCATAACCACTTTCCTCTGAAGTGTGAAAGCAGAAGGCAGGAATGAACAGCCTGAGAAGACCCGCTAAGATCCAGATGACTTACACACCCGACCTATTAATGTTTTCATCTTCACAATAGGCATGAGGGTGCCTCGTGTAACGCCTTGGGTTCCGTAACTCCCAATTTACAAATGTGGAAATGGAAGCTGTGAGTGTATGGAACTCACCCAATATGACACAGATATTAAGTGGTAGAGTTATGATCGAAACGCTAATCTTCCTGGCCTCAAATTAGTTTCCATAATACGCAATATTATTTCTAAACTCTGAGAATACTTCTGGGGTGGGGAAGGCCAGAACTAGGTACTTAGGTTTTTTTGTAATGGTTTTTTTTTTTTTACATTTTTAAAATTTTTATTACAATTAATATTATTTTGCTTCTACAAATGACAACTCCTAGAAGTAATGATATCTTCACATATATTTTATCTGGCTATTAAAATGCAAGTATCTAGAAGCCAGGAATTTTGTGTCACTTTTAACTTGACAATACTGGTTAAGCAGATAATTCAGTGCCATGTAATTTCAGGGGCTCACAGCCCTGCTGAATCTCATCCACGGATGTCCAGGAAGTACACAGTCCCCAGATTAAAAGTCTCTGCTCTTCTCTCTACAGATTTCCATCATAACAGTTGAACTTATTTAAGGGTTTGTCTTTCTTGTTCATGAGCTCCTTAAGGCTAGGGTCAATCTTATTTGTCTTGGTTTCTCTAGCACCCAACACAGAGCCTGTTACAGTGAATGTGTAAAAATACTTGTTGAGCACATAACGTCCTTTTCATGTGCCTAACTCAGTATCGGGTTCATAATAGGTGCTGAATAAATGGTTGTTGCCTGTATTTGATTCCTTTCCCTTCTTTACTTACCTAAATGACATTCATGTGCCAACACCCAGCTCGGTTTTCATCTCCTCCCAAAACCCTTCCTGACTGCTCCAGACTTCTTCTTTTTTATTTACCATCAAAGAGAGTCCATAGTACACGGGTTAATATAAAATGCCATTGTTAGGGGGTGTGCCTCTTAACTCTTTGGGAACTGTAAAAGCTCCTTAAAGATGAGGTCTGTGTCTTGCCCTTCTAGCACAGGCCTGGGCATGCAGTCAGTGCCCATTGATTACCACTGATTAACTGATTGACCCATTCCAACTTCCAGTAGGGGAGCTACCTTTTGGCTTAAGCCCAGAGTTGAAAGCAGATGGGATGAAATGGTTTCTGCAGCACTAAGCTTCCATCTTTGATGCCAGACTGAATTTGTTCCATGCTTTGACCTCATTGGAAATAGTAATTTCCCTGCAGAACACTTTTAGAAACTGAGCATTGGTGGGACTTACCATGAAGAAGCTATAAAACTTTATAAAGGGTCATAAAAGAAGACATCTATAAGTGAAGATACATAGATTGCTTTTGTATAGGAAGTCTCTATCCAAGATAACTTCACTTTTCCCCAAATTAATCTGAAAATTCAAAACAGTCTAATTAAAATCCCAACAGGTTTTTGTTGTTGTTGTTTTTGTTGTGTGGAGAGCTAAATAATCCAAAACCAAATTTATGGAAGAATATGGAATTTGGAAGAATAACCATGAGAAAAATATCCAGATCAATGGAAATAAAGAGGAATGGTAAGAGTGGGTATGAGGAAAATGGGTAAACTCAGCTCTGTAAATATTAAAACCTGTCATAGAATCATAGTAATTAAAAAAAATCCTAGGGCAGGAAGTGCAGAAAAAGGCAGAAGAAAGATCAATGAAATTATGTAGTTTATAAAGAGAACCAAATATCCATGAGAATTTTACATGCCATTTCAATGCTTGTGGGAAAAAACAGACTGTAAGTGGTGGGAAAAAACAGACTGTAAGTTGGGGCAACAGGATAGCTATTTAAGAAAGAAATAAGGCTGGATCTTTACTTTATTTCTTACATTAAAATAAACTTAGACAGATCCAATATCTTAAATATAGAAAAATTGTTAAAGTATTAGAAGAGGATATAGGTACATATTTTTATAAGTATAAAATAAGAAAGACCATTTTAAGCACAGCTAAAAGTCCAGGATCTGTAAATAAATGTATTGATGAATTTGTCTAGACATTTTTATAAGGCTGCAAATTTCAAAAACAAAAGAAGAATTGGGAGAAATATGTGTAATTCAAATGACAGTAAAAGAATGATATTTCTTTTCTTTTCTTTTTTCTTTTCTTTTTTTTTTTTTTTTTTTTTTTGAGATGGGGTTTTGCTCTTGTTGCCCAGGCTGGGGTGCAATGGTGTGATCTTGGCTCACTGCAACCTTCACCTCCCGGGTTCAAGTGATTCTCTGGCCTTAAGTTGCTGGGAATCCAGGCACCTGCCACCATGCCCAGCTAATTTTTTGTATTTGTAGTAGAGACGAGGTTTCATCATGTTGACCAGGCTTGTCTCGAACTCCTCACCTCAGGTGATCCACCTGCACTGGCCTCCCAAAGTGCTGGGATTATAGGCATGATCCTGGCCAAGGAATGATATTTCTAACACACAAAGCTCTCTTTCAAATAAATAAGAGAAAACTCAATAGAAAACTAAATCATATGAATAAACAAATAAGAAGAGTAAGTATAATTGACACCCAATGAATTAATGAAAAATATAATTTTTTTTTTTTTTTTTTTGAGACAGAGTCTCTCACTCTATTGCCCAGATTGGAGCGCAGTTGCATGATCTCAGCTCACTGCAGCCTCCACCTCCTGGGCTCAAGTGATCCTCCCACCTCAGCTTACAGAGTTGCTGAACTAAAGGTGCGCACAATGGCACCCAGCTAATTTTTGTATTTTTTTGGTAGAGACAGAGTTTCACCATGTTGCCCCAGCTGGTCTCAAACTCCTGGGCTCAAGTGATCTGCCCACTTCAGTCTTTCAAAGTGCTGGGATTATGGGAGTGAGCCACCATGCCTGGCCTGAAATTTCTTTACAAAATAAATAATGTAAATTAAAAAGCAGCAAAATAAGGCTGGGGACAGTGGCTCAAACCTGTAATTCCAGCACTTTGGGAGGCCAAAGCGGGCGGATCACTTGAGGTCAGGAGTTCGAGTCCAGCCTGGCCAACATGGTGAAACCCCATCTCTACTAAAAATACAAAATTACCTGGGCGTGGTGGTGCATGCCTGTAATCCCAACTACCTGAGAGGCTGAAGCAGGAGAATTGCTTGAACGCTGGAGGTGGAGGTGGCAGTGAGCCGAGATTGCACCATTGCACTCCAGCCTGGGTGACAGAGCAAGACCCTGTCTCAGGAAAAAAAAAGCAAAATATTAAAATATTTTAGGTATATTTTTGTGGAAGATATTTTAAAAAGTGCTTATGCTCAATTTGGCAAGTGTGTGGGAAAACAGACATTGTCATATATTCTGGGCGGAGATGTAAATTTTGGGTGGAAAACTGGCATTACCTAATAAAATTAAAATGAGCATGGCTTTTGATCTAAGTATTTGACATTCAGAAATTTAGCCTACGTAAGTATTCTTGAAAGACAGCAAAGATGACAGTATAAAAAATTGCAGTAATGCTTTCCACAAATAGGAAATAATTAAAATTTTTAACAATAGGGGATTGTGAAATCATGTAGCATTTACATAATGAAAAACCATACATTTATTAAAATGGTAAGCTGTCAACAATGGGATGATGTCCATAACAAAATTAAGTAGCAAAAAAGCAAATTTCAGGGAAGAATGCTTAGAATGCTTTGGATTTCTATTAAAAAAACCTCTGTGTGTGTGTTTTGGTATAGTTACAGCCAACAAAAAAATAAAATTTGGAAATCTGGGTGAGTATACACCAAACTGTTCATAGCTGTTATCTCTGGAATGTGTTTATGTGAACATTTTCACTTTGTATTTAAAATTCTTTTTGCAATGGACATTTTTGTTGTTTGTTTACTTTGAAACGGGTCTCCTCCTGTCATCCAGGCTGGTGTGCAGTGATGTGATCATAGCTTGCTGCAGCCTCAAACTCCTGGGCTCAAGAGATTCTCCTGCCTCAGTCTTCTGAGTAGCTGGGACTACTCAGTGTCACCAGGCCTGGCCAATTGAAAACTTTTTTGTAGAGATGGGATCTCCCCTAAGTTGCCCAGGCTGGTCTCAAAACCTTGGGCTCAAGTGATCCTCCTGCCTCAGCCTCCCAAAATGCTGGGATTACACGCAGGAGCCATTATGCCTGGCCTCAAATATTTCTTTGGTAATCAGAGAGAGAGAGAGAGACAAAGAGAAAGATTGAGGGAGAGACAAAGGTCAAAAATATAGGGATGGGAAAAGAGCTAGAAGAGGGCTAGTAGCTGGTAGACCTTCAAGCTGGGTCATGGCCTTTCTGGGCTCCAGCTTCTCCATGTACAAAACAAGGGGGTCGCATTAGCTACCAGGGCCCCCTCCTTCTCTGACTCTTAGCCTTGTGTTCAGCTTTTAGAGGTAGAATGGAAATTAGGGAAAAAGGTGCAGATATTTCTCCAGCCAGAGTTTCTTTGAGCCTAGGACAAACAGGCCACACAGCACTGAATCCTTCCTTCCTAAGCAGTAGATGAACCTGCTGGCTGGCAGAGAGGCACAGGTGTCTTAGGATGAAAGGCTCTACAAGAGAACAGGGACAATTTCCAGCCTTGGGGAATCAGATGGTAAAACATTGAGATTGGGCCACTTAGACCATTAGGCTCCATGCAGTCCCTTTCATCTCTCCTCTCAGCAGCTGTTCGCTGATTTCCCTGCCCTCTTCTTTCTGACTCATCCCTTTGTTCTGTCCTTTCGCTGGTGTGCATCAAAACTTTTCCTGCATCCAAACTGATATGACAGGTTAAGGTTATGTCTGGACCCCTGGATGGCTCTGTGTCACCTCTCGCTTGTTTGGCTCAGTCTGGCACACATTCCTCCCTGAGGAGGCCACATATGGGACTCATACCTTCCTTGACACCCGCAGCCCTCAGGACTTCTCCAATACAGAGTGAATGACGCTGGTACACCATCTCCAGGGTGTCTTGTCTTCTCACCAGAGCCCTTTCTTGTCTTTCGGTATCCTGAAGGCTAAGCACATTGCCTGGCATCATAAATATTGTATAATGAAATGATTAGTCTTTGCTGCTGAATGCATGCCATTCTCCAGGTTCCAGCAAGATGAACCCTTATCTTGCTTCTCAGTCTAGGTCTACCGGCATGCCATAAATGACCCCGAAATTCCAGCCCTCAAAGTCTCCTTACAGCGGGGAAACCTTCCAGGTAGCAGTACAACTTGAAGATGTCCTGTAGGACACCCAGCTGGGTGGGCTTACTGTGGCCATACAAGAATGTTTTCTGAGAATCTCAATGATAAAAGTCTGAATGTGTTCGGTGTTATTGCCTGTGCTGGCTACATATGGTAGCTTGGATGCCAGGTGGAGGAGGCCTTCCTACTCCTTGAAAGTTAGGTGAGATTGTCTCCTGTATCCCTTTCCCATAACCCTGGAAGTTCAAAATCCTCCCTTGGAGTCCCCCGATTCCTGTTGTAGGGCAGGGACACTACCTTCCTTGTGGCCTCTCCTGACTCATGGGCTCCATTTCCCTTGGTGGCCTCCTCTATTTGCACCACACAGAGGCAGTGATTCCATAAGAGAAAAATCACTCATACCAAGCGCAATGGAGTGATTGTCCTCCTAAAATCCATTTGTTGAAGTCCTATCCTGCCAGGTGATGGTATCAGGAGGTGGGGCCTTTGGGAGGTAATTAGGTCACGAGGGTGGAGCCCTCATGAATGGGATTCATACCCTTATAAAAGAGATCCCAGAGAGCTTCCTCCCCATCTTTATCCCATGTAAGGCCACAACAGGAAGGCATCTGTCTGCAACTTGGAAGACAGCCCTCACCAGAACCTGACCATACCAGCACCCTGATCTCGGACTTCCAGCCTCCAGAACTGTGAGGAATAAATTTCTGTTGTTGATAAGCCACCTGGTCTAAGGTACCTTGTTACAGCAGCCGGAGCTGATTCAGACACCAAGCATGGAGGAGAACTATTGATGCGGATCTCGCTGACCCCCTCCTTGTCCATTCCCATCTCTGTTCCTCTCCATTTCCCTCCCAGTTTGCTCCAGGAGTTCCAAATTCATATAAATGTCTTTTGTCACTTTTCTTATGTCTCTTTTCAGGCGAGCATTTCTGTCCTGTCTCCTGGCAGCTTTGGTGTCAGCCTTGTTGAGAGGCAGCCGGGGAGAGAGAGTTGGGAATGGTGATGGTAGAAAATGGCTTTCATTTTCTTTCTTTTTTTTTTCACCAGCTCTTTTCACATAGATAAATGCTCCATTCTCAATTTGGCATAGGTTTTGGATTATCGCCCTCAGCAGGAGGTCCCCGAGCTTTGCTCCCCTTCACAGCAAGTCTGTATTGAACATCTCTTAGATGCCTGCATCTGAGCAAGGAGATTAACACTGATTCAGGAAGCAAGGAGATTTCACTAATTATTCAGTCCTCACAAGCCTCTGAGATGGGTATAATTATTAGCCCATTTTATAGATGAAACAATGCCAGCTCAGCCTGATTAAGGAATTTGCTCAAGATTACACAGTGGTAGAGACAGGCTTCAATTTGAGGCCCGACCCAGAGCTACTGGCCCTTCCACACCCCAGTGCTGATTGCCACAGACTGGAGACTTGTGACTCCCTTGGAACACTCAGTGTGGGGGTGTCTAGAAGAAGATGGGGAGGTGCTGGTTACACGCAGGGATGGAGAGATGTGTGGTGGGGATAGTTTGGAAAGGAGGCATTATTTGACATTGCCACTATCTTTTTTTTTATTTTTTATTTTTCTGAGACAGAGTCTTATTCTGTTGCCCAGGCTAGAGTGCGGTGGCACGATCGGCTCACTGCAAACTCTGCCTCCCAGGTTCAAGTGATTCTCCTGCCTCAGTCTGCTGAGTAGCTGGGATTACAGGTGTGTGCTATCACTCCCAGCTAATTTTGTATTTTTAGTAGAGATGGGGTTTTGCCATCTTGGCCAGGCTAGTCTCGAATTTCCGACCTCAGGTGATCCACCTGCCTTGGCCTCCCAAAGTGCTGGGATTACAGATGTGAGCCACCACATCCAGCTCTTGACATTGTCACTTTCAAAGAACGTTCCTATAAAAGTGATTCCATATTCACATGTTTTGAGGACATAGGAGCTGGAAGGGCAGGAAATAGCATCCCCCCTGTGTAACTGCAACAGGGCAAGTGTGTTTCAGAAAGCCTATAATGTAAGAAGGTTATTCAGCTCTTGAGAGGGGAGGCCTGGCTTCTTACGCAGTGTCCTGATTACAGAGAAGGTGGAGAATGTGTGCTGATTCTCACAATAATTAGAAATGGACTCTGTCTTTATGACAAAATTCAAAGAAAAATACAGAAGATAGTGGGGATCTGAATTTTATAACAATAACAATGACAATAAGAGTAGTTATCATGTACAGAGAGCTTATAGGTGGCAAGCACTGTAATAACCCCTAACATGCACCTCTCATTCATACCCAACACAATTCTAGGTGGGAGATGCAATTAACTGCCCCCATTTTACAGATGTTGAAATCGACACTTATAAGAGAAGTAATTTACTCAGTCATGGAGCTATCTCAGTACAACCCATGAGCTCCTGCTCTCCCATGTGCTGCTGTTTTAACCTGGTGAGGCAGGCCACTAGGAAGCCAAGGACAGTAGTTTCCCCCATATCCACAGTTTCGCCATCCATGCTTTCAGTTACCTGAGGTCAACTGCAGTCCAAAAATATTATATTACATACAATAAGATGTTTTGAGAGAGCGAGTGAGACCACGTTCAGATAGCTTTTATTACAGTATATTATTACACTCATTCTATTTTATTATTATTATTCTTAACCTCATACTGTGCCTAATTTATAAATTAAGCTTTATTGTAGATATGTATGCGTTGGAAAAACATAGTGTATATAGGGTTAGGTACTATCTACGGTTTTAGGCATCCACTGGGGTTCTTGAAACATATCCCCCAAGAATAAGAAGGGCCTCCTGTACCAAAAGGCAATTTAAGAAAGTATAGCAGATTACACAGGGGACTGAAAAGTGTAGGGGATAAGCGTTTGACTGTGAATACACTAGTTTTCAGATGACTCATTTTCCCAGCCAAATCCAGGAGAAACTGTAATAATTTAGAATTGAAAAGTCATCCTTTTGCCATCTCCAGGCCTTGTGAAAGTCAGTTCTGGGCCTCCAAGAAGGTGGAGGGAGAAGAGATGCCTAACTCACAAATCCTTCCATGATCTGTGGACGAGCAATGCCAGCAACAAAAGTGAGAGGACAGAGCAAAGAGTGAGTTTTCAAAGGATGGAAAATATAAGCAGGGATGAAAAGATAGAACTAAGCCAGACAATAAAAGGGCACAACAGCCCTTGTTCCCCTCACCACTCTGCTCCGTATTTCTGACTAGGATGAGGTGGTTTTGTGCACAGTGAGACCCCAAAGGTGGCTATGGGTGGGTAGCCAGGCCAGGGCAGCTCAGGTTCCGGCCCGAGGAGCAGACTGCATTCTTTGCCCCTGTCTCACAGTGGTCTCGTCTATCCATCCAGACCGTGCTAAATTCTCCACTAGGGGCTCTCTGCTCCTCCCGTTCGACAGACAGCTGCATCTTCTCGTGCATTGCCAGCTGCATCCCCAAGACACCGTGGTGAAGGTGAAGGCTGGAGTCAACGGATTTGGATGTATTGGGCACCTGCTCACCAGGGCAGCTTTTAACTCTAGTAAAGTGGATATTGTTGCCATTAATGACCCTTCATTGACCTCAACTACATGGTTTACATGTTCGAGTATGATTCCACCCATGGCAAATTCCATGGCACTGTCAAGGCTGAGAAAGGGAAGCTTGTCATCAATGGAAATCCCATCACCATCTTCCAGGAGCAAGATCCCTCCAAAATCAAATGGGGCGATGCTGGCGCTGAATATGTTGTGAAGTCCACCAGCGTCTTTCACCATGGAGAAGGCTGGGGCTGACTTGCAGGGAGGAGCTACAAGGGTCATCATCTCTGCCCCCTCTGCTGATGCCCCCATGTTCGTGATGGGCATGAACCACAAGAAGTATGACAACAGACTCAATATCGTCAGCTATGCCTCCTGCACCACCAACTGCTTAGTGCCCCTGGGCGAGGTCATCCATGACAACTTTGGTATTGTGGAAAGATTCCAGAATACAGTCCACGCCATCACTGCCACCCAGAAGATTGTGGATGGCCTCTCTGGGAAACTGTGGTGCGACGGCTGCGGGGCTCTCCAGAACATCACCCCTGCCTCTACTGGCACTGCCAAGGCTGTGGGTAGGGGTC
This sequence comes from Homo sapiens, assembly GCF_000001405.40. NCBI lineage: Eukaryota > Metazoa > Chordata > Mammalia > Primates > Hominidae > Homo > Homo sapiens. The sequence continues at coordinate 159,950,840 of NC_000005.10, read as the reverse complement.
ATCTCTAAGCTGAACAAGAAGCTCACTGACATGGGCTTCTGTGTCCACATCACCAACGTGTCAGTCATGGACCTCACCTGCCGTCTCGAAAAACCTGCCAAATATGATGACATTAAGAAGGTGGTGAAGTGAGCATTGGAGTGTCCCCCCAAGGGCATCTGGGGCGACACTGAGCACCAGGTTGTCTCCTCTGACTTCAACAGAGACACCCACTCCTCCACCTTTGATGCTGGGGCCGGCATTGCCCTCAAAGACCATTTTGTCAAGCTCATTTCCTGGTATGACAACGAATTTGGCTACAGCAACAGGGTGGTGGACCTCATGGCCCACATAGCCTCCAAGGAGTAACACCCCTGGACCACCAGCCCCAGTGAGAGCATGAGAGGAAGCGAGAAGCCCTCACTGATGGGGAGTCCCTGCCACACACAGTCCCCCATGACACTGAGACTCTCCCCTCCTCACAGTTTCCATACAGACCCCCTGAAGAGGGAGGGGCCTAGGGAGCCCCACCTTGTCATGTACTATCAATAAAGTCCCCTGTGCTCAGCCAAAAAAAGAAAAAATTCTCCACTAGGGTCACCCAAAAGGGCAGATCACTTAAGCTTGCTAATTCCTCTGTCCGCCTCCTTCCTTGCAAGCTGGAACCAGATGTTTCACCCCTAATCCTGAAATGTCACTGAGCCTCAATGGATTATTACAGAAAACTTCCCTGATGGATCATTACAAAAAACTGCCCCATTCCTCCCAGGGAGCACGTGCTCTGGTCAAGGAGGGCTCACAGAAAGATCTGCCTGGCACAACAGCATTCAGAGCAGATGGACAGGCGAGGCCCTGGACCTCACTCTCTCTTCCCTGCTTGCCCTGATCCACTGCTTGTGACAGGAGGGGAGTGGGTAGGGTTGGTGGAGGTTTGACTTATCTGGGATGAGGCTTTGCAAGCCATAAAGGAACAGGATGCAAGAGGACATAATGAAAAACGCCAGCGTGTGAAGAAGTGCATTTGGCAAGAGAATCCAACACTTATTCTTCTGAGGCTGCTGAAGTGCACAAATGGAGGCAGGCTGGTGCCGGCCGGTCCATCTGCTCTGAGATCTTGCTGATCTTAGTGGAGGACAGCATGACCTCAGGAGAGTCTTGACCTAGTACCTCCTACTACATGGCAAATACACTGTTATAGTGCCTGGGCATTTCATTCCAGTGTCTCCTGATCTGGTTTCTTATGCTTCAGGATTGTTTAAAAGAACAATCTGGCAAGACCAGCATTTGAAGAATGAGTGTATTAGTCCTGCTTTTAGTTTTAGTTTTCATGTTGTTGATGCATCAATCCTCTGGCAAGCCCAGAAGTTCTTAATGGTGTTTGTGAGCCACTGAAAAATAAGAGGTTATTTGATGTGCATATGTACATTTTCTGCGTAGCTGTTTCATAGCTTCCCTCAGATTTTCAAAAGCGCCCATGTACCAAAAAAAGGATAAGAGCCATTGATTTAGAGAAAATCACTGTTTTGATCAGGAACCATGTTGCATGCATGCTCTAAAAGCGTGAATGAGCTATCAGAAGATTGGGCTTCATTTTTCCCTAATGAACAATACAAATTGAGTAGTACCCCATGTTGATGATGATGTGAATGAATGGGCATTCATACATTGAGGGTAGGAGTATAAATTGGAATATGCTTTCTGGAGGGTAATTGAGTAAGGTGATTCAAAAGCCTTACAGTTTTATGTATTTAGTTTCCCTGAAATTACAATTTTAAGAATTTGTCTTAGTGGTTAAGTGTGCTAGCTCTGCAGTCAGGCTGACTTGAATTAAATTTTAACATCACTACTTATTATCTATGTCACTGTGGGTAAGTTACTTAACCTCTCTCTAGGACTCAGTTCCCTCATCTATAAAATGGAGATAATATTATTTATCCATAGGGTTCTTGGAAGGGTTAAATGAGATAATACATGTAAAACACTTAGTACAGTATCTGAGACAAAATAAATACTCAATAAATGTTATTATTATTTAGATATAAGGATTTTATTGGCACATTATTTATCATAACTAAAAATTGGAAACAACCCCAAATATTCAACATAAGTGACTGGCTTAATGACACATACAATTCAACCAGTAAAAATTAACTAAGTGAATATGATTAGAAACGTGTTCATAATACGTCAAGAGACAAAGAACAGGTTACAAAATAGTACATTTGATATGCCATAGAAAAATGGCTGAATAAATATGTTTTCAACATTTCAGTGGTTATGTTTAAGGGGTGGCTTTTTACTATCTTTTTTTGTTTTTCTGATTCTTTTAAATTTTCTACAATGAAAACACGCATATAACTTCTTGTAATAAAACGTTAACTAACCCAGTAAAAGTTACTTTTTGAAAACATGATGACTGATTTCTGTTGAAAAACGCTTTGTGGCTTTGAATCATCATTTTTGTGAAGGTTCCTTTCTTCATGTTGAAATGAGAGTTATATTTTCTTTCCTTGTTGAGATACCAGGAAACTCAAATGAAAGGGTGAGCATAAAGTGCTTTGAAGGGCAGTGCATAGCATGTGTGAAAAGGTCCAGCTTCTTAACCTGCGGAGCTTTCACAAAATAATCTGTGCTGTAATGCAGGAGGACTCCAGAAGCCCTGTTGTCTGGACTTAGAGAACATGCCTCCAGCCCTGGGTCAAAGTCCTGTTATGATTAACTCCAGGGAACTGGTATGGATTGAGGATGAAGGTACAGAGACTTTCAGCTATGAAAATCGGTCTGCAGTCAGGATTCCAAGTTTAATCTCTGTGAAACCGATGGGCCAGTGTGGCCATGCTTACTAATTAGACAGCAGCAATGTAATTGATCAAATCAATTCCCTTCATGACGCAAAGCCAAAGAATCCAGGGACAGCTGGAGCTTGGAAGAGCTTGCAGAAAGCCAGAGAATGTGAATCCCTCTCCCAGAGATGTTAACGTGGTTAAGCTAAATTTTTGTGCTAATTGCTGGCTCCTTTCTCAATAACGGATAATATGGTGATGCAATGTAGCTCCCGTGTCCCTCACGTGGCCAGACTCTAGGCTGGAGAGATTTAAATTGTGCTCATTCATTTCTTTCCTGGATTTACAGCAAGCATTCAACGTCTTCAAGCTTAAAGAGCCTTTGCTTTCTGGAAAGAAGCAAAGTCATAGCCAGGTCCCCCATTTCATTTATGAATAGCTTTAGCGTTAATTTGAAAGCCAGTGTATTGAAAAAAAGAATGTAAAAGGGAAACCATTAAAAGAAATGAGGCTTATTGCAACAACCAAGTATTGAGGCCAATACTTCAATCTATTTCATGCAGATCAAATGAAAAAAAATGCTATAGAGGCTGCATTGGTTGAGTGAAATAAGCATGGGATTTGGTGGCAGACAGAGCTAGTTGCAAGCTCAGCTCTGCCACTTATGAGCCCTGAGAACTTGGGTCAATTATTTTACCTTTCTGAGCCATGGTTTTCTTTTCTTTTCTTTTTTTTTTAAGATGGAGTTTCGCTCTGTTGCCCAGGCTAGAGTGCGGTGGTGCGATCTTGTATCATTGCAACCTCTGCCTCTCAGGTTCAAGCAATTCTCCCTGCCTCAGCCTCTGGACTAGCTGGGATTACAGGCATCCACACCACACCTCGCTAATTTTTCTATTATTTAGTAGAGATAGGGTTTCGCCATGTTGGCCAGGCTGGTCTTGAACTCCTGACCTCAGGTGATCTGCCCACCTCGGCCTCCCAAAGTGCTGGGATTACAGATGTGAGCCACCGCACCCAGCTAACTATGGTTCTCTTATTTGTACAATGGAAACAATTATGCCATCCTCAAAGGGTTGTGAAGATTAAATAAGATAACGTACTGAAACACCTAGCTCACTGCTAGGGACATCATAAGTGCTCAGTCAATATTAGTTCTCCACCAGTGTCTTGTCTTCTGGACAAAGCCCTGAAATCATGTCTTTGTTCTATGCTGCAAACTCATGTGTCGTGGTCCTACACTCTGTGCCATTGGATTCCAGATGATTCTAGACAAGGTAACCTGCAGGCTTTCCAGAATCTATGCCATGTTTATGTATGAGCTCTGATTCTTAAGAGAGGGAACAATAGAATCTAAGCATATTCAATATTATACTATAATTTTAATTGTTTTCATAATATACATCACAGAATACAAAATTCAAATCATCGTGGCTGGTGGTATCAGAAATCTCTGATTGCAGAAGGCATGCAACTTTTGGTTTAGAAAAAGAGGTCATGAGATAAGCAAGACTGAGAATATGGATTTACAGCACGTCATTCTGGCAAAACATGTGACAGACACACACTTGGAATGCCAGAGATGGACTGGAAGGAGAAATGGGGAGGCTTTGCGGGTACTGGTAATCTTTTCTTTCTTATTTTGGTGCTGCTTACCGGGATGTGTTCATTTTGTGAATATTGACACGGCCATCCCTTCTGATTGGTGCTCTTTTCTGTATGCATGTCATACTTCAATAAAAAGTTTATTTAAAGAGAAATAAGTGTCACACAGTTTGTATGCATTCAGCATGAGGTGGGATAAATCCTGGAGAAGCCTCATGTCAATTTACCAGGGAATTCTCTGTAAATCCCGGATCAGGCTTTTTCCTGGATGGTCTAGATTTTTATAGGTAAGAACAGAATGCAATCGAAAGTTACCATCATCTCTTCTGGACCACGGCCTCAGCCTCACAACTGACTTCCCTGTCTCTACCCTTAAGCCTCTACAATCCATCCTCCACTTACCCAATGAAGTCTTTAAAAACAGAAATCGGGCTGGGCGCGGTGGCTCACGCCTGTAATCCCAGCACTTTGGGAGGCCGAGGTGGGCGGATCAGGAGGTCAGAAGATCAAGACCATCCTGGCTAACATGGTGAAACCCCATCTCTACTAAAAATACAAAAAATTAGCCAGGCATGGTGGCGGGCGCCTGTAGTCCCAGCTACTTGGGAGGCTGAGGCAGGAGAATGGCGTCAACCCGGGAGGCGGAGCTTGCAGTGAGCCGAGATCGCGCCACTGCACTCCAGCCTGGGCAACAGAGCAAGACTCCGTCTCAAAAAAAAAAAAACAAACAAACAAAAAAACCCACCAGAAATCGGATTACATTATTTCCCTTTCCAAAACCCCCCCATGATTTTCAATAGCATTTAGAGAAAATGCTAACCTTTCTATCATGACCTACAAGGCCTCACAGGATATACATGCTTCCTTCCTGTCTGACATCATCTGCCACCTCTCTCCTCCTGCTTCTGTGCAGTCCAGCACTCTGGCTGCCATTTTCCATGTCACTCATGTCAAATGCATTCCTATCTCAGGGTCTTTGCATTTACTGTCCTTGCTGCCTGGAATGCTTTCCCCCAGATTCCTGCAGGGCTGGCTCCTTCTAGTCACTCAAGTTTCAGCCCATGATCTCAACGAGCAGCTTTCTCTCTTTTTTCTTTCCTTATTTTTATTTATTTATTAATTTTTTAGACAGAGTCTTACTCTGTTGCCCAGGCTGGAGTGCAATGGCGCAATCTGGGCTCACTGCAACCTCCACCTCCCGGGTTGAAGCAATTGTCCCACCTCAGCCTTCGTGCCACTGTGCCTGGTTAATTTTTGTATTTTTGGTGGAGACAGGGTTTCACCACGTTGGCCAGACTGCTCTCAAATTCCTGACCTCAAGTGATCGTCTTGACCTCCCAAAGTGCAGGGATTATAGGCGTGAGCCACCGCACCCGGCCCTCTTTTTTCTTAAAATTAATTATTTTCTTTTTCGATCAGCTTCCTCAGGTTGAGCTTATGCTTTTTCTTGATCATCACCACCCTGCTCCTCTCTAGCACACCACTCCATATTTCCTCTATAGTACCTGCAATTATCTGATATCACATGCTTATTTATATGTACGATTTGTCCATGCCCACCCCTCAGGACTGTAAGCTTCATGGAGGCAGTGGCTTTGCCTGTTTTTTTCACTCTTGTATCTGCAGTGCCTTGAAGAGTACTCGAGACAGGGAAGGTACTTAATAGATATCTGGCTGTGTGATCTTTACAAGCCTCTCACTGTCTGAATTTCAATTTCCATATCTGTAAATTTAGGCTAATAACAAGCTTCTCCCCCAACCCCCCATCTCCCCCAGGGTTGTTGTAAAGATTGAAGGAGGTAACATATATGAGGCACTTAGCACAGTGCCTGGCACATGGTAAATGGTGGCTGTGTTCCCTGGGTGCTAATTGTAAGGCATTGTTAGTTTCTCTCATTCATTCATCATGAGCAAGCAATCATCTTTTATTAGTGGCCCTTTGACAAAATGGTAACACAGCCTGTCGAGAGACCAGGTTTCACAGCATCATTCTGATGTTTCTTTGGCTAAGTGTTAGCCTTTCTCTGTGTGATGTACAATAATTAACTGATTAACAGAGATCTTGTGCTACTTCAGATCATTCTTTAAAAGGCACTGCAGATGGAATTTGTATCTAGAATAATGAGTAGCCTGCAGGACACTGCACCATGGTCAGACAGGTAATAAATGAAAGCACAGGAGCACGACACTCTGGCCAGGAGCCAGTGGCCAGCGAGAAAGCTGATAGCCACGGCTCTCCACTGTGACAAATGGGGCCATTTGTTCCTGGGGCATCCTGAGTAAATTGGTATCTTTAGAAGAGTTTTGTTAAAAAACAAAAAAAACTCTGCATGAAAGGTTCAGAAGGAAACAGGGCCTGCCACTTTAAGAATCTGAGTTCGTAAAGGTGAAAATGGTCTCTGTAAGATGTGATACAAATAAATGAGCAAATCTTGGGTAAGGTACCTCATTGAATGGTAAAGAGGTATTGGTTTTAAAGGAAGAGAGAACCAAGAAGAATAAAACTGGGGAGTGAGAATGTGTGTGTGTGTGTGTTTGTGTGTGTGTGTGTGTGTGTGTGTGTGAGAGAGACAGAGAGAGAGAGAGAATGAGAGCCAATTGTGGTAGTCAGTCAGTCACCCAGGTAACAATATACTGATTGGAAGGAAATCATCACAAAATTTTAATTACAAAATGAGAAAATGTTTCATCGTGTTCCTTTAAAATTTTATCTTTTCTTCCTATGATCTGAGGAAGAAAAGATTGGGAAAAAATCAAATGAAAAGCAAATCTCTTTCTCTCCCCAACCCCTGAAATCCCCTAAGTAGGTCACACACAGTATTCTCAATCATCTCAGTGGAGGCTCAGCCTACAGCAAGCATAAAAGAATTTCGAGGCTTTACCTAGATAGATCTGGTTAGGGAGAGATGCTGACGGGTTACACAGGGTGGAAGTCATTAGACTAACGATCTTTAATCAGGTTGGAGCTGTGGAGTTAGGGACATTCATGTGTGGCATTCTTTCATCAGGGTCTTAAACTAGAGGAACTGGCCCCGTGGGTTTACTTTCAGCCCTAGAGAGTTCAGAGCTAAGCAAAGTTTAAGAGGTAAGTTTGTTTCTCTGGGAGAATATGAGAGCTCGATTTACAAACAGAAAAAGTACCTCATTATAGTTAGGTAGTTTATAATATTGAAACTTGTTCTGTATTATATTTCTCTTTATCCTCCACTGAAATGATCTAATTTATTTATTTTTATTTTTCATTTTTCATTGTTTTTTTTTTTCTGAGACAGAGTCTTGCTCTGTCACCCAGGCGGGAGTACAGTGGCGCAATCTCGCCTCACTGCAACCTCCGCCTCTTGAGTTCAAGTGATTCTCCTGCCTCAGCCTCCCGAGTAGCTGAGAATACAAGTGCACGCCACCATGCCCGGCTAATTTTTGTATTTTTAGTAGAGACGGGGTTTCACCATGTTGGCCAGACTGGTCTCGAACTCCTGACCTCAGGTGATCCTCCCACCTTGGCCTCCCAAAGATGATCTAATTTATGTTTTTATTTTAATAAAGAAAGCATTACAAATTATTAATTACACATGTAATAAATGAATACTTTTTCTTTTAAAAATTAAGAACAATTTTTTTTGACTACCATCCCTAATTTCGTATCCCTACTTTATGGGGAACTATTTTCATCTTTTTGGTGTATTACCTTCCAGTTTTTTTCTATGTATTTCCATACACATACTCATAGAAAATAGAATATTTGGGATTTAAAAAATGTAACATTTCATACTATATGCAATGCTCTGAAACTTGTTTCTCCCCCCAACAATTTGTCTTTTTTGTGTGTTTGTAGAGATGAGGGTCTCACTGTGTTGCCCAGGCTGCTCTGGAACTCCTGGGCTCAAGTGTTCCTCCCGCCTTAGCCTCCCAGAGTGGTGGGATTACAGGTGTGGCCAGCCAACAATTTATCTTAAAGATCTTTCTTAATTAGTATCCAGATCTAATTCATTCCTTCTAACTGCTGTATCACAGTCCACTGTATGAATGTGTGAGAGTTTATTTCCTTACCTGCTTACGGATAGACTTTTAGGTTGTTTCCCAATTAGAACAGTACTTTTTTTACAAAAAGTCATATTGAGCTATATAATTCCCATACCATAAATTTACCCTTTTAAGTGTACAATTTAGCGGTTTTTAGTAATTCACAAAGTTGTACACCAACCCCACTATCTAATTACAGGACAATTTCATCACCCCCTAAAAAAACCCAGTACCCGGCCGGCCATGGCGGCTCACGCCTGTAATCCCAGCACTTTGGGAGGCCGAGGCGGGCGGATCACGAGGTCAGGAGATCAAGACCATCCTGGCTAACACCGTGAAACCCCATCTCTACTAAAAATACAAAAAATTAGCTGGGCGTGGTGGCGGGCACCTGTAGTCCCAACTACTCGGGAGGCTGAGGCAGTAGAATGATGTCAACCTGGGAGTTGGAGCTTGCAGTGAGCCAAGATCGCGCCACTGCACTCTAGCCTGGGTGACAGAGCGAGACTCTGTCTCAAAAAAAAAAAAAAAAAAAAAGAAACCCAGTACCCATTAGCAGTCATCTCATTTCCCCTTCTCCTCAGTCTCTGCGAACACTCATCTACTTTCTCTCTCTGTGCATTTGCCTATTTTGGACATTTTGTTTTAATAGAATTATATGACAAAATGTGAACTTTTGTGTTTGGCTTCTTTCCCTTAGCGTATCGGTTTCAAGGTTCATCTGTGTGGTAGCATGTGTCCATACTTTGTTCTCTTTTCTTTGGCCAAATAACATTCCATTGTATGGATATACCACATTTTGCATATCTGTTCTTCAGCAGATGGACATTTGAGTTATTTCCTTCTTTCGGCCATTATGAATAATGCTGCTGTGAACATCTGTGTGCAAGTTTTTGTGTGAGGACATGTTTCCAATTCTCTCCTGTGTATACTAGGAGTCGGACTGCTGGGTCATTAGGCAACCCTTTGTTTAACTTTTGAGGAACTACCAAACTGTTTTTCAAAGTGGCTGTGCCCTTCTACATTGCCATAAATGTGAGTTTTTAGAACAAGAACAAGGAAGAACATGTTCGTGGGCCAAATGGATGTGTTTATTCTTGAGACATCTCAGCCATATTTGGAACAAGCTGAAAAACACCTCAGCACTGTCCAGCAGAACTTTCTGTGATGATGAAAACGTTCTAAATCTGTGCAGTCCAATATGGCAGTCACTAGCCACACGTAGCTGTTTAACACTTGCAAGGTGACTCCTGTGGCCAAGGAACTGCATTTTTAATTTTAATTAATTTAAATATGATTACACTCATGTGTCCAGTGGCTACTGTATCTGATAGCACAGTACTTATTCTCTCCTGTGTGTAAAGACTGACAGTACCCAAGAGGTCCCCATAAAGTTATCGGAGAAGTGATCCACCTTCTAGGATGCACCTTGCAACTCCAAGTTAGCTCTTGTCACAGACAACACAGAGAAGAAATTCAGAGATTGTGATGCGTTAAATCAGAATTGTACCACATTGAAATTCAGGTAACTCCCAACTTTTGCAGAGTTATGCTTGGAAAGCTGGCATTTCATGTATCTCCTTTTAGCTCACCAGTTTAAAGAACTGTCTTTGTATTGTTTTGTTTCTTTGTACAAGAGCAATTCATGCTCACTACAGAGAAGCAGGAAAAGAAAATAAAAACTACCACAGATAATTGCTGCTAAAATCTTGAGGGGGAGTGTGTGTGTATGTGTAAGTGTGTGTATATGCATGTGTGTGTATGCATTTGTGTGTGTGTATATATACTGTTAAAGAAAATGTTATTTAATGATCCTTCTTAAAGCACAGTAAAGAAGACTTTATTTAGAACCATTGAGACAGGTATAGGAACTACTGCAATGGGCTGTGCAGTGGGGGAGACAAACTGGGCTCAACTATGAATATAGAATAAGCAAGAGGGAATTTATGGCCAAGGAGCAGGGTTGGGGGCAGTGGATGGAAAATTACTAAGAGAAAACATCAGGAGTAAGGGTGATTCTGGCTAAACCGAACTAACAGGGTTCTTGCTGAAGGCAGGCCAGGGTAATCACATGTCACTTGGAGGGGGGATACTGGAGGATAAGAGGCCTGATCAGATATTGAGAGTGATTAGATATTGAGGTTGATTAGATATCGATGTGGGTGGTTCTTTCTGAACTGACTCACCATGGTTCTTCCTAAAACTGGGTTTTACAAAGAAGTGCACAGATAAGTCTAGAAGAAGATTCAGGAGCTAGACTAAAGTTTGGTCAAGCAAAGTCTTTGCCAGTACACACAGAATTCAACTATATTTCAGCTTTGGTAGAAGAGCAGAAGTGACATTGGAATCGATCTTTTTCCACCCTCACAGTTCCTCTTCACAGCTCTGATCAGATTTCATTCACTTACTGAGTTGTCCCTGTGCCAGGCCCATGCTAGGTGAGACCCAGTCTCCCGGGAGAGATGGACATCAAGAAGCCCAGTGTGACAAGGCTCTGATGGGCATGGAGTGAGGACAGAGATCGCACAAGAGAGACAGTAGCCACTGCCTGGGGAATCGTGGAAGATGGCAAAGGAGACATTAAATTTGAGCTGGAGGAACTCACAGTGCACAGGAGAGAAGGAAGGGTGTTACAGGCAGAGGGAATTGCACTGGCAAAGGCTTGGGGCATGATAGAGCCAGGTGTGTTCAGGGAAGGGAGACTGCTCCTGTGTGGCTGGAGGAGCAACAGCAGGGGCCACGTGTGATTGCCTGCCTTACTGGCTATTAATTCTCTTATCACCCCAACGAGGTAAGTAAAATGTCATCTCTGTCTTACAGGCAGAAAAAATGAGAGCTGAGAGAACTTAAGTAACTTGCCTGAGGTTGCACAGCTAGTGAGGGACAGGGCTGAGATTCTGATCTGTTTGAGCACAAAGCCCTATCTTGGGAGATGGGGTAGGTTAGATTCCAATTGTGAAGAGTCTTTTCTGTCACACTCAGAAGTTCAGAAGTCACCCTGGGGTAATTCAGCAGGGTACCAGCTTGAGCAGATCTGTGCTCTAGGAAGATCTTTGCAAAGACAATTTGTAAGCAGGTCAGCAATTTACCTTGGGCTGAACTATCCTCAGTGCATTGTGTGCGCGCGCGCGCGCACACACACACACACACACACACACACACACACACACACACACACTCTCTCTCTCTCTCTCTCTCTCTCTCCTTCAAAGAAAGGAGCCTCTGAGAATCCAGCACTCTTTGTTTCCCTCTTCCTTCTCAAATGAAAACCAGTAGCTCTGAGTTCTATGTTTATTCCAGATCACAGTGGAAGAAGACTGGAGGGGCTGGGGACACTGCCCCTTGCTGAGGGACCTTGGACTAATCGCTTCTCACATGGCTTCAGTTTTCTTATCTGTAAAATGAAATTCTTGGCATTTCCACCTTTACATGCCCTTTCCATCTTTAAAATTGTCTGATTCCTAAGAGTGGTGGGACCTATTAAGGGATTTCACTCTGGCCACATACTGTGACTTTTGGAAAGCTAAGATAGTTTCGGACTGGCTGCCCCCAAATTTAGATAGAGTCTCTTAGCATTTCCTGCATAAGGCCAGAGACTGGATTTTCTAGGCATCGCTGAGGACTTAAGAGTCTTCTTTGGTTTTCAGGCTAGGCCAATGGCCGCAAATAACCTAATTAGGACCTCGCAAGCAGCTTGCCCAGTGAAAGCTAATTTAATTAGGGTCTTATTAGTTGTTATAACTACTTTTCAATGAAGCTTTATTACATTCAACTATGCAAATCCTAAGCAATTGTATTAAATGCTGGCAAATGACCCATTAGTCTTTGATTTCACTTCTTTTTTTGCATTGTTCACATCTATCCTGAGATTCAGATGCCTGTAGTTCATTTTTCCTCTTTGAAGCCAGGTGCAGCCTTGAAGGCATATTTTCTGTTCTAGTCTCATTACCCATTCTCTGGGATTCCCCATCCACTTACGCTAATGATTTGATATTGGAGTGATATGTGGGGTGGAGAAAGGCTAGGAAATCTCTCCCCAGTGGTCTTCCATATTCCCTAACGTTTCCATCATTAATCACTCCATGGTTGGAAGACTTTGAGGATAAGGGCCCCTGGTTGAAATGCAGATGTCATTTTGGAGGCAAATGCAGAAAACCATTATTATGAATTAACACCTGAGGATTAGCTCATCATATTAGCTAATTGGTCAATACAAGATACTTCAACAGAATGGATTCTGGATGGAGTTTTGATAGTTGCTGGTGTGTAGAGGAGGATGAAAGAAAACCAAGAGTTAATTCGTTTCTGCTGTGCAACAGTCACTGGGCTAGATATGTTCACATATATTATCTCATTTAATTCTTTTAACAACCTTGATATGAATGTATTATTATCACTGATAATAAGAAGAGAAGAGTCAGCTTCAAAATCACACAGCTAGTAAGAGGAAAAGCCTAGGAGAGCACTGAGGTGTGGGAAGCTTTGGCCTCCAGTGGGGCAGTGTCATGACCTGGGGGGTTAACAACTTCAGAGGATTGCCTGAGGCCAGGCAAACCCCAGGACCAGTGACTATGGGTCACTAAAGACAAACTTGACAGGGCTCACAACTTGGCCTGAGCAGTGCTGATCTCTTTTGTTCTGTTTCTTTTCATCCTCAATGGGCAGTGTGATGTCATAGTATGATGTCATCATTAAGAGACTAGGATCTGGGCCAGGCATGGTGGCTCACCCCTGTAATCCCAGCATTTTGGGAGGCCGACGTGGGAGGATCACGAGGTCAGGAGTTCGAGACTAGCTTGGCCAACACGGTGAGACCCCGTCTCTACTAAAATGCAAAAAATTAGCCGGGCACGTGGTGCGCGCCTGTAGTCCCAGGTACTCGGGAGGCTGAGGCAGGAGAATTGCTTGAAACTGGCAGGCAGAAGTTGCAGTGAACCGAGCTCGCACCATTGCACTCCAGCCTGAGCAACATGGTGAGACTCCTGAGACTCTGTCTCAAAAAAAAAAAACAAAAAAACAAAAGAGAGGCTAGGATCTGGCATGAGGCCGACTGAGATTCACATATCCTGGTTCCAGCCTTTTTGTGCAGGTATGACCCTGGGCAAGTTGTTTAAACTCCCTAAGCTGTGTTTTTCTCATCGGGAAAGGAGATAATAGCAACTTCCTCATAATCTGCTGGGAGTTATGGAATATGTGCCAAGCATCTGACACCAGGCAAGTGCCAGCGAGCAGGGATTCCTCCACATCTGAGCTGGTGTTGGAGTGCTTCATGGCTATAGTGGGAAAACAGGAAATACACATACAGGGAACTTCAGGTCTGTTCTTATTAGGCTGGTGGTTCTTAAACTTAAGTATGCATCAGTAGTACCCAGAGGGCTTGGGAAAACCCAGACTGCTTGGGTTGCACCTCCAGTTTCTGATTCAGTTGTTCTGCGGTGGGATCTAGGATTTGTCATCTATAACAAGTTTCTGGGTGATGTCAATGCTGCTGCGCTGAGGACCCCACTTGAAGACCCGCTGGATAAGGCCACTCACAGTGGATGCTCTCTGACAACACAGTCAGCAGCTCCAGGACAGAGTGTTCCAAGTCCACCTGAGCCTGGGGTGAGTCAGAGAAGCAGAGCTCTGGCTGTTTTCCTCTTTCCCATTTTCTACCCTGCCTCTGTGGCTTCCTGAGTCCTTGAGAGCCAGTCCTTGTGAACAGGGGCCAAAAATATTCTCTTAATTTTGATGCCTTATTTATTTATTTACAGCCACGCCAGTTCCTGGGCCTGCTTAGGTTGAAGGGATTTTTTTTTTTGTGGTTTGAATAAACTAATTTTTGGCTAAAAGCACTGATACAATTTGTTTTTCACGGAGAGCAAAGAGAAGATAGGCTCCAAGTAACAACTTCCAATTAATCTATCAGTCTGAAAGTTTACATTATTAATAGGCTTATCATTTTGATTTAACAAATGGTATAGACATCCTCAGACATGCAGAAAAAACAGTGCTTGCTGTCCATCATTCTTTTCATCAAGAAGGTGCAACTCACTGGATACCAGTGAGATAATTTATGTAAAATTGTTTAACACAATGTCTTTCAAAGAACAAATTATAATAATTTATGTTATTGTGTTTACTGAACAAATGTTCATTGAGCCCTTATAAAGTGACAGAATGCTTGATGTCAGGTTTTCTCCACTTCAACAATGATTGACATGTTGGGTTGGGTAATTCTTTGTTGTGGGAGATCTCCTTTGCATTGTAGGATGTTTGGCAGCATACCTGGCCTCTCCCAGTTAATGCCAGTAGCACCCCCAGTGTGACAATAAAAAATGTCTCCTGACATTGCTAAACGTCCCCTGGGGAAAAATTGCTGTTGGTTGAGAACTACTGATTTACATGAAGAGTCTTATTTCATCTTTGCAACACCCAACAAAATTAGCTGTTATTTGTTTATTTTAGAGATGGGAGAAAAGAGGATCAGAGAGTTGAGCAATTTGCTGAAAGCCACACAGGTAGTAAAGAAGCAGGAGTGGAGTTTGAACCCAGGACTGACAATCCAGAGCCTCAGTCTCGACCACTATTTTTGCTTCTTAAGAGTATACATTTAAGAATGTATAGAAGAGGCTAGGTGCGGTGGCTCACGCCTGTAATCCCAGCACTGTGGGAGGCTGAGGCGAGCGGATCACTTGAGATCAGGAGTTGGAGACCAGCCTGGCCAACATGGCGAAACCCTGTCTCTACTAAAAATACAAAAATTAGCTAGGTGTGGTGGTGCATGCCTGTAATCCCAGCTGCTAGGGAGGCCGAGGCCTGAGAATGGCTTGAACCCAGGAGGTGGAGATTGCAGTGAGCCGAGATTGCGCCACGGTTCTCCAGCCTGGGTGACAGAGCGAGACCCTATCTCAAAAGAAAAAAAAATTGTATAGAAGAAAGTCCATTCGATCACAGACATTGTGGTAATTGCCTTTGGGAAGGAGAGAGGTGAATGAGATGAGGGGTGGGGCGCCTTTTATATATATTTGTAACATTTTTATTTCTTAAAAGAAGATGTATAGCAAATTCAGCAACATGTTAAATTTGGATGGAAGACTCATGGGTGTCCCAAATTACTTTTGTACTTTTTGGAATGACTGAAATATCACAAATCTAAATATTGAAACAATTTTAAAAAGAAAGAAACATGACCGTAAATGTTAGGTAAAGTCATCTGATATTTTTGACCATGTGAACATCATACCTGGCACTCTAAAAAAACTTTAGCTTTTTACTCTTTTGCCCTTTTTTAACAGACAATTTTCCCGACTATTCAGTGAGAAGGAACCCATCTCATTTTTGTTTCCTCAAAACACATAGCCCATTCATCGAATTTGTCATGATCATAATATTAACAGGTACTTAAATATCTCCTCTGAAGTGGATGCCAGATTAGAGGCTTCGTGTATATTAATAGCTGACGTTTATGAAATATTTACTAGTGTTTTGCACCCAGCTGAGTCCCTTTCATCCGTTTCTTGTTTATTCCTCACTACAATTCTTTGAGGTTGATGATTTTGGTGTCGTTTTACAGATGAGTTAACTGAGGCTTAGCAAGCTGAGCAGCAGAGCCAGACAGATATGTCAGATTTCAGCGTCCCTGTTTTTTTTTTTTTTTGAGATGGAGTCTGGCTCTGTCTCCCAGACTGGAGTGCAGTGGTGCAATCTCGGCGCTTACTGCAACCTCCACCCTCCACCTCCTGGGTTCAGGCGATGGATTCTCCTACCTCAGCCTCCTAAGTGGATGGGATTACAGGTGCCTGCCACCATACCGGGCTAATTTTTGTATTTTTAGTACAGACGGGGTTTCACCATGTTGGCCAGGCTGGTCTCAAACTCCTGACCTCAAGTGATCCGCCCGCCTCGGACTCCCAAAGTGCTTGCTGGGAGTATAGGAGTGAGCCACCACCTGGCCTTCAAGTCCCTATTCCTTCTAGTACAGCAACTCAAGCAGGAGTCTTGAAGAGCTAACAAGGGTGTCTCAGAGAAGAGAAGGTGCCAGCCGTCTTCCTCAAGACGAGGGGGTGGGAAGGCGGTGACAGAGGCAGGTGACAGGAAGGGCTTTCCTGGTCAGATTCTGGGAATCACTTGGTGAGCCCAGGCTTCTGGCTTAGTGCCATTCCCAACCCTGTGGCAAGTGGGTCAAAGTTCACCCAGCCCCTGCCTTGTCCTAGTTGCTGGTTCCAACACCTCTAGATTTAGTACAGTTTAAAGATAACCCAGCTTCTCCCTCTAGATCAGTAGTTCAAGGGTAGGATTAAATTATGCCTCTGACTGACCAGGGCCCATTGGCTCCCTCTCAAAAGGGCTCCTTCCCTGGCAGAATCTGCTCAAGCAGCCAGCTCCTTGCTTCTTGAGTGGTGCTCAATTGAGTTTTCAATTCGTGAGTCTGGCATCTTCCAGGGCCAATCCGAATTTTGCAACTAAAATGTGGTGCATTTGCCATGCCCTGATCTAAATATACGCTGTCTACTGCATTCCCTCAATCCACACAGGCCCCCACGGTGGGGTAGGGGTGAGCTTGGATGCCTAGAGGAATCCTTCCTTATTAACTCATCCTTTGAGTGCCTCCAACTGGATTGTTTTCCTGGGGATGGCAACAGTGTTTTCTTTTATTTTGTTATGGTTTTAAATTGGGACGTCAGTCCTGGAGCCTCAAACCACTGATGTGGGCTGCCAGGCCCACCACGTGTGAAAGATCAAATCTGTTTATACGCTGTGGCTGACTGCTTTTTTTTCTTAGCTCCTGGATAAAATACACACATTCTGAGGCTGTTGTCTCCTCTGGCTCCTCTGATGGATGGGTGTTGCATCCCAACAGGGCAGCTAGCTAGCCCTGAACTCTGGAAAACTGACACCAAATTAGCTGCAAGGATTTGAAGCTTTCAAGACATCTTATCACCTCAGGAGGAAGTCAACGTAGATGCCTGAAACTTCTTGTGCCTCAGGCAGTGAGACGCTATCAGCATAAAAACTGGCTTCTTCATCAATGTTGAAACAGACTTTGTGGATGTGCAAATTGCTACACCCTTCCCAGAGAGTAATTTGACAATATACATCTGAGGCCTTTCCCGGGAGTCTGCCTTTTCATCTAACCATTCAAAGTGGACTTTATCCCAGTGAAATCCTAAAAAGCAAGTGCCCTAAAGATATTAAGGAAAAGAATGTGTGTAACAGAGTATTTATCACAGCTAAAAACTGAAAACATATTGCACATCAAGAGGGAATGGATTATTTTAAACATATGAAAAGATGCTTAACCTCATTCACAAAAATTCCACCTGTTAAGTTGGCAAAGATCCAGAAGTTTGATAACAGCTCTTAGTGAATGTGTGGGCACCCTCAAATGTCAGTTATTGAAATGCAAATTGATATAATCTCTACATAAGACAATCTGGTAATATTTATAAACATGAAAACATTTACTCAGAATGGTCCACTTACAAAATTTTACAGATATATTTACTCATGTGGAAATTGGTGATGTATAAAAATATTGTTTTGTAGTAACAAAAATTTAAAATAACCTACAATGTCTTTCCATGGAGATCTATCTGAAAAAAAGAAATGCTATGGAGCTACTAAGAATGAAGCTACTCTATTTGGAAATGGAATTTCCACTGAAATTGAAAGACCTTCAAGATACATTGTCCAGTGAAAAAAGCAAAATGAGGAATAGTGTTTAAGTTATTTCCATTAAAAATATCATATAAATATATTTATATATGCATAGAACATATCTGGAAGGATATATAAGAAACTGTTAATAGTGGTTGCCTCCATGGAGGGGAATTGGATGACTGGGGCCAAGGAAGTGAGAGAGACAGACTTTTCACTCCACATTTGTACCTTGTAAAGTGATACCTTGTGTGTGTCTTATCTATTGGTGTAAATGGCTTGTTTACATAACTGGATTGGTTAAGTATATTACGATACCTTCTATTATGGAATTCAGTGCAGCATTAAAAAGATGGGAAAGGCTGAGCGGGGTGGCTCATGCTTGTAATCCCAGCACTTTGGGAGGCTGAGGCAGGATGATCGCTTGAAGCCAGAAGTTTGAGACCAGCCTGGGCAACATGAGGAGACCCCATCTCGACAGAAAAATTTACAAATTAGCTGGGTGTGGTGGTGCACACCTGTGGTCCCTGCTACTTGGGAGGATGAAGTAAGGGGAGGATCGCTTGGGTCCAAGAGTTCAAGACTGCAGTGAGCTATGATTGTGCCACTGCACTCCAGCCTGGGTGACAGAGTGATACTCCGTCTTTAAAAACAAAAAAGAAAAGAAAAAAAGGAAAAACAAAAAAATGAAAAGACTCAGTTTCATCGATATGATAAGAAGTCAGTCAGGATGACTTGCTGATCAGTGAAAAAAGCACTGGGTGATCCAACTTGTGTTAATACACGCAACAACACACACAGAAAATTCTGCAAAGTTGCATAGGCAAATACTAAAACATGGTTATATCGATGGTGCTATGGTCTGAATGTTTGTGTCTCCCAAAATTAATATGTTGAAACTTAATCCCCAGTGCAGTGTTGTTGGTAAGTGGGTCATGTGAAAGGCAAGTAGGTCACCAGGGCAGAACTTTGATAAATGGGATCAGTGTACTTATAAAAGAGGCATTCGAGAGCCTGTTTGCCCCTTCTGCCATGTGAGGACACATAGAAGTCACCATCTATGGGCAGGTCCTCACCAGACACTGAATGTTCTTGCTCCTTGATCTTGGACTTCCGAGCCTCCAGAACTGTGAGCAATAAATTCTGTCATTTATTATAAATTACCTAGTCTAAGGTATTTGGTTACAGCAGCCTGAATGGACTGAGGCAGGTGATATGATTATGGATGATTTTTCCTTTCTTTTTTATATTTTGCTGTTACGTATAAATTACCTTTTGCTACCAAGAAAGAGAAAATTCTTCTCATTTTGAAACGAATAAAAAATCAACAACTTGACAGCATGATTTTGAACTGGGGGAATGAGCAGGGCTGTAACCAGCAGAGGAAAGGGCTGAAGTCATTTCTTCATTTTTTTTTTTTTTTTGAGATAGGGTCTTACTCTGTTGCCCAGGCTTGAGTGCAGTAGTGTGGTTATGGCTCATTGTACCCTTGACCTCCTGGGCTCAAGGGATCCTCCCCACTCAGCCTCCCTAGTAGCTGGGACTACAGGCCTGTGCTACCACATGAGGCTAATTTTTATTTTTTATTTGTAGAGATGGGGGGTCTCCCTATGTTGCCCAGATTGGTCTCGAACTCCTGGGCTCAAGTGATCCTCCTGCTTCAGCCTCTCAAATTGCTGGGATTACAGGCATGAGTCACTGCTCCCAGCATGGGCCAAAGCAATTTCTAAGTGTTCCGGGGCTGGTAATCACAGAGCGGGAGATATATTAAATATATATAATATATATATTATTAAATATATATAATAAATATTATAAAATATATATATTATATATATGTTAAATTAGATTGAAAATGACTAAGAACAACAATCTTCTTTTTTGGCCATTGATAGTTTTTCTTCCAAAATTATAAAAATGTTTAATAGTCCCCACCATAATTCTACTGAAACCCAATTTGTATTCTATCACATTTTCTTAATTTGATGTTCTTAATCACAAATAGAGTATTTGCTTATTGCACCATGTGAAATAATACAGAGGTTATAAAAAAGCTAATAATCTACTCCTCCTCACTCCATCGTATCCCTTGAGGTAACTAAACTAATAAATAGCTTTTAAAAGTTGGGTTAGACATTACTCTATAACTTGCTTTTTTACTTAGATATTATGAGCAATCCTCCTAACAGATTAGTAGATGTATATCTAACCTATTTTTTTTGTTTGTTTGTTTGTTTTTGAGATGGAGCCTCACCCTGTCACCCAGGCTGGAGTGCAGTGGTGTGATCTCAGCTCACTGCAACCTCCGCCTCCTGCGTACAAGCGATTCTCTGGCTAATTTTTATATTTTTAGTAGAGAAGGGGTTTTGCCATGTTGGAAGTCTTGTCTTGAACTCCTGACCTCAGGTGATCCACCTGCCTCAGCCTCCCAAAGTGTTGGGATTACAGGCATGAGCCACCGCGCCCGGCCTAACCTATTTGTTTTAACACCACTTTACATTTTACTGTAGTTTAAATTTCTTATTACGCATAATCAGGTTAAACCTAAAATACCAAATCTTCCTTGCCCCAGCAACTACATTTTTAGGAATTTATCCTGAATATGTGGGCACAGACATATATACAAGAGTATTCATCCAACATTGTTTGTAGTAAAAGACCAAAAATAACCTAAATGTCAATCAACTGGGAAATTGGTAAGTAAAATAGGACACTTTGTAAAATGGATTATTATGCAGCCATGAAAACCAGCAGTAACTCTATGCATTCTGACACAGAACTATGTCTAAGATATGCTATGCTGTTGAGTGAAAAATGAAACTTTCACTGAAGTGTTTCTAAAATGACACCACGAATCAAAATAAACAGAGTGAAAACACACACATTCTGCATGCAAAAACACTCAAACATACATATACGCATGTGGATATGTATGCTTACAAATAAATAGACTATTTTGGAAAGCATACACAATCTGGTAACAATGTTTACTTCAGGAGAAAAAATACTGAGAGTGTTGGGTGTGAATGTGGGGTAGGTAACAGCAGAATAATTTTTTCATTTTTTTTTTCTGATTCAAATAAGAATCTATGCATCATTAAAAAATAAACTAGTTGATTTTTAAAAATTGCTACAAGTAATCATGCAAAATAGTTACAAGGCGTGATGGCACGGTCCAAGTTCCCTGTGGTCCTAAGTCTAAAAACAGGCATTCTTTACAAAACATTGTAAAGAAAAAAAGTATAGAAAATCTCATATCCTGAAGTACATCTTTGTAATGTCCCGAGGCAGGGTTTTTATTCTGGAGTTAGAGGGTCCATAAACTTGGGTGAGAAAAAAAACCCTCTTTTTAAAAAAAAAAAAAATACAAAAACCAAAAAAAACCCAAACTAAACTTTGGCTGAAAGTTTGCATTTCCTTTGATAGGAAAGTGGGCAAGCAGCCACACTAGAGTCAGCAGGATTTGTCACCAATAGAAATCAGATCTGTGATATAACATTACATTTGTTGCAGATATCTTGAAATATTTCCACTTGTCAGTACTTCAAAATTATAGTAGTTATTTATTTGACTTGCTGCTAGATCTTGTTTATTTAATATGTTAAAGGACTTTTTTTACTCTATAATAAATTTGTTTTTTCAACATTATAACTGTATTTCAATATAATTGGTTTTCTTTGAAATCCTGTGTCTTTTATTTGATGTGTTGACTGTGAGAAGGGGCTTCATCAGATTGCCAAAGGGGTCCGCGAAACAATGGAGCCAAGGAACCTTGGTGTTAAGGTAAATGCTAAAGGGCTGGGGACAAGGAATCACAAATGGGCGCTGTGGGGAGTGTCCCTAGAAGCTGGGAGAAGGGACCCTACTGCTTCCTCTTGATGCCGGGGGCTGATTAATGGCCTGAATATATGAATCGGAGATGCAATTTTTTGTTGCTGTTCCAGTTGGTGGATCCTCCTCCTCCCCAACCAGCTGCCTCCCTGGATCTCCGCCCGGCCCAGTGCTGGTGGTGTGAGCCCTGGGGCTGACGCCTGCGAATGACAGTGAGCCCGGCTTGCCCTTGGTCCCATTTTAACCTCCTTTTGGGGCACGGCCAGGGTGCTAAGCTCAGCCTCTAAGCAATGCACATTAGCCTGGCAGGAAACTCTGTCTTGAAGAATTTCAAAAAATTCTTGTGCAAAACCAAGCCCCAAATTCATCCCAACAGGAGAGAGAAAGCTTAGCGGGGAGCAAGACACTGTAGGCAGACACACTTGGAAAAAGTTAAATGGGGCTCTAGGAGGAATGGGCCACTTACATGTGCTAGAACATTCTGTTTCTGAACACTTTAAACTGAACTGCTCGTTGGTGCAACTTTTATAGCACAATTCCTGTGCTCGCACCAGAGAGGGGCACTTGAGTGTTCAAAGGGTGGTCAGATGAGCTGCGGGTGAGTGTGGCCAGGAGTGTGCTGTCAATAGAGTCGTAAGAGCAGAGCCTGCCAATGTGGACAGATTCTACTGTATCCTGAGCTGACTCATGGTGCTGTCATGCCAGGAGGGGTGATGATGGGTGGGGTGAAGATGGCCCTCCCCCTGCACTGATTCCAGCCTTACAAGTCCTTAAAACACAGCTCACTTTCCTTTTCCTCCCCCAAATCTTATTTCAGCCCACTCTTCTTTCTGTCTCCTCTGCATTCTGAAGACACCCATCATTCAGATGGCACCTTTTAGCTTGTGCTGAAATTGATCCATTCCTTCATTTAATCATTTATTCCCTAAGTATTTAGGGCTGGCCAGCCATAGATTCAAATCTTAGCTCAGCCACTCACTCATGTCATCGCGGCAAGTAAAATAAATGAACACTTTATTTAAAAATTTCAAGCCCACATTTGCAAAACTCCTGCTTCCCACGAAATACACACATAGTAAGTCACATTTTTCCTTTTTAAACGGATGATGGCTTTGCTCTCTCATCATGAATCTTTCCCTGGACTGTTGAGGCTGTTAGTGCCAGTTTCTCTTTCCTCCCCATCTGAGGCTCTGGTGTGAAACTGGTGTACTATTGGACGTCTGCACTATAAACACCCTTATTCCAGGTTTTAAAACAGGGAGACATTTTTATTGTTCAAATTGAGACACTTTTGAAAATAAGAAAGGGTTATTATAATAAGTATAATTATGCTTTGATAATAGGCATAAAAGGAGACCATCTCAGTGAAATGGGACATATGGTCACCCTATTAGAAAACAGTGATATATTACCCAACAGAAAGACCCAGTGTGTCTTCAGAGCATTCGCAAAGCTGGGGCACCTGTATTTTTGGTGAAATAATCTGATATTAAAGAAATCAAAGTTACCTCCATGGAAAGAATCAGAATATTGTTGGCCTTCCTTACATTTTTTTTAGGGTTCTATGCATACGTGTGTGTGTGTGTGTGTGTGTGTGTGTGTGTGCATGTTTTAATTTATAATTTTATTATTCCCTTTTCAATACCTTAGGCCTTTAGAGGTCTCTATCTGGCTCTGCTATAAAGTCACTGGAATAGTTTCCTCTTTTCCTGCTTCTGCAGGGATCAACTCTGACCATATCCCTCTCAGAGGTGAGAGGCAGGTGACCATGGCTAGAGGGTGAGGGAATGTAAGGGCCAATTGGCAATGGGACAATCTCCCCCAGAGGCAGGTGGAACGGCAGCCTTTTGATAAAGAATGAAGAGGCCATCCATTTTCAAGATCCTACCTTGTGTCCACACGGGTCTTGACCTAGCCAATCTCGCTTCACCGGCTTCATGACCAGGCCCAGATTGGCATTTTGGTTTTAGAATACCAGTCTATGACAGTCTCTTTTTAATGAACTTGTGGTAGTTTTGAGGAAGGAGACAAGCCACTTAACCCCCCTGAGCCCATTTCCTTATTTGTTTACTTATTAATTTAATTTAATTTAATATTTTTGAGACAGAGTTTTGCTCTGTCTGCCAGGCTGAAGTGCAGTGGTGCAATCTTGGCTCACTGTAACCTCCACCTCCCAGGTTCAAGTGATTCTCCTCCCTCAGCCTCCCAAGTAGCTGGGATTACAGGTGCCCGCTACCACGCCCGGCTAATTTTTGTGTTTTTAGTAGTGACAGGGTTTCACCATGTTGGCCAGCCTGGTCTCGAACTCCCGACCTCAAGTGATCCGCCCGCCTCGGCCTCCCAAAGTGCTGGGATTACAGGTTTGAGCCACCATGGCTGGCCCCATTTCCTTATTTATAAAATGGGCAGAGCATGAATACCTATCTGGTGGGCCGTGGGAGGTTCAAATACTAGAAGAAGTCTGGTACACGCTGTATGAATCCTATTGGTCATTGCTATTTTTATTGAGTTTACTATGTACACATCCCTGGGCACGAAGGACAAGAAGACAATTTGAACTTGGACCCTGCAAAGGTTTGCAGCCTGGCAGTGCTGCAAAAGTTGTGCACATCCATATTTATCCCCAGAGAGAAACATGACAAGCACCATAAACCAGGGATAAAGGGAGTGATTACTGATGGGGAAAAGGGTGGGATCCAGGAAGACTTCGCGAGAAAGGTGTCAGCAGAACCGCATGTTTACAGACGAGCAGGAACTGGATATTCAGAGGGTATGAGAAACACACTGGTGGGAGAGGGAACAAATGCACAAAAAAAAGAAAATGCAAAGTGTATTTGGGAAGTGGCAAATAATTTTACTTCAATTGAGTGCACTCTTAATTCTTCTGCTAGGCTCTGTACTACTCATTCATTCATTCATTCAGCTTGTGTGAGCACCCATGTTCGGCAGAGAGTTGGTCACTGCTTAGACGTCCACAGTAGGTAGAGGAGAAAGAGCAGTCACGAGGTTGCTGGAGAGAGCCCTGAGGAGAGTAGCCTTAGGGCTTCCCTCTTCATGGGACCCTACACGACCTGAGCAGGGGCCCTGCAATGCCCCCACCATGGCCACACAAAGTTTTCAGAAGTAAGGTTTATTAATGCAATTGGTTATTCCCCTTATTTAAATATTATTCCTATTTCTCCGTATGCAGGTGGTAATACAGGGGCCATGGACGTTTTTGGGAACCAGCTAAGAGTTGAGTTAAGACAGATTTTGTGTGGGTTCTGTTGAATATACGTATGTGGTTTACAGTCTTTTCTTTCTGTATAGCTAGGTCACCACTAGCCACAGTAACTCCAAAGTGAAAAAACGGCTTCTAGAAATACTCTCTCGCCCACGATGCCAACTCACCTGATCTTGTGGCATCAAGAGGCAGGACCAGAGGCAGATTCATGATGGAAGAGTGTCCCCATGGTGCTGGCACCACACGTAGGTGGGTGGGTGGTGGTGAATCCGGGTCTGAAATGTATGCAGCCAGAAACTAAACTGTAAAAAAGTCCTCTAAATTTTATGTGTTTCTCCAAATTTGATAAAAATCTGAAAACCGTATGTGACATTACCAATAATAAGTTGTGAAGCTGAAAAAAGTCTTCTAAAGCATCAATAATACAAGAGAAATTTTGACTTATCTTCCTAGAGGAACGACCCAATTATTTTTATCTTCTTTATGGTCTCACCAGGATATGGTGCCTCTTGGTTGCTGAATGACGGGCAGCCACATGCTTTTTCTTTCCTCCTTCTAGAATAAACTCTGGCTTCCCCAGTTTCCTTCCTGCACTTTCTTAAATCTGGCTCAGAGCCCCACCTCTAGGAGAGCTCCAATGATGAACCCATCTGACTGCCTGCATTAGAGTCCATGTTCTGTCATTGATCAGCTGGGTAACCTGAGGCAAATCACTCAATCTCTCTGAGCTTCTGTTTCCTCATCTGTAAAATGAGGACAATACCAGTGCCCACTTCACAATCCTGTGGACAGGTATAAATGAGGGAATACAGAGAAAGAACTCCTAGCCAGCATGGAGAGCACAGTAAGCCTGGCACTCGATGAGACCTAATAAATGGTAGCTATTAGTATTACTATTATCAAATGTGGTTAGGAAGCACAGTGACTGCAGAAACATTCGGCAGATATGGCAGAAAGCAATTTCCAGTGCTGCCCAGCAGACATCAGTTATTTTTACTAGCCACACACACACTCAGGTAAAGGCATTTCCTGCATAACATATCTTAATAGATGCATCCGTGATGGCACTGCAGCTACACACGCACCTGCTGGCATTTCTGTGAGCCGTTTTGCTCCAGCAGGGGTGGGTGCCACCACGACTGGCCCCGTCATCCTGTCAGACCTGACAGGCATAGCTCTTCACACATCATTCTTCCCCTCCCTGCCCCTCTGCCCCAGATCTCCGAATCTCACATCAAAGCTGAGGCTAACTCATTCACCCAGCCCTCCTTCCTTCTTTCTTGCCGTCACTTCTTTCCTTCCTCCCTCCCGTTTTCCTCACAAATATTTGTTGTGTCTAGCCGCCATGGTGTCTTCTGTGATTCCAAGACTTTAGGAGACTCAGTAAAGTTTGAAAAAAATTTCTGAAAGGGATTGACATAGGGTACTAACTTTTAATTTTGCCAAGTAGGATATCAACACACACATACACACGCACAGAGACATTCACACACTATTGCCACTAATTACCATCGTTCCATCAAAGAAGTGCTATTTCAGTGTCCCCAAATAGAAAAGACAGTCTTTAGAAGAAAAAGAATCATTTACATGAAATACATTTAGTTTTTAAAAGAACACAGCATTTTCCTAACTTTCTGATTCGTCATAAGCCAGTAAAATCTCTGGGTGCCAGATCTCAGACAAATGTTGGAGAAGAAGTGTACTAACAATAGGAATAATATAATGAATGTTTATTGAGTGCCAAATGTGGTGTTTGATAGACTCTACCATTTACTAACTGTGTGATCTTGGGCAAGGTACTGAACCTCTCTGAACTCTAGTTCCCTCACTGTAAAGACAGGGATGACGATGCTTGCTCTGCAAAGCTTTCCAGGGGTTTCTAGGCATGGGGAGGACTTGTGTGGTGCTGGCTGCATAAGAGTCGCCTGGGAAACTTGTTAAAATTAAGATTCTTGGCACTACAAGGAGAGAATCTGATGCAAGAGGTCTACAATGGGGTCCAAGGATCTATTCTTTTAAAAACAGCCCCCTCCTCCAGATGTTTCTGATGAGCAGCTAGATTTGCTGTTGCTCACAGCCCCTGGCTTTTGGGTTGGACATTCTGTCTACTTGACTTATGAGAGTGTCTGGCAGATTGTTCCTCGCATGATGTATTCAGAGGAAAATCTTGGGAGGTATCTTGTTTGCTGTGTTCAGGCTCCCCCTTCCCACTCTGTTCCCCTTCTCAACAAATGGTACCTCCATCTACTTAGAAACCCCAGGGTTATTCTGAACACATTTCCTCTCTTGCGGACTCTCTTATGCCGTCACCAACCCATCCCCAGGTCTTGAAGCTGTCTGCTTCTCCACCTCCACTGCCCCTGCCTAGTCTAGGTCATCATCATCTCTCACTGCCACTGCAAAGCCTCCTACCTGTCTCGTCTGAAGTGTATGCTCCACACAGTGGCTGCAGTCACTTTTAAAAGACACGATTCAGACAGTATCTTTCATCTGCTTCGAACCCTGCTGTAGTGACCAACACACTTAAGATAAAAATCTAAAGTCCTTAATGTGGCCTAAAAGCCCTTGCATGGCCCGGCCTCTGCCCACGCCTCTGGCCTTGACACGCACCTGCCTCCCTTCTAATTCTCTGGGCTCTGTTAGTTCTCCACTCTCTCTGGCCTCAGGACTTTCAAGTGTGCCCCTCCTCCTGCCCACACTTTTCTTCCTCTATCAGCCCCCTTCACTGAATTAGCTTCTCCAAACCGTTGAGGGTTCCACTTAAATGTCACTGCCTCAGGGACCTATGATGTACTAACCCCTGTTTTAGAATTCTAGCAGCATCACACTCCTTTTCTTCAAGTCACTTGTTGCAGTTTATGTTCATGTTTGTTTGTGCATGTGTGTTTTTCAACATCTCTGTGTTCCCTACTAGAGCCAAATTCTATGAAATATAAGTATTTCGCTCACCATTATATCGTCAGTATAATGCCTGGACACAGTACCCACTGAATAGATACATATTTATTCAGTGAATGGATGAATGATTAAAGATGTGAACCCACATCACTAGAAGGGCAAGGTCCCTCCCACTTTTTCTTTTGGTTGGGGTGGCTGACAAAATGCCCAATCCTGAGAGACCCTTGTCATACACAGTACAGGAGAACATCGAGCCCTGAGCTAGAACATGGATGACCTGCCCTGATATGTCATAGGTTGGTTATTTTTTCAGAAGTGAGCAGGCAGTGGAAGAAAGGCAGATTTTGCAACAGAAGCATCATTACTAGTTCTTGACAGGGTGGTTCTGGGTTTCCTGGAGTACATGTGCTATGAAAACAGGTTGCTATCAGACAGCAAAAGGGCCAGACATTTCCTTGGTGTGCTGGAACAGGTATGGGTCTGTTCTGACGGACTTGGATTCAACTTTTGGCCCTATCACTTACTTGATGTGTGACCTTGGACCAGAAGTTTTACCTCTCTGAGCTTCAGTATATTCATCCATAAAAAGGGAGCAGTTACTTTTGCCTGTTAGAGTAGCTGTGAGGATTAATGAGATAACGTCTGTAGGAGGCCTAGCAGAATGTCTGGTACATGGTATGTATCCAATAACAAATACAATCTCACCAGGCTGTAAGCCTTCTTCAATCAGGGGCCATGTTTGTTTTTGGCTTGATAACCCAGTGTCTGGTACAGTGCCTGGCATGTAGTAGATGCTTTAGGAAGTCCTTATTAGTGATTTAATACATGGTCAAATGGGTTTTACTTTAGTAGGATTTCCCTCTTCCAGGAAGGATTCCCGTGTGTAAAAACTTCCCCCTTGCCAAGTACTCAAACCAATTGATTTATTTGTGGGCAACTCAAATCCCTGTGTTTTGAAATCTCAGAGCTGGAAGATTAATGTGTGTTTGTCGGGGTGGCTCTGTCTTGAGTCATCTCTGAGAACCTTGTGCTTGTGGAAGGTAGAAATTCGTCAGCCCCCATTTGAATGAAAGGGCTGGAGGATCAAATCAATGGAGAGAGGGATTTCTATTTTGTTCCAATACTATGGAGAACAAAACTGTTTCTTTGAAATTGACCTTCATTTATTTGGAGGGGAAAGCAGTTAGTTCAATAATGGCTTCCTGGTGCCTTCCAGCATTTTAAAAGACAGAAGAAAGATTTGGAGCAAGGCAAGGTTCCAGTGTTTTCTAAACAACTCACTAAGCCCAGCTACTGGTTGGCTGCGGAGCACTTCCTGCTACCGGCCCTGCATCCCCCAATTTCCCCCACTGCTGCAATGCACATCCTCAATAGCTCAGCCACTTCTTGAGACCCTGACAAGGCCTTCCCTAGGTGGGCTGGAAGTTAGCCTTCATTTTAATGCTGGGCAGCTGAAGATTCTCTGACATCTTGCAAATGGCTCATGGAGTAAGAAATACTGCTATATTCTATTCCAATTATTTCCTGTCCCTCCCTGGCCTGATTCCAGGGGCCAAATAAAGAGGTCCTTGTTTGGTGGAGTCCATTCCTGCTCCTGAGTAAGTGAGCACTGGTCCCTGGTCCAACTTGGTCTGAGGCCACAGGGAAAGGGTGGGGAGGACATTGGAGAGGATGTCCCAGGTGGGGAGAGCTCTGGAGGAGACAAGAGGCCCTGCTCTGCAGGCAGCCCAACCCTGCTTCCAGAAATAAAAATAAGAGATGAAGGAAAACAAATGGGGCCCCTGAACAGGATCCTGTAGGGGGCACAG
The DNA here is from genome assembly GCF_000001405.40 of Homo sapiens. Taxonomy (NCBI): domain Eukaryota; kingdom Metazoa; phylum Chordata; class Mammalia; order Primates; family Hominidae; genus Homo; species Homo sapiens. The sequence continues at coordinate 159,921,057 of NC_000005.10, read as the reverse complement.
CTATTTTCCCTCTTTCCCAGGAGAGATCCCAACCCTTCTCTCCCACGGAGAAAACAAACACAGCTATGGAAATCTTGTGCCATCCTGGCACCTGAAAGTCTATCACCAATTGGAAGTTGCTCCTACCTGCACTTCTCCCTTTGCCAAACACAGTCCTCCCCCACATCTGCTTCCTCCCCTTATGAGTGAAAAAGTTTTCACGGAAAATTTAGAATTTGGAACCTTCTTCAGATTCCAAAGAAGTTATTGTTCTATATCATGCTGCTTTTGCTTGGGTGTTATTTCAACTCAGAGAAAGTAGAAACTCACATCTCTATTTTGCTGGAATGCTCTTCCTGAATCATTAAGAAAACAGTAATTAAGTACCTTCTTTGTTTGAAGCTCTTGAGTACTTTTTGAAGCCCATCTCAAACTCAAGTCCTAGAGTCCACATTCCCCACATTATCTGTTAGGTTTTCAGGGAAGAAGGATGTTGATGGGGTCGGCTCAGGGACAAATCACTGGAAGATCTCTGGGAGATCGTCGCATGATAGTCGGAAAGTTTTCATCGCAAGGAGAAGAGAAACAAGATAGCATCAAGGTGGCAAGAACCTCTCACTTTTTATTGTGTGGAAGCTCAGGACCTGAGATGCTAGGGGGACAAAGTCTCAGAAAGGCACAGACAGAAAGGAGAGAGACGATGGGGGTAATGTGAGTAAGAAGAAAGTGAGGGTGGGCTTGATGACTTGAAGAGCAAGACCCAGAGAGAAGCCACATCATCTCACACTACGATGTGGCTGGGAAAGGTCTGAGATTGGCAGCATTTAAAACCCTGGCTTCCAGGGTGCTGGGCCTGAAGGAAACTGAGAAATTTTCTGGCCAGTGATTCTCAAAGCCTGGTCTGTGGACTACCTCTTCAGAATCACCTGGTGGGCTGATTATACCTGCAGATTCCTGGTATCCTTCTGACTTACTGAATCCTATTTGCTGGGGGTTCGGCCCAGGCAGCTACCATTGTTTATGAAGTTTCACAAGTGATTCTGATAGTTCTCAAAGTTTGAGATCCCTTAATCTAATTCAACCTCCTCGTTCTCCAGGTGTGAGGCCTGAAGCCTAGAGAAGCAAAGCAGCAAGCCTAGAGCCACAGAGCTAATTGATGGCAAAGCTCAAATGGGAACTCTGTTGCTCCTGATCACCAGAGCCGTGTTCTTCCCATTTGAATATGCTGGAAGCCTCCTTACCTGTTTGGAGCTATTTCCCCTGCCCCTAAAAGCCAAAGCCTGCACCTTTGATCCATTCCTGCATCCTGCTGAGGCCTTCTCCTTCCTGAGCATGCTCTGGTCACAGCCTCTGCAGGCTGGAGGCCAGGGGCAAAGGAAGAAAGACTCAATTCTCTTCCAAGACTTTAGTAACAGGTGTGGGATTGGCAAATGTGTAGAGAAGGAGAAAAGACACAGTTATACCGAAGGGGAGATTGGGGTTTGGTTTGTACTGCTCATAGCTAACTTTCATTGAGCATCTGCTATACACCAGATACTGTGCTAAGTCCTTCCTATACATTAATGCAAACTCCATGGAGCAAATATTAATCAGCCCTGTTTTGTAGACGAAGAAACTGAGGCTCATACAGGAGTGGTCATTTGGCCAAGGTCATATGGCTAATAAGAGGCCAAATCACCTCCATCAGCTCCATGTACAACCATGATCTTTGTAATGACCCAATGCAGTGTGAACTGTCATCCACTGTAAACCGAACAAGCCTGCAAAAGAACCCTGAGACCTTGGGAAAGAAAAGCAAGCTTCCCTGCAATGGTATGTGATCACGCCTGGGGAGTAGAACTTTTTCAAACCCTTTCTGCTTAACACTAACCATTGAAAATATTTCTGAAAGGCATTAGCCTGCAGGCCTGCTTTAGAAAAGATGACATGGAGAAAAGGTTAGACGGCTTTTGAAAATCTTTTTCTTTCTTTTTAAATGGAAACTCGATATCTGTTTGCTTCCTTTCTGTTTGCATTTTTCTCTTGAAAGCAGTGTGCCTTCAGAATTTATAGCTGTTTGAGGGATTTGGTTATATTTGGGTCTGACCTGAGACTCCGGTGTGATTGCAGGCATATGTGGTCCGCAGTATAGCAGCTGTTACCTCTCCTGATATCATGGCACATGACTGTGTCATGATAAACTCCCTCCATTCATTTTCTGTAGTGTCCCCCAGGGATAGGAGAAGGAATCAAAGCAGATCAGTGCCTCAGAGGAAGGACAAGGGATCCCCAGGCCATGTGGACAGCATGTGACAGATGCCCCCCTTTAGGTTTACCTGCTAACCAGACCTTGGCTTCTTCCTTAGAAAACATCAGGTAGCCTTTTGAACAATTCAGTTAGTAGGACCACCAAACAAAAAGAAGACGAACATGTTTTCATAAGAGGGGGAGGACGCACTGAATTCCATCTTACCAGGATTTGGTCTCTGTCAGCTGAGATGAGGGACAACTATAATTTGATTCTGGGCATTCCATAAATCACTAGAGTTAGAAACATTTTTGGGTAAAAACTAAAAATGTGTGACCCTCTAGTCATCTTCTCTTTCACATCTCAAGCTTTCAATAACTTAAAGGCTGGTTGGGGCTGTGTGGCTGTAAAATGCTCTTATTAACGGATAATGAACGTAGTATATCTGGGTGATAGCTGTCAGTGAAGAGGGGAGGGAGAGAATGCAGCCTCTGCAAAGCTCTTGAGAAGCGTGGCTTCTGCTCTAGCCCTGGAAATGCTGAATGAATGCTGCCTTTCTGTGTACGAGCTGCCTCCCTGCTTCCCAAATGCCGCGTCTGCAGTAACTACAAACTATTTTGTATGCTGCATTAGTGACGCTGCCTTAGCCGACACATCATTACTACTGAAATAACGCCGGTGTGATATTCAAGCCCAGTGAATATCCTTTTTAATTATTAAACCGAGGCTGTTGAGTGAGTCATTCCTCATACCAGATTTTCCTTCCCTGGTTCTATTTCCAGAAGCTAGTGCCTTAGCGTGTTCTACTAACACCTGAGTTGGTTTTTAGCCAGCTCCCCAATCTGCAAACCCTTTGCAGAACAAACAATATTATTCAATCTCCGAACACGCACAGACTGCATAAGAAACAAAACCCACAAAAAACTTTAGAGTAAGCTCATCAGTAAACCCAAGGTCCAAAAATGCCCAGTCCCCCTGCTGCTAGTCCCCAACTTACCAAGCGGTAGAGCGATGAAGAAGGGTAGCCAGCACAAGATGAACATACCGACCACAATGCCCAACGTCTTAGCTGCTTTCTTTTCCCTGGAGAACTTAAAAAGTTTGACAGCTATGGAACTCCTGGGGTTGTGGCCCTTGGCCTTGGTACTGCTAAGGGTGTCCTCGTGAAAGTTCTTGGAATGGATCCTCAGGGTCAGCTCCTTGGAGTTGGACATCTCCTTCATGACTCCTGCCTCTAGGTTCTTGGTGGTTCTCTTGGCCACTATATAGACACGGCAGTACATGACTAGAATGACCGCCAGAGGGATGTAGAAGGAGCCCAGAGAGGAGAAGAGGGCATAGAAGGGTTCTTCGGTGACCCCGCACTCCTTGTCATCGTTGGGTGCCGGCTCCTTCCACCCAAGGAGAGGCCCGATGGAGATGACGGTGGACAAGACCCAGACACTGAGCAGCGCCAAGATGGCCTTCCTCCGGGTGACCAGCGTGGGATACTGCAGAGAGTAGCGCACCCCGATGTAGCGATCGATGGAGATGGCGCACAGGCTCAGAATGGACGCTGTGCAGCACAGGACATCCACGGCTGCCCAGATGTCACAGAAGATCCGCCCCAGCACCCAGTAGCCGAGCACCTCTAGGGCCGCTGAGAAGGGCAGGACGGTGAAGCTCAACAGCAGGTCGGCCATGGCCAGGTTGACAATGAAGTAGTTGGTGGGCGTCCGCAGGTGCCGGTTGCAGGCCACAGACAAGATGACTAGGATGTTGCCCACGATGGCAAAGAGGATGAAGGCGCCCAGCACCAGGCCCACAGAGATGGCCCTGGTGATGTCCAGCTGGGGCAGTGTGGAGTTGCTCGAGGTCTGGTTGGGGCCAGTGAAGTTGGCATTTTTCAACTCTCCCCAGTGGGCAGGTGCTGATGTGTTGTGGCCGGTGTCCAGGTCGGGATTCATCTTAGAGTCCGCCCTCCATAGCCAGGGGGATGATTGGGCTCGGAAGGGCTGCGGCGAAGGCTCCTCAGCTGCCCTGAAACTTTGCTTCCCCCGTGGTCTTCTTCCCAGAGGCGCCCTCCTGGCGAGGAGTCATCTCCCCCGGGCAGCCCAGCCCGGCAGCACGTCTCCTGCCTGCACCGAGTCGCTCGCTCGCCTGTCAGAGGGAGGAGGAGGAGGAGAGGGGACGAGGCGGCAGCTCCAAGTTTAATGGTCCACGTCAGGCGCGCCTGGCCGGGCTCGCGGGGGAGCGGCGGGGAGGAGGGGGCGGCAGGGCCGGGGGCGCCCGGCGGTGCCCAGCTCGCTCGGGTCTGCGGACCGCGGCGCGTCCTCCGCCCAGCGAGCGCCGAAGAGGGTCTGCTTTCAATGAGCCGCTTCTGGGCTGACTGCACGGCGGTGACATCAGGCGGGGGAGCCCGGCGCCCTGACTCCGCGCGGCACTAGGGGGCAATGCGGGTCCAGCCAAGGCGCCCGCAGCCCCGACGCCGCCACCCCGCAAGCCGGGAAGCCAGCCGCGTCCCCCGCCGCTCCCAGGGCGCGCCCTCTGCGGGGGGCGGGGCGGGGGCAGGGGCCGCGAGGGCGGGACCTGGGCGTGGAGATCGCGGGTCACCCACCCCTAGGCGGCCCGCTGGGGTTATTTTCCCCGCTAGTCACTCTTCCGTGTCAAAGGTGGGTTGGGGGCTGCTTACCTTTAATAGGGGGCTCCCGGAGTGGGCCCCGGATTTAACGGGATATGCAACTTGTCCAGCACCTAAAAGAGGGAAAGAGAATTCTAGGATTGGGCAGGTGGGAGGGACTTGAGTCGGATCTGAGGCCAGCCCTCATCCTTCATCTGGCTCCCCTCGCCCCGTGCAAACTCTTTGGCCCCAGTAAAATCTGGCTTCTCTTCATCCTTTCATTCGCTCAGGCATTCACTCATTTATTCAGCCGATTCTTACGGAGTCTCCACTCTCTGCCCTGGCTCTGGGCGCTGTGAACATAGCAACTGAACAAAATAGACGGACTCCTGCCCTATAGGAGCGTAGCTTCTCCCGACAGAAGACAGACAGTATACTAAATAAGCAAATGATGAGGTGTGTAATGTGATGACAGGTGTTAGGCTGAAAATAAAGTAAGGAGGGGGAAATGCAGTGGGGTGTTTGTGGGGTGGATTTGAAATGTTAAGTGGGTGCTTGGGATGTCACTGAAGTGATATTTGAGGAAACATGAAGGGAATTGAGGGAGGAAGCTAGCTGGCTATCTGGGAGTGGGGGTGAGGGAGGTCAGAGACCTGGGGAAGGGACGTAGAGGATCTTGGTTATTTGTTGAGTTTTTTCCTTTCTGTCTGATATCCATGTTGGACATTCAGTCACAGGGACGCACTCCCAAAGGTGGGTGAATGGTACTTAGAAGAGAAAGTATGGGCCAAGAAAGAAAGAAAGAAAAAGCCAAAGAACTTTATGTTAGTTCACATTTATCCAACATTTATTTTGTCCTAGACAGTGTGCTGAGTTCTTTTTGCATTTTCTCATGACTCTCATGAGAGAAAGAATACACTCTTCACCATTTCTATTTCATGGATGAGACACCAAATTATGGGGAAGTTTAGCTGTTCGCCCAAGTTCACAAAGGCATGGAGGAGAGCTGCTGGGAACTGAACTCAACTGTGGGGTCTCTCCCAAAGTTGGGTACTCAGCTACTGTGTCATACTTTTCCCCCGGGGCAAGGTAGGGGATGGAACCACTGTTATAGATGGAGCTGCCTTTTGAGTAGTTAATTTTGGGGCCTGAGCCACTGGTGCTGGGCAGGGACTCCCATGAATTGAGCGCTTACTGATAGCCATGCATTTACTCAGTTTCTTTGAGACTTTACAATTCTTTGAGAGAAGCATAACCATTGTTCATTGAGAGATGAGAAACAGTGGTTCAGAGAGAGTCAGTTGATTCCTGAGGTCATAGGCTAGCAAATATATGGCAGAGCAATGGGCAGTGGCAGCTGGAGATTGAAAAGTAAAGCCTGATACCTTCTTTTACTCCAGTTCACAAGCCTGCATCTTGGGTTTCTCACCTTCTGCTCTTGATACTTGTTATAACTTGATATTCACGGGTGGGGAAAACAGAAGTCACTCAGGATGACTTACATCTAAGCTTCTCAACCTAGAGGTAAGCTCTTAACCTCTTTTTATTTTTATTTTTTGAGAAGGGAGGCAGGTGGTTATCATACACGTATCGAAGGTTTTAATTTACTCCCAGCAAAGTGCACAGACTCCACACATGTGCAAAATACACAATTTCAGGGGGTTTCCCTCGGGTTAAGAAATCTGTGGTAGAGACAGTCCTGAAAATGGATTATTTTCTATTATAATTAAATTGCCCTAAGCTGTATTTGAAGATTTGATAATAAGAGATTCACAAGTTTATAGTGATTTAGATCTTCAGAAGCTCTCAGAACCTTGGTTTGCTTATCTTCCTGTGTTGGAGGTGGTGCACTAGGGAAAGAGACTTGGCAAGATGGTCAGGAGCAGAGCTGGTTAGGAAACTCTGTTTCCCTGGCCTACAGGACAGTGCTCCTTCTGCTCCTGCAGCCACTCATGACCTACACAGTGGGGTGTGAGACTGGAAGAACTTGGCAGCCCTCTGTCAGGGGTCTTTATTAAAAGGAGAGGCTGTCATTGGTCCTGGGTGGCTCAGACTAGTCTGTCTGCAGATAGGACCTGGCTTAGATGATCTTTGAGATCCCGTAGCTCCAGGTGGTCAGCTTCTCTTGCTGGATAAAGTGGCCCCCGAAGGCACCTGCTATCCTTTCTCTCATGCATCTTCCAGGGTAGGGGTGAGAGTGAGGTATCATGAACTCAGTTCCCACCATTCCCAATGTATCATTAAGTCTAAGATAATGGGGCTTCTCTTGAGCTGGTTTACTTATAAGGGGAGAGGGAGGAGGAAGAGAATACCAGTAACCTGGCACGTAGCTGGCATTAGCACAAAGACAGGGGTGTAGGGGAGGGTAAGGGTGGGATAAAATAAAGAGCAAGTTCCAAATCCACATTTTGATTGTGGTGGCCCATTTCCCACTTCCCTGGGCATTAATTTCACCAGCTATTGAACAGCCAGCAACACACCATTGAATTTACTGAGGCTGTGTCTACATAATCACAGTAACCAGCTGCAATGTGAAAACTCAGCCTATCAGACATTTTTCTGTGGTGGCAAAAGGCCAGGATGAAAAAAAAAGAGCAAATCTGAGATTCAGAGATGGTTTATCCTCATTGTGAAAGAAAATAGTTTGTTACCTAGATGAGAACTTATGTCTTGATTCAGGTGTCAGGATGTGGAAGAAATTATTGAGCCAGATTGACAAGTTCAAAATCCTTGCAGATTTCAGACTTGTTGTCATTTACCAGTGTGTTTCGTGAAGGCAAAACAAAGATCTCACTGTAAGGGGAACAGGTATTAGCCTTAATAACAGCCGTGTAGCAGGACCCCACACAGCAACCTTTGCTAATGGTGCTTTCCTTGCTGCTCCTCCCCTTCCTTTGCTAGAGATGCCTCTTAACCCCTCTGGCTGATTTTTGACCCATGGACTTGACCATTTGTTTAGGTGTCATGAGAACACAGACGATATTTCATTTTCTCGGTACTCCCTGGGGCAAAGTCAAGCACAGAGCTCTGACTCACTCGACGCTTGTGGAAGAAGAATCTTTTCATTATCCATCTTATTGCATTAGAAACCTCTGATGTTGCAGAACTCCCATTTCTGCGAACCCTCCAGGGGAAGCTGCCACTGAAGTTGACCTGTAGAGAAACTGAAGCTATGGGAGATTCAAGGATCTGCTTAAGACATCTATGGGAGGAGATCTGTCACCTGTGATCATGCAATTTTTCATGGTGCTCTCTCTAGCTTTCAATTCGACCAGGCATATAGAGATGCATGTACTCTGTGTAAGCACCATGCTAAGTACCGTGGGTGAACCAAAGATGAATGAAACCAAGCAAACAATAACCTAACACTGAGCTAGGTGCTGTGGGAGATGATGATAATGCTAAAGCACCTTTCAGAGAGTACCTACTATGTGCCAGGCACTGTGTTAGGCAATCTATGTGCATTTACTCAAATTCACAACAATGCAACGGAGGAATTCTCTCCATTTTACAAATGAGGAAACTGACGTTCAGAGAGGTTCTGTGACATGGCCAAGGCCATTCAGTGAGTAAGTAGCATTGGTATTCAAAGCATTGTTGTCTGGCTCCAAAGCTTGCATCCTTCTCTCTGCACCAGACTGAGATTAAAAAAAGAAAAAGGCAGCAGAAGGTTCAATGTTAGCCTGAAGGAAATAACAGCAGAGAACAGAATGTGACCAGGCTCCTTAGTAAGGCAGAGGTCAGGGAGGGGAGGGAAAGGGAGAGCTGTCTGGGAGTAAAGGTTCCCCAGCGGAGCACCTTAGGTTAGTCTTCCTTGCCTTCCAGGCCAGCACTTGATCTGCTGAGGGAGTTGAGAGCTAACTTGGATTCTAATTGCACTTCTGTCATTTAATGTTTACTATGACCCTGGTCAGGAGAGTGAAGTGATGAAGAGCCTGGATCAGACACACCTGGGTTTATGTCCCAGTTCCACTAATTTATTAGCTGTGTGTTCTTGGGCAAGTCACTTAACCACTCTGGGCCCAGTTTCCTCACCTGTGAAATGAAGATCAGAATAGTTCCTAGCTCTACAGGGCTATGGTGAGGATGACATGTGAAAATGTGTGTAAAGTGCTCAGCACAGAGTAATAGTAATACTATCTGTTAGGAGTTAGCACTTACTAGGTGCCAGGCGTTGGGCCCAAAGTGCCTTCTGTACATTATCTCATTTAATCCTAATGATAACATTATGAGGTAGGTACTATTATTATTGACATTTGATAGATGAGGAATCTGAGGCCCAGAGTGGTTAAACGATTTGCCTGAGGCCACAGGACTAACAAGTGGCACAGCTGAAATACACAACACCCAGTAAATGAGGCTAAACACAAAAAAGGAATTGGAGGAGTGAGGCATCTGCTTTAGGAGGTACACTAGGGTCTGTGGGGACTCGAAGAAGAATTTTTGCCCCACCTGTACCCTGGTGGGAGGATGAGATGCATTCTTTCTTCTGGGTGGGGTACACTAACTACAGCAAAGCCTTCTCTTCTACCTCCAAAGGCAGCAGGTCAGAGGCTCCCAAGAGTGAGGAATTTCAGCTCCCTCTGGGTAGGACTGTTTTCTCTCTGGTAATTACAACTTGTCACTCTCTGGTGAGCATGCATTCCCCCAACCCAGAACTGCCAGTCATACAGCACTCCCTGGTAAGGCAGAGAGAGCTCAGTGGCAGCCCTTTGCAGCAGGCTGGTAAAGATTAACTGGCAAGTCACCCAGGGGTTGAAAGTCACCCAGGGGCTGAATGCACATCACATGTTTGGGGAGAGCCTGGGAGCTGGGGAGTGAGGCGGGGGCTGGGGTGTGAAGGCACAGGGTGCCGGACGGAGAATCCGAAAGGCCTGCTGTCTCTGAACTAGAGAGCAGATCCATTCTCTCTTATGCCTTCGTGCTATTCTGGTGGGACAGTGTAAACAGGCTGCCAAAACCCACCCATGCTGCTACAGAATCGAGGGTGAAGGGGAGTGTGTGCTGCCTTCTTGAATGGCTCTGGCTGACCCTTGCTGGCCATGGGCTTGCCACTATCACTTTGCCCAAAAATCTATGGTGCCTCCAGAATTTCTCTGGAAAAGATCTTTAAGTTGCAGTCTTGTTTGAAGGTGGGCATGCAGCCGTTTGCCCCATGACCTTCTCAAGATAGATGTCACTGTTCACATCACAGATCCAGGGCAGGGAGCTGATAGAGATTTTACTGGGGCAAAAGTCCTCCCAAGCTTCCTTGGTATTGCTACTGCCAGGATCTATTTCCCAACCACACGTCCTAAAGTCATCAAAGGCAAAAAACAAACAAACAAAAAAACTGCAAAAAACAAAAGACAAAGCAAAACAAAAAAACAGCAAAAAATACCTATGGCAATAGGTTCCTTACAGCTGACATTTCAGGGCCTTGGTCCCTCTGGGCTGCACTGCCACAAGTCAGGATCAGAGACTACAGAAGTGTCAGAACTAGAAAACTCTAGAGATCATCTAGTTCAGAGTCTGCAAACTACAATTAATCGATCAAATCCAGCCTAGTGCCTATTTTTGCAAATAAAGTTTTACTGGAACACAGCTTGCTGATTTGTTTGCGTGTTGTCTATGGCTGCTTTCAGGTTATAATGGCAGAGTTGAGTAGCTGCAACAGAGACCGTCTGTCCGGTAAAGCCTAAAATATTTACTCCCTGGACCTTTGCAGAAAAAATTTGTTAACCTTTCATCTAGTCTAATGCTCTTAATTTGCATATGAGAACACAGAAGGCCCAGAAAGAGGGAGAAATTTGTCTGAGGTAGAGCCAGGGTCACTAGCCAGGAGATTTGACTCCATGCCCACAACTTGCTTTTGCCACCACTTTCATCTGTTTCTGCAGCATGGCACAGATTCTGAGTTTGAATCCCGGCTTTAGTTGACCCAGATGTGTGACCTTGGGCAAGCTACATAAACTCTTTCAGCCTCTTTATTTTCATCTGTGCCCAGAGGATAATGCTTTCTATTTCTTGAGATAATGCACATTCTAGGTGGTTGTGAAAATTAAATGAACTGTATATAGTCTGTGTTGCTCAGGCTGGGAGCTGGCTCGTAAAAACACTCAACAAAGAACTCTACTATTATTATATTGATGTTCTCTATAATTTAAACCTGTTTGTATGTATGTAGGATATATATGTGTGTGCGTATATGTATGTATGTATATATAAGATGTATCTCTTCCACTTCAAATTTCTTAAGGGAAAAGGCTGTCTTTTACCTGTGGTTCTTAAAACTTTTTGGGTTCTAGACCTTATTGAGAATTTGCTGCAAGCTGTGGATGCAGCTGTGGATACGTTCTTTACCCTACACTTTTCCTGAATTCCTTATAGGGGCTTCCTAAGTGCCAAGTCCTTGGCAGGGCCCCTTGATCAATTGATTTCCATTTTGTTGCTTTTATTTTTGTTTGAGGAGCCTCTCTGTTGTAACTCTCTTTGTCTAGGCATAACCTCTTTCACTTTTGGGCAATAGAACTAATTAAGTGTTTCACCATTTATTATGGAACAGAACTTGAACTGAATGTAGTGAATTGATGCCGGCCTTCCTTGTCCTCCCGTAGTTTACAGTCTAAGATAAATAACGGGAATGTGCAATGGAGGATGCATAGAGAATTGTGTCTGACATTGAACAGGGATGTGAGTTAAATAAGGAAATAAATACATGACACAAATCTCAAGTTTCTCCATCCTTTCTCTTCTTCCTTTTTTTGTGCTCTCTGAACCAAACCATCCAACCCTTTTGGGGGATTTTCACTTGTAGCTACCAAGTTCAGAAAAGTCTAAAGGAAGTGGTGGGAACCTTTTCCTTGGGGTCATCCAAAAATTGTATCTGGACAAAGTGTTAGAGCCCAGCTTTGGAGAGGACAGACCAGGCCCCAGGGGAGCAAGGCAAGGGAGTGATGTCAGAAGGCGGTTTCTGCCTTCTCATCTCCATTGTCTGGCAGAGGTGGCAGTGTAGGGTCTTGGAATGAGTGTGGGCTTGCTTGGGAAATAGCATGTGGCATGACTTGGGAACGGGGAGCATAGTGAAGGGGGGAGCAGCGTGAGAAAGAGGCAGTTTCCTTTGCCCATCTTCATTGTGCATTGAGGAATGCTGGGACAGGAAATGCCCAGTGTGTCTCTGCTGTTTACTGGACACCAAACCAAAAGATTTGGAAGGTTGCCTTGGGAGTCCTGAAAAGATGAGGGGAGAAAGAGGCAGTATTTTGGTTTTTTGGCTTCTTGTGGCACTTCTTGAGTGAGTGCTCGGGGAATGGGGGAGATTTTGTGGAGACTTTTAGACAGGAGCAGCCTGGTATAATGGCAATTAGCTATGAGGTGTGAATTGCAAGTGCCTGGGAGGGCCCCAAATATTTCCCCTGCCCTTTGGAGCGCTACCCACTTACAGGTAAGCATTGCCTGCTTTCTTTGGCCCCATTTGAATTAACTATGACTTACTGAGTGCAGTTATGCATGCAGCATTGTGCCAAGTGAATCCATATGCGTCATCTCATTTAATTCTCCGAACAACACTTCCGTGGTATGTCTTAATCGCTTGCACTGCTGTAAAGGAGTACATGAAGCTGGATAGTCTATAAAGAAGAAAGGCTTATTGGGGCTGTACAAGAAACATGGTACAGGCATCTGCTTCTGGTGAGGGACTCAGGCTACTTCCACTCCATAGTGGAAGGGGAAGGGAAGCTGGCATCACGTGGGGAAAGAGGAAGAAAGAGGAGGACGTGCCAGGCTCTTTTGAACAACAAGCTCTCACTCACTCCTGCAAGAATGGCACCAAGCCATTCATAAGGGATCCTCCCTCACAATCCGAACACCTCCCACCAGGCCCCACTTTCAACACTGGGGGATCGAATTTCAACATGAGACTTGATGGGGCCAAATAAACCATATTCAAACCATAGCGTGGTTGATACCGTTAGCTCCAATTTACAGGTGAGAAAACTGAAGATAAGAGAGATTCATTAACTTGTCCAAAATTACTCAGAAATGGGATTAGAGCACAGGCAGTCCAGAGAGGCAGAAGTTGTGCTGGGCTGTGTGCACAACACAAATATGTGCCTGTCTCCATGGTGAGGTCTGAGGATTGAATCTCTCCTCCTAACACTTCCTGGGGAACCTTAAGTGAGTTTATGTCAGGATCCTGCCTTAACTCTTCCAAGAAGGGTGGGAGACCTGATTCAATAATTGTCTTTAAGGAGGGCAAAAATTATTGGTCCCATGATGGCAACCAACTCTGTGTGTGTGTGTGTGTGTGTGTGTGTGTGACAGAGAGAGAGAGAGAGAGAACAAACAGCTATAGATGCCAAAGACAAAGACAGCATGAGAAACGCCAGTTAGCCCTAAGGAAGTAGCTTATTAAACACCAAACTGGCTTCATCCAGACAGATAAAATTCTAGCTCCTGCCACTTCCTGGCTTTGTGACCTTGGGCAAGTTACTTTATTTATTTAAGCTTCTATCTGTTTATCTGTAAAATGGGGATTTTAATAGTATTTACCACATGGAGTTGTTGGGAAGATTAAATGGAACTGTGCCTGGCACCTAGAAAGCTCTCAATAAATGTTAGTTATTATGGATATTTTTGTATAATCTTAAAAACACACAAAAGATTTCTCAGTATCTGGAGTATTTAGGTACAGATTTTCTCTGTTAATCTCTCAGCTATCCTTACAGAGCTTTACTTGCCAAATGATGTCACTGATGCATTTTTTTTTTCTGACATAAATTGCCCTGAACAAACAGCGGCTGGTAAAAGAACAACAATACAAATAATAACAGCTAACATTTGTTGAGAACTTCTGTGTACTAGGCATCTGTTATATACTTTACATGAATTATCTCATTCTAATACAAGAATCTTATCAGGTAGGCAGAAATAATATATCTGGCCTTTGAGAGGCAACTTCTGAAATTGCCATATCCAGAGAGCCAGGGCTTGTTGGAAATATTTCTATCCACAGTGAGGTTGGAGATCAAGCCGGTGTGGGTGTTGGTGAGCTTGGGGAATGGGGTGTGGCAGGCAGTTGGCCAGTGAACTTGCTGTGCATTGGGAGAGAAACCCAGCTCAGTTCAGCAGGTGGAGTGGCAGGTCCTTGGACTATATAATTCATGGCCATTGGTACAATTAGTGTCAACAGGAATTTTCCTTGTGTATCAGACCAAAGAGGCTCGAAGGCTATAAATCATCTCACTGGAGGCTGGCCATTCATACCCTAGAAGGGCAGGGAAGGCAGGGGGACTCGTGTGAACCTCCATCTTCCAGGTCCTCTGGGAAGGGGATGAAGAGAAGGAAGCAAAGGGAAGGGAGTGAATGCCAGGGAATTTGTATTTTCAATTAAATCCCAGGGACTAAGTGGAAAAGAAAAAAGAGTATTCAGTCTGGAGCTCTCAAGTCAAGCCGGGGAACTTCTCCTTAAAACAGATGGATCATCTCCAGGTGCGAAAGTTTGGCCCTTTGTTGCCACTCAAAAACTTTAGAATTTTCCTTTGTTCAGTCTAGGGAACTGCTCACTTTTCCCCTTCTTGGTCCTGCTCCATCAAGAGCCTGGAATTTAGAAAGGAAGGAATGTAGAGTGTTGAGTAGGCAAAGGTTTGTCTGCATAGCCAGCTATGCTCAAACTTTACAGGGAATAAAAGTCATCTAGAGCAAGCCTTAAGATGCAGATTCCTGGGCTTCAGCCTTAGATATCCTAATTCAGCAGGTTTGAAATGGGGTTCAGGAATTTATATTTTTGTAAGTAACCCAATGATTTGATTGCAGAAGACTACATTTTGAGAAACATTATTTTGGTCCAACATCCCCACTTTTACAGATGATCCAATGGAGGTCATCTGTAAAATGGTTGAATGTTTCATATAGAGGGTTCTTATACACATAACTTGGTTGAATGTCTCATAGAGAGGGTTCTTATATGCATAACTTGGTTGAATGTCTATAGAGAGGGTTCTTAACTTGGTTGAATGTCTCATAGAGAGGATTCTTATAGGATGCAGGTCTTAAACCCAGGTTTTCTGATTGCCAGTCTGGCCAGTCTTGCCTCCACTGGGCTCATTAAAAATGGCATTGTGGTTGGTGCGGTGGCTTACCCCTGTAATCCCAGCACTTTGTAAGGCTGAGGCTGGCAGATCACCTGAGGTCAGGAGTTCAAGACCAGCCTAGCCAATGTGGCGAAACCCTATCTCTACTAAAAATACAAAAATTAGCCTGGTGTGGTGCTGTGTGCCTGTAATCCCAGCTATTTGGGAGGCTGACAGGAGAACTGCTTGAACCTGGGAGGCGGAAGTTGCAGTGAGCCAAGATTGCACCTCTGCACTCCAGTCTGGGTGACAGAGCAAGACTCTGACTCAAAAAAAAAAAAATGGCATTGACTTTCACTTGCTGTAGTTTATTCTTGCCTAGTGTCTCCATTCATCACACCTCAGCTCAGGGTCATTTCCTCAGGGAAGACTGTCCTGCCCCTCCCCACTCAGTCTAGGCAAGGTTCCTTTGTTTTCCACACCCAGAAAATCACCTCTCTCTCTTTTATAGCATTTGCTATGGTTTGTGGTTACATACTTCTGCATATGACTCTTTGATCACACTCTGTCTCTCTCCCTAGGCTTCAGGCTCAATGAGAGCAGGGCAGTGTTTCTTTTTGTTCCTCCAAGGGACTAGTGCATTGTCTAATGGTTAGTAAGTGCTCAGTAAATATTTATTAGATGAGTGAGTGAATGAATGAATGAAAAGGACAGTTTGATCTCAGCCTTAACTGAAAGTCAAAATAAAGCAGTATTTGTGAAACTTTTGTCTTTCAATGGCATTCTCTTTTTAGACATTTTAAAGTTATCATTCTTGTTTCTGGCCCAGCCTTTTTGATTCCAAATGCCCATTGCATTCCTGCAACCTCAGCTTCCAGCATGCAAAATTGTGTAGGAGGAGGCTTGCTTTGTTGGATTGTCTATGTGTCTATCACAATTTTTCTATTTCTGTAGTGAATTTTGTGTTAGAAACCTATTCTCCTCTCTGCAACCCTCTCTTCCTTTCAACTATAACCCCTCCCCAAGATCCCAATGGTCTCCTGTTGCTTCCAGCAACCCCCAAATCTGACCTTTTCTAACCTTTTGTTCTCAAATTCTACCAATGTCCTATTTCCTACAGGCCTGGTGCATGTTATGAACTCTTCAAAGAGATAGGTTCCTGCTAACGCTGGATAGTGACTTGATCTGTTGGCTCCTCTTCCTCTCCTTTCAGTTTTAACTAAGATCATCACTTTCTTAACTAAAGCTGTGTGCTCCAATGAGCTGGTCAAATTCTTGACTCTATGGAGCCCATCAAACACTGATGATAGGAGGAAGATTCTAGTGATTAGCAGATATTTATTGAGCACTGTGTTAGGGTCTGAAGTTCATACAAGGATGAATTAAAAGTATTTCTTTCTCCCAAGGCTCTTTATGGGAAGAGAGTCATGGACTCACATTCAATAATGGTGTGGCAGTTAAACAACACTTCAGGAGACTTCAGTATCTTGTTACTTGCCAAACAACTGATGATCACAAGTGCTATGAATTTAAATTAGACAATGTGTATAATGCACTTTGGAGTGGGCCTGACACATAGTAGGCTCACTCAGTAATGCTAATCCTTCTTCCGTCTAAGGGAGGGAGAGATTTTTCTGGGCTGGAGTAGGCCACCTGGTCTCCATTGAGGAGGTGCCTTCCATTAAGGTTCTGGGAAGCACACACGATTTGTGAGGAAACTTTTTCAGTTCCACAAATGTACCCATTTGCATTCAGGATTAATTTCTTTTTGGGAACAACTACTTTCCTTGAATTAAAGCAGGTCTCCTAGAACCTAGCTTATCCACACTTTTTCATGTGCTGTGCCTTCATAGGAGAGAGGCATTTAGAATCAGAGCTGGAAGGGACTGTAGAAGTTGTGTAGCCCTTTCCTCATTTCCCAGGTGGGGAAACTGAGGCCAGGCAAGTTACTTGACCATGGTCACTCAGAGCCAGAACCAGAACTGAGGTCTCTAATGTCCAGACCCATAGTCTTAAAAATAACTGTATGCTATTTTCATTGTTCAAATACTAAACAAATGCAAGCAGCTTTTTAAAAATTATTAAGGTAAATTGTGCTCATTGCAAAACTATGGAAAGACATACAAAATGAAAAGAAAATCAGTCTCATTTCACTATCAAGAGAACATCGTTGTTAACATTTCGGCAAATGCTTTCTAGTATTTACACACACACACGCATACATGCACGTGCACACACACATACAGGTGTGTGTGTGTACAGGTCAGGTGACTTTTGTTTGGACCCCAGCCTACTTTTAGCCTCCCTTTGTAACGGAAGCTGTGCCCTGAGTCTTCCACCTGTCGGGCCCAGGCGGACCCTCCCCTCCAGCTCTAGGGGAGGACTCCTGACCCAATCAGAGCCAAGGAGTACCCAGGTGCTCTTAAGACATGGGATTTGAAGATGAGGGGATGTGAGGTTTGGAGCCAGGTCTGGAGGTGTTCTGGTTGCTATGCAGCCACAGTAAGAGAGCCTGTCTGGGTGTGAATGGAGCTGAGTGAATGTGGCCGCCCTTCCCACACACTCCCACGGGAGTTGCCAGAATAATTTCTACCCTTTAAAGTAGCTACTTGGCCATTACCAGTGGATCCAATTCTTAGCTAAAGGACTTTGAGCAAGTCACTTAACCACTGAGTCCAGTTTCCTCATCTGTAAAATGGGATAACACTTGGAGGATCATAGTGAGGATAATATACCACTACTCCTACTAATAACAAAAATAGTAGTTAAATTTACAGCTGCTTTTATTAATTGTTTGCTAGATATCAGGGCTATGCTAAGCAGTTTAGTATATTGCGTCATTTAGGCTTCACATGGACAGAGAGTGGAAGGAAGAGGGATTTACTTATTGTTGCCTGGGTACAGGGAAGGACTAAGACACAGGGCCAGGTCCCAGCTGCCCTGATTCCTGGTGCAGTCATTTGCTAACTGATTGCTTCTGCCTGTTTGAACATTTGGGGTGGGAACCTTGATGCTTTTCAGGGCCTCTTGCCTGGGTCCTCTAGAGGGACAGGATGCTGGTTCCAAACTAGAGAATGGTAAGGTCCTGCCGGGCTGTTGAGGCAGAGGTGGGGACACTGGCCAGAGCCTTCTCTGTCTGCAGAGTCCCCCTTCCTGGCTGTGCCCCAGAGTTCCCTAGGTAACCGCGGGGGATGCAGCACAGATTCATGGGCCTGCTGCTCCCAAGCAAGTACCTGACGTGTTCTGTCCGAGAGCGACAGTGTCTGATTCCTGTATGACTCATCAGGAGGGGAATAGACACACGCCAGAGGCATAGGAGGAAGGAAAACCCCCACATTCTCACCTCCCACCAGCAAAGGGATGAAGAGGAATTTCTCCACTGCACACACTGCTTAAAAGGCAGGTGTTTTCCACATTTTATAGATGGGGAAAGTGAGGATCCATTACATCCACTCTTTCATTTGTTCCATGGACATCGGTTGAGCAAGGGCTTTGTGCCAGGCATCATGTCAGATTGTGTGGGAGACACAAACTTGGGAAAAACACTGACTCTACCATCAACTGGGCTGTTGACTAAGATGTGGCAACAGGAAATGTCACCCAGGGTGGGGCCTTGAAGAGTGGGAGGGCCCCAGGAGTTAGCATGTCAGTCATTTGTCTTTGAATAGGTTCAACTTCACCTCATTTCAAACATTCCTTTTTTTTTTTTAAATGGTGGTTAAAAAATACATAACATCTATTTACCCCTTTAACAGTTTTTAAGTACACATTACAGCATTGTTAACTCTATGGACTTCTTTGTACAGCAGATCTGTAGAACTTGTTCATCTTACATGAATGAAACTGCAGACCCATTGAACAACAACTCCCCATTCCGCCTCCCCCAGCCCCATTCTACTCTCTGTTTCTATGAATTCAACTACTTATCTCATGTAAGTGAAATCATATTGTATTTGCCTTTTTGTGACTGACTTATTTAACTTAGCATAATGTCCTCAAGGTTCATCCATGTTGTAGCATGCATCAGAATTTCCTTCCTTTTTAAGGCTAATATTCCATTGTGTGTATATAGTGTATATATCACATTTTCTTTATTCACTCATCTGACATTTAGGTTGCTTCCACAACATTGAGGATAATGCTGCAGCAAACATGGGTGCATAAATATCTTTTGGAGATACTGTTTTCAATTCCTTTAATATATACTGAGAAGTGGGATTATTGCATCATATGGTAGTTCCATTTTTAATTTTTTGTGGAAGCTTTATAGTATTTTCCATAGCAGCTGTTCCACTTTACAATCCCACCAACAGTGTGCAAGGCTTCCAATTTCTCCCCAACCTCACTAACAATTGTTATTGTTTTTTAATAGTGACCATCCTAATGGGTGTGAGGTGATATCTTGTGGTTTTGATTTGAGTTTTTCTGATGATTATTAATGTTGAGTATCTTTTCTTATGCTTGTTGGCCATTTGCATATCTCCTCTGGAGAAATGTCTATTCTTTGTCTACTTTTGAATTGGGCTATTTGTCACTGCAAACATTCTTTGAGCATCTACTTCTACATGCTGAGAAGAGCTGAGATGAACAAGAAGCCCCTCAAGAAGCTTTCAGGAAGGCTTTTGAGATTTTTCTCAAAGCAACATATCTGGTTAATTATAAGAAATTTGAACTATACAGAAATTAAAATTATAACTTATAACAGGTTCATCAATTTATACTGGTATTCAGAAATTCTCCTTCCCGTCCCCCTCCCCTCCCCCTCCCCTCCCCCTCTCCCTCCCCCTTCTCCTCCCCTTCCTCCTCCTCCTCCTCCTCCTCCTCCTTCCTCTTCTTGTAGTGATCCTAGTGGGGTTCTATTTGACTTATTTGGCTGTGCTGGAAGAGCAAAGGGTGAAGGGTGCACCTGCTGACAAGACCCGTCACTTCTCCCTCTGCCTTTATCCTCTGAGGAAGGCAGGAGGGAGGAAAATGAGATTTCTCTGGGTTCTTCAAGAGAATGGATTATCTTTGATCTCTGACTCTTTGGGAGCTTGTTGGAATTTACATAATAAATAATTATAAGTTAATGTACCTACTTAAAAATAGTACATATATATTATATGTCTAATATCTATAACATGTATAATAGTAAAACATAATATAATGAATATATAATAATAAGTATATCCATAGGCAGGTTTTTCCCTTCGGAGTAGTCACCTCAGGAGGCCATGAGCTTGTTTTCATAGTCCAATTAAAACTATTTTCTCTCCTCTTTCATTATTCTTCTCAAACCAGTTTGCACATTCTTGTGACCATCATGGTGGAATTAAGTACTCATTCTTTGAGAGCAGATGTAATTTTCAGAAGCAATCCACAGTCCTTATGAAGACACTCTGAGCTGGTCCTTAGCCTGTCTGTCCCAAGTCCATTCCATGGCCTGTCTTGCACTGCTCTGCATGGCTGGGGGGCTGCCCACCCCCCAACCTGCCAGCTGGGCTTGCTCAGTGGGGGGTATGGCAGAAGGGAGAGAGACAAGAGAAGTGAGGACATTGCTCCCCTTTGCTGACTCTCTCTCTCCCTCAGGGGCTATTTCTGATTAAGTTTCGTCACTTTCATGGCTCTCACTACACTGGACAGATCTAGTAGTACAAATACATCTATAAAAATAAAATCAATGGCTTGCTACATGCCAGCATGAATTTGCTGTAAAATATAAAAGAAAACAGATTCTACTCACCATAACAACCAAATATGCAATGCCCAGGAATAACTTTAACAAGGAACGTACAAGACCTATATGAAGAAAGTGACAAAACTTTACTGAGGGGAATAAAAGAGGCCTTGAATAAACGGAAAGATGTATTCCACTTCTGGGAGCACTGTAAGGATGTCAATGCTTCTCAATTTAACCTATTAATTTAATGTTGTTCCATTGAAAATATCACTGGAATTTGGAGGGAATTTAATAAAATGATTCCAAAGTGCTTCTGGTAGAATAAATGCTTAAGAATAACCAAAAACTTTCAGAAAAAAAGGGTAGGTGGAGGGAATTTCCCTACCAGATTAAAAGGCTTGATAATGTAACTGTAGTTGAAACAGTACTACTGGCAGAAGGTCAGGCTGGCAGATTATTGGACTAGAATAGACTATTTAAACTAGATTCAGCACGTATGAGAATTACTGTGTTGATAAAGGCATTTGTGAGGAAAGGAAATATCACCTTTATCAATATATTAGTTGGGTATTTGGAAAAAATAAAGTTACAGCCTTACTTCTCATCTTACATCCACTGTACATTCCAGATAAATCTCTTGGCAGAGATTCTGGGAATCTTGTGGTCTAAAACAGTCATTTCACAGGCTATAAAACAGATACAGAAAGGAGAAAGATCTTGCCTGAGGACACACAACACATTAATAGCAGGGCCAAGGACTCTTTACTTCCGATTTGGAGCTGTCTACCCTTTAAAGACCCATCTTTACAGTCCAGTTCATTGCCTCCTGCCACAGTTTTCATTTCCATAAGGCATCACAGGAGTAGGGCTGCCGGGTGCCGTTGTGCAGGTTATGACTGTACCATTTCAGGGGGATCCATTTACATCAAAATCTATATGAGTGGTACCCTTTTGGAGCTGTGCAGAGCACTGTCAGTATGGGCATACTTAGGAGTCCTGCTCAGGAGGATGGATCTGGAATTCATTCTTCAGCAAGGATGATAAATACTTATGACATGCGGTGAAGCTTCTTTCTCCAGTACACATGGCTGTCAATCAATTTTCCAGGCATTGGCTGTCAATCATGTTAGTCTTTCCCACTGAGCCCAGACTTAATCTCAGAATCTTTCCCAACCAAATCCTCTAAGATATCTCAACCCAGTTCTTCCACTAGTTGCCTTTCCTTCTTTCCTTCCTTCCTTCCTTCCTTCCTTCCTTCCTTCCTTCCTTCCTTCCTTCCTTTCTTCCTTCCTTCCTTCCTTCCTCCCTCCCTCCTTCCCTTCCTTCTTTTATTTCTTTCTTCCATTCTTTCTTTTCTTTTCTTTTTTTCTTTTCTTTTCTTTCTTCCTTCCTTCCTTCCTGACAGGGTCTCACTTTGTCACCCAGGCTGGAGTGCAGTGGCATGATCAAGGCTCACTGCAACCTCAACCTCCCAGACTCAAGCAATCTTACTGCTTCAGCCTCCCACGTAGCTGGGACTACAGGTGTGCACCACCACACTTGGCTAATTAAAAAACTTTTTTTTGTAGAGATGGGGTCCCACTATGTTGTTCAGGCAGGTCTTCAATTTCTAGGCTCAAGTTATCCTCCTGCCTCTGCCTCTCAAATGTGGGATTACAGGCATGAACCATTGCTCCTGGCCTCCACTAGTTTTCAATTGTAGCTGGCCCTTGAACTAAATAAAATCCATTTGCTTTAACTGTTTTAAGTGAGTAGCTCAAATTTGTCCTCAGAAGGATCCCCCTTCCAAGTCTCTTCTCAGCTTCTATTCATTGATATCAACATAGATGTGATGAAACTGCCAAACAAAACAATCAATACGGCCATGGTAACATTATAGGATGCTTTAAGGATTAAATGCAAAAATGCAGATAAAATCTTTAGATAGTGACTGCCAATAATTAGTATTTTCAAATAACAATGAACTATTTAAAAATCACCTTGTTGAAATCTATAAACATGTGTTTGTTTTGCTAACAGCCTCTAATGTATTCTCAATCTAACCCCTAGTTTCCAAACATACATTAGAGATATAAACTGCTGAGTATTGTTGAGAATCATATGTTTATCAGAGTTTCAGTCATCAAACACACACACACACCCCACTTCTGGGAATCAGTTTCTGTGATCCAGAAGCTGCTAAAATCTATGGGCGATAGTTTTCTCTGCCCTCCTGTCTTACAGCTGTCTCCTGAGTCAGTCTCTCTCCCACTCTTCCTGCTCTCTGTGTTCACAGGGAACCAGTGATATGCAGGGTTGTGGGGGCAGCAGGGGTTAAGAGCAGCTTCAGTGGCTCCCTTTGGCATTCTAGAAGCAACCAAACACATTTGCTGGACCCAGATGCCAACACAACTGGTTCCTTTAAGTGGAATCATCAACAGAGCCAGCAGAGACACCACAGATCAGGCTTGCCAGGGCTTCTCTGCCTGTGGTTTGCCTGCCTGGCTGGGCAGGGTGAGGAGAGGGGAAGAGAGGGAAGGGGATGGGAGCCGGAAGTGGCAGGGAGCCCTATTAGCTATGGCATAAGATGCGGGAGCTGTGCCAGCCCCGAGCCCTCTGTCATCCCAGCCTCTGGCAGGAACATTTCTGTTCAGGCGCCAGTGCCCTTGTCCTTACTCTGCCATCGGGCCTTTTATAAGTGGACAAGGAAAAGGTGGCCAAACCCCTTAGATGTCCCCTTAGGTCAGAATGGCAGAGAATGTCCCAGCAGGAAGGGACTTTCAGGATCATGTAACCCAGACTCTTAATTTTACAGATGAGGGCACTGGGATTCTGGAAGCACCATCTTGACTCACATGTTTACCAACAAGGACAGGCCTGGGCTCTTTTAAAGACCCATACAGGACAACTCTGTGGGAGGTTAGTAGTTGCGCCTAATCTTGAGGAGAAATGGGCAGCGATTTTAGGAACCTTGGAAAGCCATTGGAGGAAACATTTCTGGCAGTGGGGAAATTTTAAAAATCACTCCACCTAAATGGCTACCTGCTTTGAGGGACCAGTCCTTTTTTCTTTTTTTTTTTTAGATGGAGTCTCACTCTGTCACCCAGGCTTGAGTGCAGTGGCGTGATCTCTGCTCACTGCAACCTCTGCTGCCCAGGTTCAAGCGATTCTCCCGCCTCAGCCTCCCGAGTAGCTGGGATTACAGGTGCGTTCCACCACGCCCGGCTAATTTTTGTATTTGTAGTAGAGACGGGGTTTCACCATATTGGTCAGGCTGGTCTTGAACTCGTGACCTCATGATCCACCCACCTCAGCCTCCCAAAGTGCTGGGATTACAGGCGTGAGCCACCACGCCTGACTGGGACCAGTCCTAAGCATAGCCAGGTTAGTTAGTGAGAGAAGCACAGGAAACGAGGAAAATAGTTGCTGGGGTTTAAAAAGCTGCATTTTCCTCCCAGCTCTGTCATCTCCTTGCTGTGTGACTTTGGATCAGTTGCTTGGTTGTCTGAGCCTTGACTTTCTAGCCATTGCCAATAGGCCCCAAAGGATTGCTGGGAGAAAAGAATAAAAGATATGCAGGCTATTTTTCCATTGTCTCATATTATATGAATAATTATTTGAGACCTGGGCAGAATTTGGTTATGTGGAGCTGTTTTACTTGTTTTGATGTGCTGAGCATAGAGTTAGGTGCTTTTCCATGGGAATTCATTAAATAATATGCAACAATCCTGCATCTTTTTGACTTGGTGACTTGGAGAAATAGGATTTGTTTTCCCCCTGTGCTGGGCAGTACTCTCTGTCCTTGAGAATTTTGTCAAGGGGGTTGTTACATTTGTGATTTCAGTGGAGCGCGGCTGATGAGTATGTTACCCTGAGATGATCACATCATAAAACAAGGATGGATTTGACAGAGGACCTAATATGCTCTTCACATGCAATTCATTTCACATCATATTTCGTTTCCAAACCCTGAGAAATACGGGATACCTGTGCCCACATTCACTAAACAGTAGCTTTTTAAATGTTTCTTCTCTGAGCACACACCTTTCATTTGACTCAGAAGGAACATGAGAATTCCAGGAACACATTTAATCACTTAAAATTAGTTGTGCCATCAGTCTCAGGAGAATTGACACAAGAACTGGGAATTATAGCAAGCACACTCATGGAAGCATGTTCCCCAGAAGATGGCTGCATTTGGGCTCAGGTGTGATTTCACATCCAAAGCTTTTAAAAATTTAAGTTTATCTAAATTGATCTTGAGTAACTTCTTCCTTTACCTTCCTTCCTTTAGCTTGTTTATTTATTTTTAACAGAAGGAGGTCCCATTTAAAAGTCATATTCTTTTGAATTCTAGAAACTAGAATTTCAAAGTCTTAGTTCTGCTTCATCTTCAAGTAACAGGACTGTCATTTATTGATTCAACAAATATTTACTGAGATTCTTCTATGTGTCAGGCACTGTGCTAGGTCCTGGGGATACCAGATTTCTGGGTAGATACCAATATAGCTTTTCATCCATCCATTCACCAGCAAGTATTTATTGAGCACCTACTATAGTTGTCAGGCACAGCACTATGTGAAGGGGACACAGGTGAATGAGACAGAAGAGATACTTGCTTTCATAGCCCCTATAGTCCGCTGGGAGCACTGAACTCCTGACCTCAGGTGATCCACCCACCTTGGCATCCCAAAGTGCTGGGATTACAGGCATGAGCCACCTCACCTGGCCCGGGAGCACTGAAATTGGACCACGCCTTCCAGGAGCTCACAGCTTGGTGTATGGGGCAGATATAGCACAAGAAATGCAAAACAGTATGTAAAGCCTTGAATACATTTGGACTGCAGAGAGCTTTGGAATGCCAAAGGGAGGATGGGAATGATCTTTTTTTTTCTTCAACTTTTACAAGTCCAGGAGTACATGTGCAGGATGTGCAGGTTTGTTACATAGGTAAACGTCTGCCATAGTGGTTTGCTGCACAGAAAGGATGGGAATGATCTTAAGAAAGAGTGGGATTGTAAATACTGAGCACAAGCTTGTAAACCTGAAACCTGGGTTTGAATTCTGTCTCTGTCTCTAGTAGCTGTGTAACTTTGGTGTCCCCTTGTCTTAATTTCCTGTTTTCTAAGAAGGTAGCAGTAGCATCTTGTTCCAGGTGGTGAAGCTTCAATGAGGCATTGTTTGTAAAGAAAGCATGTAGCACAGTTCCTGGTGGCTGCTCTTCTGCTTTCAGAGTTAATTCTGATAAAGACAAGATCCTTGGAAGGTGAAGATTCCACTGGGCCTGGGATGTGGTAAGCTGGCGAAATGGGTCCATGTGATCCTTGCTGCCATCTTGGTCTAGAAGGGTAGTGTCTTGTGAGAGGAAGAGCATCAGGCTCCAGCCGGCTCCACTTGTCGGCCTAGGTCAACCTTTCTCAGAGCGTGTGGGCTGCATAGATAGCGCTGAAGTGGTACAGAGGCAAGTGCTGAACAAATTGAAGAGCTGTGTATTTTTCTGTGTATTACAAAGATATCATCTTTCCATTTACAGTAGTTCTATAATGCTTCCTTTAAAGATAAATTTATATACATTAAAACATGATTTGATTTAAAGGAGAAACTTAAGAACTAGCGGAGGTATGTGAACATGGCAAAATCATGATGGTGCTTGTCTGATGCTCTGTTGTGCTAAAAGGAGCATAGGGAATGCTGGCTTGGAATGAGGTTCTTAATGGTAGTAGTTCTCCTTTTCCTTGTCTGTAAAATGACAGTGACAACATCACCTTCCTGGGGCTAGAGAGCTGACACGAGAGAATGCGTGTGAGGGGCCCTGCATAGTGAGTGGCCCTCTCCCCTGATGTTGCTCTATCCCTACCTCATGCATGACTATATTGCCCTCTTTTATTGTATCACGAACTAAAATTAATTTGTTTACAATTCCTCTCCATAACACTGAAATTCCAAACATTCTGAAAACTGAATGTTAAAAAAAAACAAGTTCGGCACACATCAGTTTATTTTTGATACAAATTTACAGTTTTTGTAGCAAAATTTGACCTAAACCGATGGGAAGCTATCTGCCTCCTTAATTTATCCCTCCAAGTGTAAATATTTACATGTGTGGAGACAGAACTGTGAATATGCTTGACTCTGATGTGCTGGCCTGGATTCTACGGAGTAGAGCGTATTATATGGTATTTGAAGTGCATAACCTCTCTAAAATGTGAAAAATTCTCTATCCCCTAAAACATCTGGTGACAAGCGTTTTAGTTAAAGGATTGCAGACTCTTAGTTGTTTGTTTTCCCAACCAGCACATAAATCCCAAGAGGGCAGGGATCACATTTGTTTTATTTAAGGCCATAGCCTCAGGCCTAGACCAGAACTGGCACATAGTAGGCACTTAGTAGATGTGAAGGAAGGCACTGAATGGGCGTCTCCCTGCGGGGCACCACAGCCTGTCTGTAGGGAGGGGGTTTCTAACACTTCAGCAAGGTGTAGCTGTTGACCACCTGGCCCCTTGCCAGGTAGGTGGATATTCTGGCCATGTGAGGGGCCAGCCTGAGTCCTGTGAAACTGGGTCTATCTTAGTGTTTGGTTCCAAGAGTGATTAGGTTTACTTGGGATGGTCCAGACTGGACACACTATGCAGAGAGGCCTTTCCAATCCAGGCCCCTCTGGCCTCTTAAACTCCCAGAGACTGGTGCAGATTCAGGGCCTGTGAAGCTATTTGAACTGTGGGAAAAACTTGCAAGTTTCCGCTTGCTTCCTGACCCATCAGGGCAGCCCCCAAATCTCTGGACTGGTATTTTCAAAAGCCTTTTGATGACAGTTGAGCCCCCGACTGCCTGTCTGCCCACCTTCCACAGACAGCACCCAGTTCTCTGCTCCTTTTGGCATAACAGAGCATCTTGCACGCAGCAGAAAGCTAGGAAATACTTACTGAATGACTGAACAAATGAAAGAAAGAAAGAATTGCATCTTTCTTGACATTTGACCTTTTCCCTTCTTCCTGGCTTAGTACAACCCCTAGTCTTTGCCTTTGAGGTCCCTGCATGTATGTCTTGTTTTCCACTTCATTTTGCAACATACTCAGCTATCAGTCTTGGCTCCCAGGCTGTGGTTGCCACTTGGAGCCCCTCCTTCCAAGCTGCCTCTCCATTCTCATATTCATCCCTATTAAGCATTGCTCCATCACTTCCTATGGATAAGGCACTGGGCATAAGCTCATTATCTCATTTAATTGTTTTATTCCCGCTTTACAGAGAGGTGAAGTAACTCATCCAACTTGGCATCAACTGCTCAAGTCACCAAAGGAGTGAGAGTTACCAGAAATGGATTCTACAGCTTTGTGGCTAATGTGTCAGGCTCTGAAATTCCACAGAGATGTTTTTCAGTCCCAGTTCTAACAGCATCTGCTTCAAAGAATATAAGTTCCAGGAAACCATGACAGATAGTCAATGACACATGTTTGATTAATTAATTCCATTAATTAAGTTAAATAATGCTCGTAAAATACAAATCAAAATCACAATGAAACACCATCTCATACCAGTCAGAATGTCTATTATTAAAAAGTCAAAAAACAACAGATGCTGGCAAGGTTGTGGAGAAAAAGGAATGATTTTACACAGTTGGTGGGAGTGTAAATTAGTTCAACTATTGTGCAAGACAGTGTAGCGAATCCTCGGCGACCTAAAGGTAGAAATACCATTTGACCCAACAATCCCATTACTGGGTATCTGCCCAAAGGAATAGAAATCATTCTATTATAAACATACATGCATGCATATGTTCACTGAAACACTATTCACAGTAGCAAAGATGTGGAACCAACCTAAATGCCCATCAATGATAGACTGAATAAAGAAAATATGGTACATATTCACCATGGAATACTATGCAGCCGTAAAAGGGAGTGAGATCATGTCTTTTGCAGGGACATGGATGGAGCTGGAGGCCATTATCCTCAGCAAACAAACACAGGAACAGAAAGCCAAATACCACATGTTCTCACTTACAAGTGGGAGCTGAATGATGAGAACACATGGACACGTGGTGGGTAACAACACACACTGGGGCCTGTCAGAGTGTTGAGGGGGAGAAGGGAGAGCATCAGGAAGAATAGCTAGTGGATGCTGGGCTTAATACCTAGGTGATGGGATGATCTGTGCAGCAAACCACCACGGCACATGTTTACCTATGTAACAAACCTGCACATCTTGCACATGTACCCCGGAACCTTAAAAAAATATGTAATGCTCATAAAGCTGTTATATAATGCTCATAAAAATGTTCAGTGACTGGCACAAACCAAGAGTCTTCAAAGGATAGCTGTTGTCTTTTTCTGAAGGAGAGTCTTGCTCTGTTGCTGAGGCTGGAGTGCAGTGGCGTGATCTCAGCTCACTGCAACCTCCACCTCCCGGGTTCAAGCAATTCTTTTGCCTCAGCCTCCTGAGTAGCTAGGATTTCAGGTGTGCGCCACCACGCCCAGCTAATTTTTGTATTTTTAGTAGAGGTGGGGTTTCACCATGTTGGCCAGGCTGATGTCCAACTCCTGACCTCGTGATCTGCCCGCCTCGGCCTCCCAGAGTGCTGG
Source organism: Homo sapiens (assembly GCF_000001405.40). NCBI lineage: Eukaryota > Metazoa > Chordata > Mammalia > Primates > Hominidae > Homo > Homo sapiens. Next base: position 159,891,986 of record NC_000005.10, on the reverse strand, counting down.
GATTACAGGTGTGAGCCAGCGCGCCTGGCCAGATAGCTGTTACTTTCATTTATCACGAGGAACCCCTTTCAAATTTCAGCATTGATAACTCAAGCTTTTTGACAGGTGCGAGTTACTCCTGTTCTGTAGCCATGGTTGAATCCTAAGGCGGCTCTCCCCTACCAAAATCAGGGCCTAGATTGAGCAGTCTAAAGTTTGTGCCCAATTCTGGTTTCTCCGCTACCACTTTGCCCTTGTTGCATGCAGAGTCAGGCCTGGCCTACAGCTGAAGACCTGAGGGAGGAGGGCTGCAGGAGGGTGTTATGAAAATTCTCAACAATGAATCACTGATGCTTTGCCCGAGGGTTAAAAGCACAGTCAATTTATTTTGCGCCTTTCCACCTCCAAGTCGTCCAGCTCCTGCAGGACCCTTAGCTTGGGAACATTAACTCAAGTGTGCCAGAGCCTCCCCTTCCTACTCTGTAAGCCACATTCTTACCTGCTTAAGAGGGTAAGCCACATTCTTACCCTCCCCCATCAACCAGATTGCTCATGCGGAACCCTACTTCTTGCTGAGGTGTCAGTCCCTGAGGGGCTGGGTCTTAACCAATGGCATTGAAGTAGGTGGAAATTGAGATGGGGAAGAGTGGTGTAAGTGATTTTCAAGCCATGTTTGTACTTAATACAGTGTAGTTTTATTTATTTACGTTTTTCATCAGAAAAGTCATCTTGGAGTTTATTGATTTAATAAGCCTGTGCAAGCAAAAGTACTATAAAGCAGTGCATAGCTCTGAGGGGTTATTGAAATTAGTATCGTTGGGTTAACGTTTGTAGCAGGGAGCCCTTTTGAGTTGACATTTGCATTTGTTTATTTGTTTTTCTTCAGAAGAAGGAGCCAGAAGACCATCTGGAACTCACTGAGCATAGCTACCATCTTAGAGGGGGGGTAGGTGTAGGATATTCTGGACTCACTGAGGGGATATAGTTAGAATGGCAGGTGCAGCATGAGTTGCCATATGATCCAAGGAGGAATGAGTCCAAGGAAGTCTTTTAAACCTGGGAATTATTGAAGGTGACTGTGGCAGGAAATATTTCCCCAAGATAGCCACATCAATGTATTTCCCATCTCACAGGTTTGTTTTACAATAAGAAATTGACACATCACCTTTAGGGTGGCGATGGAGGATTGTTTCTGTTCCCTTCCCTTGAAATGGGGCAAGTCTCTGTAGCTGCCTTGACCAATAGAATGTGGTAGAAGTGATGCCACGTGGATTCCCAGGTTAGACTGTAGAAGGCAATACAGCTTCTGTCTGGCTCTTAGAGCCCAGGTGTCATGTGTAAGGAAGACCAGGCACATGTGCGGGGGTTTGACTTGATGGTCCGTGCTAGGCCCCCAGCCAAGAGCAAGCATCAACAGCCAGACATATGAATGAATGAGCCTGTAAGTGAGTGCAGCCTTCAGCCTTTGAATTTTCTTACTGAGATGCCTGAACATTGTGGATCATGGAAACAACTTATCTGGACCCTACCCTGTCTGAATGCTGATCCCCAGAAACAATGAGAGGTAATAAATGACTATTGTTGTTTTAAGCCTCTACGTTTTGAGGTGATTTATTATGCAGCAATAGATGACTAATTTAATAGATGATGATTTAGAATAGGAGGAGCAGGGCAAGTATCCTACACCTGGGAAAATTCTTGGCTGCTATTGGAAGGAGGTTGGGGGTTCTGAATTTGCAAGGATGTAGAGATCAGTAATTTCTGACAGTGCTTCCTGGGGCCATCTATGGTCTGGGAGATGGCAGGAAATGCAACTGAACCAAGAGCTTCCTGGACAGGGTGAATCCTTGAGGGAGAGGCAGAAAAACAACTCGGTGTCTACTACTAGGTTTGGAGCCGGACCCTCAAGGCAAGCACCCGTTGCCCAAGGTCATGTCTGGAGATTGCATGCTCTTACACCTCTGGATGCTGGAGGCTGGCAGCCTATCTTAGCACCTTCTGGAGGCTTCTGTGCCAGAGTCTATTTATCTGCCATTGTTCATTTCTTTTGGATATCATAGGAGATGAAGTTCCTTAAAGCCTTTAGACAATCATAAGTGTTAGGTTCAAGAAGGAAGATCTCTGGTTATAAAACAAGGAAGGAATTTATAGTAGCCATGTTCTTGGTTGCAAGCAACAGACAGTTATTCTAGATGATTTAACCAGAAAATGAGATTATTGAAAAGATTTGGGTAGATCTCAAAATCACTGGGAAGTCTAGAGGATAAGGGCCAATTCACATGACAGAACCTGTTTAGTAAGGACATGGATGCCACAGCCGTTGGAACCTGAATGCCATTGAACCCCAGATGCAGCCACTGGCATGACCCCCATTATGGTCCTTCGAACCTGGATGTACGTGGCTACTTCGCCATCAGGATGGAACCTCTCTGTCTCTACTTCTTCATCTCACTAGCTCCTCTGATTGATGGAGTCTAGGTCATGTGCTACTTCCTAGCTACAAGGGAAACTGGCAAGTCAGGGATCTAGAGTTTTGTCTTTGGACAATGGGGAATTCCCTCCAAATAGGAAGAGGCTTCAAGTACAGGACAGAAAAAAATTACAAATGCCCACTACTGTGCTGTTGGGGACTTGTTGCTATATGGGTATATCAATGTGTAGATGTGTATTTGTGATGGGGAGAGGGAGGATAGACCTTGAATTGGAGAACTATGGAGAAATTGCTAGAAGGAATATTACATTTAGAAAATACAGTGTGGCGGCTACTTCCCTGTTTATTCTCAGCACCATTCTTGCCCTTCCATGAGGTGCATCACAGGTCCTGGACCACTGCAAACCACCGACCCCAGGCTCCCTTGGTAGGTTCAGTCAGTGTGAAGCACTGGTAGGAGGTTGGAAGTTGAGAGAAGGCAGGAAGCAATGTTCTTTCTCTTTCACTGTTTCTCATGTGATCTTTGGGTGTGACTGTATATCTTACAATTGCGTCTTCAGTCATAGAAGCTCAGTACTAGCTTGGAGCTTGGATGAGCCGTCCATGTTGGGATGTGGGATGTTTTTGGCTGCAACTAATCAAACTTCCAGCTCAAAGTGGCTTAAAAAAGGAAGTGTAATAGCTTCATGTAAGCCGAAGTTCAGGTAAACAAGTAGGTTTCCAAAAGTAAGTGTAATAGCTTCATGTAAACTGAAGTTCAGGTAAACAAGTAGGTTTCCACTAGTACTGGCTTGGTGGCCTCTCCTTGGTGGTTCCATCACCCTTCCTGGCACCCCCAGTGGTGCAGTCATAAGTGCATTCCTGGGCTTAGATAATAACACAGTCTCATCTTTGTTCCAGCCCTAGGAGGGGTAGGTGCTTTCTGCAGTTCCTACTCTCTGGGTTTCCTCTCCTTTCCCATTTTTTTTTGTTCTTCTACTATTTCCAGCAGTGTATAACTAGGTTTTAGGATTAAATTCCCTCTATTTGAAATACCTAATATGCTTCTTGCTTCCTGACTAGACTCTACTGATATACATGGTAATTTGGTAAGAATAAAATACTTTACATTTATAACATAGTTGTCAATTCCAAATAGGTTTCATGTTTGAAGGAGCCTATTCCAAATAGGCTCCATTACTTCCCCTTTTCATCTGGGGAACTCGTATGCACTATTCAAAAATTTGTTCAGGCATTAGTTCTTCCATGACGTCTTCTCTGTTATCAACCCCCACACTCTGTCCTCCCAAGCTCTAAGGTGCCAAATACAGCACCCCATACTCATAGTAGGTATATGACAGTAGTGTTTGTTGATGTTTACAGTGACGGTCATGAATATTTGAAGTGTATGTTTGCAAAAAAAAATGTTTCCAATAGCTCTTTTTAGGCAAGTGTGCTGATCTCTAAGCCTGGAATTCTAGTCCAGATTTTATTAGTAGCTAGCTGTGCAACCTTGGGCAAGTCTTGACTTCTCTGGGCTGCATGCTTTTCTCCTGAAAAATAAATGGGTTCAATCAGGAGTGTGATTTACAAACCTCTTTTAAATGTTATGAGTAATATTATTTGAAAGCCCAATATGGAAAACAGAAATAGGTACACTGCTTGAAGTGAGGGGTGGGCATTCTAGAATTCTGTGTACTCTACTCCTCTCTCATCCCCAAACCCTTGTTAGCACTTCCACCGAAATGCTAGGGCTCCATGGAGCATAGTTATAACTCTGCATTAGATGACGTCTATATATTCCACCTCTACACAGAGAGGCTGGCACATGATGGGATGTGGGATGTTTTTGGCTGCAACTAATAAAACTTCCAGCTCAAAGTGGCTTAAAAAAGGAAGTGTAATAGCTTCATGTAAACCGAAGTTCAGGTAAACAAGTAGGTTTCCAAAACCAACCAAATATGATGCCGATGCATTGCTCAAACGGTAGTCTAAACATGGCCTTACTTATACCACTTGATTTAGAAGTCTGGGTGCTTATCTTCCTCAAAATCATGTCAAACAAGGCATGTATATTTTGGTCAACTGGATAGCCACACCACACTTAATGGTAGATAGAGATGAAATCCTGGGGAGATATTTGAATAAGGATAGTTGAAGTCTTTTCAACATCCATCTGATAAGATGATTATAATAGCTTTGAACACTGAAGCTTAGTTGTCCTATAACTGACATTCCCTCTTGAAATTAACCATATCTGTGTTGGTTTATATTTTCCAACTCCACATGTAGCCTGACTAATTGGCTCTATTTAGTTGAGCTGGATGTTTGCCATTAACATAGCTTGATATAATGGGAAATCATCTTTGTAGCCAACCACAGAAGAGCCACTTGATTGTTTGGTTAAAGCTCAAGTGCACTGAATTGTACGTAGTCTAGTCTTTGTTAGGAGGGAAGAAACATGGTAACATGTGGCAAAATTGAGGCAGAGAGTTTCTTTGAATGAGTCTGACACCTGTCTTGAGTTGTTACTAAGGAGAATCTTTGACCATGAGAATTAACACGTTATCTATCCACTCAATTTTTCATCATGATCATGATCATCATCATCATCTTTGAAGTCAATATCATTGTCTTTGAAGGCACTGAGCATTACTAGGTGCTAGATACTATACTCATCATATCTAATCCCCACAACCATGTATATATATGTATATGTATGTATATATATATTTACAGAGGAAGAAACTAAATTCAGGGAAAGTTCCATTACTCTCTTTTTTTTCATCAGCTGGCGAGTAACTGAACTGAGAGTCAGATCCGTATCTGCTTAATTATAAGACCATGCTCATAACCACAACACTCCGCAATGTAAGAGTGGGTTTCCCATTTCTGTTTGTTATATTAGCGTGATGACATTGCCAACATCAATATGTCCCCTTGCTCATGGACAATCCAAGGCCTATGAGGTCCCTATGGCAGAGCCCCCTGTGACTCATCCTTAGCAAGAGGCAGCTTCAAGTATTTGCTTTCTTTCTAGGCCTGGAACTTCTGGGCACTGCTGAGTTGTCACCTGGCTTGGGAGACTCACTGAATCAAGATGAAATCAATTAGCATGGGAGACCTGCCAACTCATCCTCCATGCCCCCAGCAGACAGCTTAATTTCCTTGCTGGTGAGAACTCCTCATTGGCAAGGATCTTGCTCCTGTCATGGGGGATTTTCCAGGAGATTCACATGTCTCTCTTTAATGGCTACAAAAAGTCAATTAATGAGCTGAAAAGGCAGAAATGAAGAAGAAGGTGGAAGGGAGATGAGCATAGACAAACAGAGAATGTGATCAAAGATTAGAAAAAAGAGCCAGACATTTAAGGCAGACTATGGGTCCCTTGAGAAAGGATGCCTTGGTTAAAGGTGATGGCACTGGCTACACTAGCTCCTGCTCTCCAAAATCATCACCATTACTTAAGCATTGAAAGACAACTGGATGTCAGTTTTTAATCCCTGAATGATACTAACTTATTGTGCTTTTTGGAGCAAGTTTTTCCCTTTTCTGGATTGCATAGCATGGAGATTAAATGCGCAGACCCTGGAGTCAGACTGCTTAAATTTTGAATCTAGTCTCTACCATCTATGAATTGATTCTGAGAAAGTCATTTAATTTCTCTAAGACTTAGTCTTTTTCAACTGTATAATGGGGATAATAATAATATTGTTCTCAGAGGTTGTCACAACGGTTAAGTGCAACAATGCTTGTAGAGTTACAAGTACAAAGGCTGGCTCATGGTAAACACTGTCTAACTTGGGATGTTTTTCGTTGCAGCTCATCAAACCTCCAGCTCAAAGTGGCATAAAAAAGAATGTGTAATAGCTTTATTTAGAAAGAAGTTCTGGAAGAGGATGTCTTCAAGGTTGGTTAAATAAGTGCCTCAGTGGTGTCATCAAGGACCTGGGATTCCCCATATTTCTGTTTTGTGATCCTGTGCATTGGCTCCAACCTTAGGCTGATAGCAGGATGACTACATCACTTCCAGGCATCACATCTAGATGTGTTAGTGTTAGTGTCCAGAGGAAGAAGAATGATGTCTCTTCTGAGACTCTCTATTTGAAATGAAACTTTTTTTGTAGAATCCCATTAGCAAATATGTGCTTATGTCTCATTGGCCAGAATTGGGTCACATGCCTGTTGTGACCAATCACTGGTAGGCAGCATTTGACCAATAGAACTCACCCTGGAGTTGGGGGCTGCAGTCAGTTTCACCTGAGGCTACATGGAGGGAAGTTGATTGAGGTTCTATTAGGAAGGAAGAAGGCTGATATGGATGCTGGCTAGGCATCTGACAAAAATCTCCAGAAAAATAAATAAATTTCACTATTATTATTTTTATTATTACTGTTATTCTCATCACTTTCTTGTTTGGACTGCTTGCTCTCCCAGTCTCTTTCCTGTTCTGATAGTCTGTGACTCTGATCTTACTCAGCATTCTCAGTGTGGGCTGGGCTAATTTGGTCCCTGCATCTTCTGATGAGAGGGCAGCTGAAATGTACCATTTCTGCTTCCAACTTTCTTTTCCCTCTTACAAACACTTCAGGTGGAAGAGCCAAACATTCCCAGGTGTGCTGAGCTACTAAGAACCAGCCAAAGGAAATTAATTTCAAGATTCCAGCCTGTCACTCACAACAGTGAGTTGTGTAACTGAGCGGAGGAGACAGTTGATTATGTGCCAAAGCATCTGCCTTTTCAGTTGTACATATGGGAAGCCTTTCTCTATTCAAGATGGCAAGTCCATCTCAAATAGTGTTTTGCATTGCAGGGTGGTAGATCTGAACATTTCTAGTTCATTTGGCTAACTCCTCTGTGTTTTATGGTTACAGATTACATAGTTGATACATTTTTTTCAAAGAAGAACCAGTGTGGATAGATTGGTGAAAAACCACTCCCATTTTTGGAGAAACAACCTGTCTTAGTCTGTTTTGCACTGCTATAACAGAATATCACAGACTGGGTAATTTATAAAGAACAAAGATTTATTTTTTATGGTTTTGGAGGCTGGGAAGTCCAAGATCAAGGGGCCTGAATCTGGTGAGGCCCTCCTTGTTGTATTATCTCATGGTGGAAGTGGAAAGGGCAAGAGAACATACACAAGAGAGGGGAAGGGGGACAAACTCATCCAATTATCAGGAACCTGCTTCCATAATAACAAACCCACTTCCTGGATAATGGCATTAATCCTTGCATGAGGGCAGAGCCCACATGACCTAATCACCTCTTAAAAGTCCCACCTCTCAACACTGTTGCATGAGGAATTAAGTTTTCAAATTTCCAGCATATGAACTTTCAAGCCATAACACAACCCCAAACATAATAGCATGCCATTTAGGGATTGGGAAAATATTCCTCACTTACATGGGACAATCAATTATTTTTTGCATCCCAATCCTGAAGCATAGCTTAAGTCTACATCCATAATTGATTTGATTTTTTTCTTTTTAATTTATTTTTGGCTTTAGGCCATAACAAAGGCTGCTTGTGGAGACGATGCCACAGACCACTTCTCTCTGTCGCAAGTAGTCAGCTCATTCAACCACTGGCAACCCCTCATCCACTGGTCAATTGGCCTGGGTCAAGTAAAAGTGATGTGTTTGGTATTGAGGGTATATATGAGCCTATTGCCTCATAGTGTAGATAACAATTCCTTCCAACAGTCAGGTTAGACCCTGCTGTCTGATGTCATAAACTCCCAGGCAAGTGGCAGATATTCAGCACCATGGGAGTTCTCTCAAGAACCAGTCAGGAAGTCTCTGGAATCTGGCAAAGTGAATTATGGTTCATTGAGTAAGATGTTCATCACCCTCTTCTTAGAAATAAATTCCATTTGCATCATCAGGGAGTCATAGACTCTTAGAGCTTGAAGTAACTTTGGACATTATGTGTTTAAATATTTTTGCAGCCAAGTCCATGGGGAAGGCCTAATTTGTGTCCTGCTGCAGGGACTCTGACACAGAAATTCTGTTTATATGAAGTCCCTGTAGGCCTTCTAGGAGAACCAGTGGGGAACATGTTGGCACTGACTGTTGCTCTAGGCTAAATTTCTTCAACCAAAGTGGACAACAAGAGTTGCCCTTTAAGTCTTGTACTGAACTGACTCTAAGTTTGAGTCTAATTCTTGGATAGTCTGTTAGAGAAGGGGTAATTTTGGATTCAACACTTTCTGCATCTTGCCCTCTGTTTCAATCCCAAAGAAATCTCTCTGAAGTTCCTAGAAGAGGGAACATGGTAAAAAAATTACATGTGTGAGTCAAATAAAAGAATCATCGTGCCAGACTGCAAGACATTGAGAACACAGGGAAACTCTTCTTGGGAGTTTGAAAAGAGGTGGGTTTTTTGATTGTAGGAGTGGAGGCATGATAAAAACCAAGTTGGAAGGGGGAAAAAGAGAAGGAGCAAGGGCCACTTGTGAGATAGAGAGCTTGCTTGAGTGACAAGTTAAGACTTGCCTTAAGGGTAACAGTAAACATGGTGGCTTGGAAAGCCTAGAACCAGCAACTGGCACAAGAGAATGTCAGTGGCCAGTAAAGAGGTGGTCATGTGAACTGAGCTTATCCAGTCTGTCTCCCTCTCCTAGGACCTTGAATCTTGGGAAGATTGGTTGGCCTTCATTTATTCCAGCCATGGCGTCTTGATATTGTCAGTTTGGAGAGCTTCTCAGCATTCTCTCTCTCTCCCTCTCTCTCTCTTTGGTTAGAGTTGAGTTCTGTTGATTGCATTTAAATTGCCCTAACAGTTACAGGGTCCCTTTGCCAATTAACTAATTGCAAAATGAACAGACACCCAGGAGCAAGTTTGGCAATTTAGAGAGCTTGAGCCCTGAAGCCACGAGTTCATCCCTGTTCTGCAGCTTGGATATTACCAAGCACAGCTGTATGATCAGGCTATTGGGTGATGGAAACATGTCAATAGTGAATGCCTGACGCTTTGCTGCAGGTGGAAGACACAGATGGTTAGCTCTTATGACAGTTTTCCTTGTCAGAAATCATTGTTCTCTTTTTTGTCTCAATATGACCCGTGCCAGCAGAAGGAGGGCTCTGGGAGTCAGCACAGCTGGGAACCAGTACTATCTGATCGTGGGCAAGTTGCTCTACCTCTCTGCAGTCAGTTTCCTCACCTATAAACCAGTGAAACAATACATAACAACCCGACATATAAAGCTAAGAACAGCAGGATTGCACTGCTGCCAGAGGATGCTGGTGGGTGGAATCCTGTCTACTCAGGAAGGATTCCTGTACACTTTCCTGCTACCTCCTCTTTTGGTCCTTGAGGTTCTTCTGGGGAACCCTCAAGGTCTGAGGCACACCCTTTGATGACTACATGGCTAGATGATCTGTAAGGGACTTTCTAGCCTACGAGTCTATTAATTTATTTTACAAAACAGTCACATTTCCATAGTTCCTCCTCTTCATCCCCTCCCTACTGCATAAGCCTCAGCACTGCACACATACAAACTTTATGCACACAGGGAGGAAGAAAATGAGCAGTTTTTGTGTTCAGCGCTTGCAGATGGGACCTTCTGTGTTTCCAGAGATGGCTAGGATCATTGACAAGATGCTAAGGAGCCACAAATAGGTCCAGTGCAATGTCCTTCTGCAAAAGCGAAGCCTGAGCCCTTTTCGGGACACCCATGCCACTAGTCAGGCTTTCCAGGACTTCATGGCTCTGAATCAGAATTTCAGAGGTGCAAGAAGTTCTGAAAGCCTCCAGTCCCTACAGCCCATGCCCGGAAATCCTAGGATAGTATACTTCTCTGAGAGCGTCCTGACCTCTCAGATCTATTTATAATATTGGTATTTAAAGGTGTACAAGAGATGTCAGCATTTCTACTCTATTCACTCATACTCCTTCCCAAAGATTCTTCCCTCCTCTCTAAGACAGCCTTCGAATCCTTGCTAAAGAGATGCCTAATACAGCCACATTTTGTACCAGTAGATTCCTCCCCACTGCCTGACAGCCACTGCTGATAGGTCTAGGAGTGACCACTTGACCAATCAATTCCTCTCTATTGGGACACAGAGCCTCTGTCATTTAGATGCTGACAGACATGAAGCTGTGAGGGGGTATGTCTTTGGGACAGCTGCCATGTTGAGCCATGTGCAATAGAGAAAATTGGCATGCCAAGAAGAGAATGTAGTAGATACACAAAATGAAGGTAGATATAGAGAACATGGGAATGGGTAGGGGCAGAGGAGAAAAGGGCAGAGAGAGAGAGAGAGAGAGAGAGAGAGAGAGAGAGAGAGAGAGAGAACTTTCTGATATTGTTCTCATTCCACAAGACCCTGTAATCTTCTACATTTACCTGTCTTTAGAGTCACCTGAATCCCTCCATCATGCCAGAATTTTTTTTTTTTTTTTTTTTTTTTTTTGAGACGGAGTCTCGCTCTGTCGCCCAGGCCGGACTGCGGACTGCAGTGGCGCAATCTCGGCTCACTGCAAGCTCCGCTTCCTGGGTTCACGCCATTCTCCTGCCTCAGCCTCCCGAGTAGCTGGGACTACACAGAATTTTTATTAAAGTAGCCAGAATAGACTGTTCCTGGAAACCAGGCAATCTTTAATTAAGACCAAAGATTTAATGAAACAAGTCATGGCACCATCTACCCTGAAAGAGCTCATGTATCTCTTCATTCACTCAACTGATATTTACCTAACCTAGAAGTGGCAACACTGTGGGTACCAGCATGAAGGATACAGTGATGAACAAATATTTAGGGATTTGAAATAATTTCAAGTGTGGAATGGCCTGGCTGGGTAAGGAAATGGAAGACGACTTATTTGAAAGACAGTGATAAGGAGGAGGAATTAGACCTGCTGTGTTAGCCCCAGAGGGCATAGGAAAACTTGGATGGGTAGAAATAAAAAGGGGGCAGATTTGGCCTCAACATAGAAGAGAGCTTGCTAGCAGTTTGACACTGTCTGAAGATGGAACCACTTGACTTGAGAGTTGAGTTTCTCCTACCACGGGGCTGAATGACCAGTTTTCATGAGCTTTGTAGGGTAGATGCAAGCATTAGATGAAGGTTTAGATGGGATGACCTTTAAGATTCTGCCCCAAACCCTTGAATTCACATTTCATCTTGGGTCCACATGGTCTTTGTAATTTTAGGCCAGTTATTTAACTTCTATAGGCCTGTTTTATCACCTTTGAAAAGTGGGATGGGAAACTCTTGCACTGTTTTAAGGAATGAATTATGTGGCACTTAGTAAGTGCCTGGTGTGGGGAAGAAGAAATTCAGTAAATGAATGTTTCCTTTACTCTTCTCTGTTATAGGTGAGGGTTTTCTTTTTATGAAATGCTGCTCTCAACTGCTGCCACCGCTTCAGGGATTTTATTTGCTTTAAGCAATTGTAGTCTATGAAGATGATAGAGTTTGTGTCTTATTCACCTTACTTAGCATAGGGTAGTGCCCAAAAAGGGCCTTCATAAATGGAGATATGATTTACTATGGAGCCTTAGCTAACAATCGCCACACTGAAATATGTATGAGGAATGCATCTCTTCTCTACCCTTTACTTTTTAAAGTTTTTAATTTTAATTTTATTTATTTATTTTTGAGACAGGGTCTCGCTCTGTATCTCAAGCCGGAGTGCAGTGGTGCGATCTCAGTTCACTGCAACCTCCTCCTCCCAGGTTCATGCGATTCTTCTGCCTCAGCCTCATGAGTAGGTGGGATTACAGGCGCCCGCCACCACGCCCAGCTAATTTTTGTATTTTTAGTAGAGACAGGGTCTCACCATGTTGGCCAGGTTGGTCTTGACCTTCTGAGCTCAAGTGATCCGCCCGCCTCGGCCTCCCAAAGTGCTGGGATTATATGCGTGAGCCACTACACCCAGCCACTTGTCTACATTTTAAGCTTAAACACCGAGTCACAGGTAAACACACATGTACCCACACACACGCATGCATATGCGTGTGGACTGCAACTAAGACAATGCACACAGCATGCAGGTAGATATGCACAGACTTTCACTCCCCCCTCCCCATAATTAAGAAGATAGAAGAAGAATTGGCTTGTGGAATGAGTCACAGAGGCAGCCAGGATGAAGGGCAGGATTCAGCATCCCCAGGGAATCTTTATTTATAGTCCTGGCTGCTGGAGAGGGGGCTGGAATTATTCCTAAAGAGTTTCAGTGATGGAGTGATAACCAAAAGATGTCATTCCCACCGTCGTGCTTACAGGCAGGCGCCTGTTGCTGCTGGAGCCAGCAGAAGCGCTGTGTCACTCCAGAGCTGTGGTTCATGGGAGGAGCCAAGCTGACTGCATTCCAGCTGGTCCATCGTCAGTCACTGGGCCCCTTTCCCCGGTGAACAGACAATCTCTACGCTAATCCGAGCAAATCCTCCCAACCCCAAACAAACAGAAACCTCTGGGACAGCAGAGGCCACTGATTGCAGAGGATGCAGCTTAGATTCAAAATGATACAGTCTAATCCGTTGGTCCCACAGCTCTGCCTCTGTCAACAGTGTGGTTTCTGTAACAAGCAGAGAAAGTGGCATGAGGAATATGCAGTAGCAGACCCGACCTGCCTCACCCAGGGCCGGGGTGAGGATGTAAGGAGGCAGCTGGCTCTTTGCTGGGTTTTGAGCGACATCAGAAAAGTCTAGGGGGCATGAGCAGTAAGTTCCTTGGGTACAGGCTGTCTGTCTTATCCACTCTGGCACTCCTGGCACCAAGCACAGAGAAGATGTTAGTTGATAAATGGATACATGCATGATCTATTCAATATTGCAGTGTGTGAAGACCCCACAGTTCTGGTTCTTGAGTGTGATACATGATACATGATAGAAAAGAAAGAACATTTTTTAGGGAGCTAAGCAGACTAGGACTCCAATCCTGTCACTTCCTGTAGAAGACCTTGCACAGGTCACCTAATCTCTCCAAGCCTCAGTTTGCTTACTTGTAAAATGGAGACTCCCTAACACCTGCTATGTTTTGGGAATCATGGTAAGGATTAAAGATGGTGAAATAGGTTACTTCACCTTATTATATGTGCTACCTGGGGGAAATGAGGTATTGTTATCAGCCAATAACACATTAGCTGAATTAATCAGACAGATTGCACGCGGAAAACAGGGAATCCAGAACTGCCTGAGATGGTCTGGTTTATTGGCTCCTTATTTCCCAGCCTCCCTCCTTGGACTGGAGCCCTACTCTGAGTGGGAGTTCTCTTCTCAGTTGGCTCAAGTGTGTTCCTGGAGCTTTGTTCCCATCTGGGGCAGGAGGCCCCTTGAACTGGATCCCAGCTGCCCAGTGCAAACCCTGTGCTCAGCCCTCATGTGCTTTCCTGTTAGTCCTTGACCCTTACCTTGGCTCCTGGCCCTGACATAGCCTAGGTAACAGCTGCTGCTCATCTCTGGACCCGACTGATTCAAGAGGGCAACTGTAGGACTGCTGGGCCTGGCGTCCCGGACTGTCGGAGCTGCCTGAGACTGCCTCGGCATTTGGTCCTCTGATTCTTGGGCCTCGTTCAGCCCTGGAGTCCTGACAAGACCAAGCTGAAGAGACCTGAACCTGTTTTTCTAGGTTTCAGAGCACCTAATCTGGCACTTGAAACTCAGGTTGTTCCCAGAAGAGGTCAGAAAACAGGAAGTAAGGCTCGGGAGAGAAGGAAGAATCAGGAAGTGGATTTCAAGAGCATTCACTCCAGCTGCCATCAAAACATCACTTCCTAGACTGAGAGAATAAAGTAGTAGTTATTAAAAGCCCAGGCTTTTCAACTAAAGAGATCTGAGCTTAAAGCCTGCCTCTGTCGTTTGTGAACTGAGCAGCCCTGGGCACGCTGCACCTTCTTTCTGAGCTTTGGATTCCTTACTTATAAAGTGGGGTTAGGGACAGTACCTACCTTATGGGGCTGAGAGCATTGAGAGACATAATGGGTGCAAAGTGCTGAGCACAATGCCTGGTGCACAGTAGGGAGTCCATAAAATAGTGGCTATGATGACTGTGATTTAATGATTTTTGTGACCACTGCCCTAGTGGCTGCTCAGAGTCATCAGAAGGACCCAATGAGATATGAGATATGAAAGTGTTTAGAAGGAGGCTGGAGAGCATGACGCCAACATGGAGTACTGAAATTATTATTTTCTCGGTTTTTGACATTTGCCAACTGATGTGCTGTTGCACCCAAAGATTGGGTGCACGGCAACCAGAGGGCATGAAGGACTTCTCCAGAGCTGGCTCCCGGCATGACCTTCCCATCTGGTGCAGTGGGAGGGAAGAGGCTTGGACAGAGTTCTCCTATTGTCCCCGGGTCTTCTGAGGTCATCAGCTTTGCTCAGTTCTAGCTTAGCAGAGTGGTTTACAAAGGGTGGAGGGGAGACACAGGGGACCGGGAGCTGAAACTTTATTTGCTAAGTGTTTTTCAGAGCGCACGGCTCTGAGAAGGCGAAAAGGGGCAGGCAACAAGCCTTGATTTATGAACTGAGGCTCCCATTCCAGAAAACACATCATCAGTCCTTTTAGTAAAGAGCTTCAACCAGAGGGGCTGCCCTTCTGACTGCAGGCCTGAGTCCCACGACTGCTCTCAAAGGCAACTCCTTTTTGTGCACCCCTTAGGGGAAGAAAATCTGGAGAACAAATTCTGGGCCCTTGGTAGGGATGGGAACCTGCTCTCTGATGGCCAGGCAAGTACCTGAAACACAAGCGCCAGGCCCCTAACGGTGAAAGGGAGGAGTGGTAGAGTTCATAACAAAATGACTTTACTGTCAGCTGGTCATACATAGAGTCCAGAAGAAGGGACAAATCGTCCTTTACTTTTTACTTATAGCACCAACAGACCCCACAGAGGCGGATTCCACTCAGCCACATGTTCAGTTCTTCCCCAGCATTCCAACACAGAGCCACTCTAACAGAATCTCAGGATGCCACCTTTCACAAATGGTATGTGTCGCCCATACTTACCATTCTCCCCATCTTCTTTTTCACAGAACTGTATCTGCAGCAGTATGCTAAGATGGACCCCCCTCTGCTGAATCTAGGGAATGAGCCATGTTTGGTCTGGCTCAGAAATGACAATTTCATTCCCATTCACCAGTGATTGGGTTAGGGATGGTCATGTGGTTTAGTTCTGGCAAATGGGATCTGAGTCAAAGTCTTCTGGAATCTTCTGAAAATATTTTGCTCCTGGATAAGAAAGAGACATAGGAGGAGAAATCCCATTCTCTCTCTTTCTTCTTTTGCATGTCATGAGGATGTGGTGCTTGGCAGCCATCCTGCCACTGTGAGGAGAAAGCCAAAAACATGGCACAGAAGCCGATGCAGAGCCTTGACATTGTTGAGCCACAATCTAACCATGCCAACTTGTAGACTTTTTTAAAATGAAGTAATAAAAGTCCTTATTGTTTTGTTTTGTTTTGTTTTTGAGACAGAGTCTTGCTCTGTCCCCCAGCTGGGGTGCAGTGGCGTGATCTCAGTTCACTGTAACCTCTGTCTCCTGAGTTCAAGCGATTCTCCTGCCTCAGCCTCGTGAGTAGCTGGGATTACAGGTATGCACCACCATTTCTGCTTAATTTTTGTATTTTTAGTAGAGATGGGGTTTTACCATGTTGGCCAGGCTGGTCACGAACTCCTGACCTCAAGTGATCCGCCCACCTCAGCCTCCCAAAGTGTTGGGATTACGGGCGTGAGCCACCATGCCCGGCCCTTGTTGTTTAAGCAACTTTTAGTCACGTATGCTGTTCCATCTATACCAAAGCATCTGAACAAATATATCAGGGAAACCTCTTCTCAGTTGACCCTCCCTTTTTCTTCTCCTTTCCCTGCTTTAATTCAGGGGACTCAAACCTGGATGCCTGCAGGGACCAGAGCAGAACTATGCAAAACTGGAACTTGTGTGGCACAAGGAAGGCGAATTAGAGAGGGTGTGCCCCTTGTGAAGGGGCTGATGCTGGTTATTGAGCTCCAGCTGGTTCTGGCTGTGCAGGAATCCTATCCAGCTGTGGCTGGATATTTTTATTTTTCAGGAGAAACTGGAAAACTGGAGTTTTAGTGGACTCTCTCAATTTAGAAATGCATGTTGAAATTTTAAAGTAAGATACTGTATATGAACCAAACTGATGTATCCATGCACTAGGTATGGTCTCAGGGTCATATATTTGTGACTTGGGTTTAACTCCAGAGTTTCATTTTTCCTTGAGCTTGGTCCTTAAGGCTGTCGGTGACTTATTTCAGATTTTGCTCTTGGGTAGGAGCTGCGGTTGTGGGCTTGAGTTTTGTGGGAGTGGGGAATAGAGGAGGGGAGAAAAGAGAATAAAAGGATATAACTGTGTCCTGACATTAAGGTAGGACATCTGCAAGCCAACAAGCTTTTATCCTGCAGGATAAACCTTCTCTTAGTATAAGTCCTGTGCATGATTTTACTGAAAAGGCCACTGTTGTTTTCTCCACCATGAATTATGTTACCAAAGCCCCCTTCTCTTATCTAAATGCCAGTGTGGCTCAGGCTCTAAGAATCGGGGTGGAGGGGACCTATACCACCAAACGACCATGAAGCTAGGAGTTTTGATGCAATTTCCCAGGAAATTGCCATCCTGTTTGACTTAATTAGTGCTGTGAAGACACCAGTTTTGTCTAGGAGCACGAATTCTCAGTTCTCATTTAGCCCAATAAATGTTCAGTTCTTTTCAGCTAAAGAAAATATCCCATGGAAAATACAAGGACATACCCTTTTCGTGCAAACTGCATTTGGGTACATGAATAAATTCAAACGGGGCCCTCTAGGGAAGGCCTGGACTGCTGTGGACATTTTAGACCTTTGTTAGACCAACTTTCCATGGACCTGAGGACTCTGACCCCCAAGGGGGCAAGTCCAGGCTCCTTGTCCCTGCATGACCCACACAGGTTGTTTAATTTAATTCTTCAGGCTGTTAAATTGGAAATCTTCATGTTTGCCTCCAGGTCATCAAATTAAAAATTTTCAGAGCTCCTTTGTTGCAAGACTTCAGAGAACAGCTAAAATGAACTTCATGCCATGTACTGTATACAGCCCAATGATGCCCCTTGATGACAAGAGGGAATGAGTCACCACCAGCTTCAGGGATTTGGAAGAAATGTCAATGAAGTCATGAATAATAGGTGCTGCACTGACACCTAAGAAGGTTAAGGTCAGGAATTAGTTGGCAGGGAAGAAAATTGTGAAGGAGGCCACCCACAGCTCTACAGAGCTTCAGTAGCTTGTGTCATCTGATTGGATAGTGGTGAGCTGGGATAGCCAAGAAAATAAGGAATTTATTTCATTTTGAAGAAAGAAAATATGTGTATGTTGGTGGTGGTGGGAGGTTCTTCCCAAGGGCAGAGAGGTGGACTTGATGGCTTTTGGAAGCCCCACCAAGCTTCAGGCCTTTATTGTGGCTCTAGGGGCTGGTATTAGAAATCAGTGGGTCTGAGCACTTCTCCAAGCATCCTGGGAATCTTCAGAGGGAATATTTTACAGAAAGGCAGAAACCAGTCTAGTTACCTCTAGAGAGAAGACCCCAATAGCCCAGAAGGGCTACAGAATGTTAGGTTGTGTTTCTGTTCCAGTATGAAGACACTATCAAGACAGTAAGTCGTCCAGAAGACATTTTCTGCCCTCTGCATAAAAAAACAAAGAGGTGGGGTTAAAAAGCTGATGGTTGTACTTCCACTGACCTTCCAATCAAATACTATTTTGGTGATTCATTCTGGGGGAATGAAGCAATGGATCATCATCAAAAAAAATGATGGAGTGCCTCATCATTTCATGGTATCTCCATTTGTTTTTCTGTCTAAATTAACCAGAAAAATTCCACTGGGGACAGGCCTGCACACTGTCTAGAGATGGAAGGAGGTGAAACCACCTCCACGATGGTCATTGCCATGGCTTTCACTCCTGTTGCCACCATCATCCAGTATATGTGTAGACTGAGGGGGCTCTGAGATGAGCACAATAACAACGAAAAGTCCTGTCATAGGCTGTCATAGTCAGGGTTTGTTGTTAGGGATCGGCACTTGGGGAAGGGAGAGGAAACAGGATTGAACAGAGGCAGAAGTTGAACTGTGATGTTTATTAGAGTTGTCCTCAGTGAGCTGAAAAGACTGAGCCTTTATCAGTGATTGGGTATGTGCTGTCAGGGAAGGGTACTCTCCTGGGCAAGGTGGCTCTCTGCAGCTGAGGCTGCCAAGCTCATGCTGACAGCTGGAGTGTCTGCTGATGGCACTTGCAGCAGCGGACTCAGTGGGTTCTTTCCTGAAGGAGGCTGGAGCCCTGCAACTCTGTGCCCTTCAAAAAGCCCAGATCTTGGGTATAAACCCAAAGGATTATAAATCATTCTGCTGTAAAGACACATGCATACTTATGTTTATTGCAGCACTATTTACAATACCAAGGACTTGGAACAAACCTAAATGCCTATCAATGATAGACTGGATAAAGAAAATGTGGCACATATACACTATGGAATACTATGCAGCCATAAAAAAGAATGAATTCATGTCCTTTGCAGGGACATGGATGAAGCTAGAAACCATCATTCTCCACAAACTAACACAGGAACAGAAAACCAAACACCGCATATTCTCACTCATAGGTGGGAGTTGAACAATGAGAACACATGGACATAGGGAGGGGAACATCACAC
Organism: Homo sapiens; assembly: GCF_000001405.40. Classification (NCBI taxonomy): domain Eukaryota; kingdom Metazoa; phylum Chordata; class Mammalia; order Primates; family Hominidae; genus Homo; species Homo sapiens. The sequence goes on along the minus strand of NC_000005.10, from coordinate 159,872,952 downwards.
ACTGGGGCCTGTTTGGGGGTGGGGGGCAAGGGGAGGGAGAGCATTAGGACAAATATCTAATGCATGTGGGGCTTAAAACCTAGATGATGGGTTGATAGGTGCAGCAAACCACCACGGCACATGTATACCTATGTAACAAACCTGAACGTTTTGCACATGTATCCCAGAATTTTTTTTATAAAAGCCCAGATCTTGAATCCAAGGAAGGTTTTATTGCAGATTTCAGAGCCATGAAACTGCCTCTCAGGACCTTGGTCTATCTCTTGACCAAGCAGTCAGACAAAGCAAGTGAAATTTCTATGATGGTAGTGAGAGCCAGGCAAGACTGGCAAGACCTCAGGCTTATGATTCAGACAGACCTGGATTCAAAGTCCACACTCATACTCACCAGTTGCATGACTCTAGGCAATCACATCACCTTCTCTGAGCTCCATGTCCCTTTCTGTAAAATGGGGATAATAATAGTTTGCTGGTCCAGGGCCCACTTGTCTTCCCATAGTGTCTTTCCCTTCCCACCTCTGTTCTGTATCACAGGGATCTTATCTCTGCAAGCTGTAGCTCCCAGGCTCCTGCATCAGCTGGCTTCTAGCTGAGTTTGGCCAATGATATTTTGGGGACAAGAAGAAGCAGCTAGTTAGGGCATTTCTCCCTCCCTGCTTCAGGTGGTGTCCCCAGCAGCAGCTGCATCTCTGCAAGCAAGAGCACTCATTAACATAGACACACTCAAAAGGCCACATGTGCAATTTCTAACAATGTTGACGAGCCAGTGCCTTAATTATTTTATTATTTTAAAATAAGGTTATTTTATTTGATTAATCATGAGAGTATTTTAATCTTATAAGATTATTTTAGTTGATTAATCGTCACTCATGTAGAGGATATGATACAAGTTGGGCATTTTGATTAGGACATGAAAAAGCAATGTTGGAGTTTATCAAGTTTATCAAAGCTTATTGTCCTGCAGGATCCCTCATGAGTACATAAAGTAGTAGGGAAGGGCTCCAGGGTGTCAGAGAGGAACAGTAAGGCAGAGGAGGAGACCCTGCAGAGAGATGTTTAAATAGCATGTAAGTAAAAGTTGCCACCATCACAACTCTAAAGAGAACTATAACCTCAAAGTCATTCAAAATTGGCATTCAAAGACTGTCAAAACAGGGCTTCAATCTACTTTTAAAATTCTCTTTCTTAGACTTTGTATTGGGTTGAATAGCAGATCTCCAAAAGATACGTCTAAGTCCTAACCCCACCCCACCACCCCAGTACCTGTGAATGTGACTTTAATGGAAATGGGGCTTTTGAAGATGTTAAGAATCTTGAGATGAGATGATTCTAGATTTAGGGTGGGCCCTAAGCTCAAGGAGTGTTGTCCTTATAAAATAAAAGAGAGGGAGAGTTGAGACATAAGGACACAGGGGAGGAGCTGCAAGCCAAGGAATTAGAATCACTAGAAGCTGGAAGAGGCAAAGGATGGAATCTCTTGTAGAGCCTCCACAGGAAGTGTGGCCCTGCTGACCCCTTGATTTTTAGACTTCTGCTCTCCAAAAGGAACCATGAGAGAATAAACTTCTGTTGCATTAAGTCATCGAGTTTGTGGTGCTTTGTTATGGGAGCCTTAGAGACCAATATAGACCCCAACTTCCAGTTATAATGGGCCACTGAGCTGTTTCCTGAATAGCCCAGCTGTTTGCTGACCTCGGGTTTTTAACCATGTTGCATTGGACACATTATTATATTTATATTTAATGCAAGCACAGTTAACTATTTAGTTGGCAAAAAATAACATGAATAGACTGAGGGAGGCTGAGAGCAGAGCAAATTGATGGCTAAGCTGCTAGGGACAGCTCTGTCTGCTTTTCCATGCTGAATGGTGAGTGCTGCCCTGCAGGTTGCAGGAAACATGGCCACAACTACTCCTCCTCACCTCTTCTATGGTCTTCCCACAGGATGAGCATCTCATCACAACATGTGTGAGTCCAATGTGGAAGATTTCATGGTTTTCATACAACTTGGCCCCTTAAAGCAAGCTCACGAATTCAGCTGAAGCAACAACAATTGATTTTGGGACTACAGGACACAGTGACTGTATTGGATTTCTTGAGAGACAGTGTCATTTTCCAACACAGTCTCTCATAAGGGATTTTCAAGGGAACTTTTGACTATCCTCTATTTATGACTTTTTTTGGCTTTATGCATTGATTTTAGAACACAAATGCTGAATAAGATTTGATTCCTTTGCGTTCACTTTGCTTAGAATCCCCCAGCATACTTTAACATGCCACTTTTTCCAACAACTTCTCCCTTCACACCCGGATTGGTGCTGAATTTCTAACTTCTTCAAAATTCCATAGCATTTCCCTCCATCACTCCCATGTATCTTCACTTACAGGAGTTTATACACACATCAGCTTCCCTTGCAGAATTTTTTGACATTGGGGGCTACATATCTTTGAATCTCCCATAGGCCAGTGGATCATTGAATGAATGGTTGGATGGATGGATGGATTTATTGATGTTTATAGATTTCAGAGAAAAATTAAATGGAATCTAATAGCTAAAGCAAAGAGAGCTTGTCTACATTTACACTGCCAGTGTGAGTCTTGATGCACAAACTGGGAATCAGATTGCCAGGTGATGCCACACTCTTGCAGATAGATGGCTTGCTTTCTCTGTGGACTTAAAATAAGTCAAGCGTGAGGCCACTCCTCTAAATCACTGGTACAGGGATGCGTCTATACTGCAACTCAGCCTAAGTGTCAGTTCCTCAGAGAACCCTTCCCTGTACCTCCGAGTCTAGATGAGTCTCCTTCCTCTCTGTTATATGCTATCATGGAATTCTCTTTTTTCCCTTCATAGCATTGTCACATTTTGAAACTATTTGTTTCTGTGACTTTTTGTTTACTGTCTTTTACACCCTCCAACCTCTTGGCTGACTTTAAACTCAAGAAACGTAGGATTGATGTCTGTTTTCTTAACCATGGTAATCCAGTGTCTAGCCCAGTGCCTGCCATTGGCTGCAATATATTACAGCAGTAACATATCACATATTACTGCTACTAATGTCTAATATTAATTGACTATGTATTATGTGCCAGACACTGTTCAAAACTGCTTTACATAAATCATCTCCTTTTATCTTCACAATAACTCTCTGAAGCAGGAGCGATTATTATTCCCATTTTGTAGATGAGGAGACTGAGATACAGGGACACTAACTGGTTCAAGGTATCACAGCTAGGAAGTAGCACAGTGGAGACTTAAACCCAGGGATGCCAGCCCCAAAGTCAGGAAGTGTTCACTAATGTATGTTGAATAAATGAATGAATCATGATCAATATTACTGTGTATCTTCTGGACTAATTGCCTAGCCAGTGCAAACATGTCTTCTACAACTATTCTAAGAGTTAGTTCTCCAGATCGTTCTGAAATACTTCTTGCAATGGGATTCATTAGCTTTTCCAGTGAGCAACTCTAATAACTAGGATGATCTTCATTACATAAAACTGAAATCCACTTCTGTGGTAATTTTACCTGTGGACACCTGTTCTGCTCTCAGTAGTTTAAAAGAACTTTAGTTCCTCTCATATAGCTCTGATAAGAGTTTTCACTTAGATGACAGCCTATGTTCCAGCTATATCTCCAGATTCTGGCCAAACCATAGTGTACTGCTATACCTGTTAAACTGAGGCATCCACACCTGGATAGAAGGCTTTCCAGGAATGGTTTGTCCAGGGTGGAATAGAGTAGGAGTATTCAGCTCTGTAACCCTGGGGACTGACATGATGCTTGTTGAATTGAAATGAAATGCTTTCATAGTGGTAATAATAATCTCTTTACTTTGTAGTTGAAAATTACAAAATATGTATGTGTGCCCGATTTCAGTTGGTTTTTCTCTACAATATGTTGTTTAATCTCTGCTGCCTTTTTGATTTGAGGCTTCAGGATATTAGAGCTATAAGCAACATGAGAGATGCTCTGAGGTCCAGAGAGGTTGAATGGTTTGCTTAGAGTCAAGTTAAGTTTCCTTTTAAAACTGATAATTTCTGGAAACTATGTCCTTCTTCCTATGATCTCCCATGAACCTGATGGGTTTCCTGCCCTCTGGTCCTTTTCAGTATATTGACTGTGGTCAAAATAGTGTTGGCAATGAACTTTCTATCATTGGAGGTGTATGAACTGATAATGAGTTGGCTTTTGAGTAAGGATGTTGTACCTACAACAACAGCTGAGACATCTAATGAGTATTGGTCTAAATGATCTTTCAGGTAATGTAACCTCTGGCCTTACAAAAACTATGCCACCCATAGACTGCATAGGGATCAGGTAGAGTTTTAGCCACAAAGCTTTCAAGACTTCTATCCACCAAATCGTTTCTGAATATAGCAACCTAGTTTCTCACCATAACTGGTAGGAGCCAAGATCATCATCCTTCAATACTGAAACACTACCAAAAATATACAAGTTTTCAACACTGATTCTCAATACCTTGTGGAAACTTCCCAAGACCTTTTGTCCCAATCCTATTTATTCTTCACACCTAGCTCAACTCTTGTTTACTCTGAGTATCCTTTCTCAATCCTCTCAATTAGAATGAATCCTTCCCTCCCATATTTCCCCATAGGAAATTGTAACTCTCCTATAAAACTTATCAAAGTCTGCCTTATATTATGCATCTTTTCCCATTTCATTGAGCAATCAGCACTGATTTATTTGTACATAATTTATTATCATTATTAACCATGTACCAAGCCAAGTACTTTACTTGTTTTGCCTTTTTGTTTTGTCTTTACCTTATTTATTCTTTGCAATGACCCTATGTGGTAGGTGTTTACAATATCACCATTTTACATATGAGGAAACTGAGGCTGGGAAGTTAGTCATCTTCCTAAAATTACATGGTAAGTTGGTGCCAGAGCTGGGCTCACAAATTCTTATAGAACAGAGGCCATGATTCTTCTCTCTCAGTCCCTAGAATTTTACTTTGTTTGCAATGGGTGTTTAATAGTTTTTTTTTCTGTTGCTTATAGACACAGATCCAGAACACGTGAGACCACACTTGTGGTGAAGAAAGCCTGCGGTTCCAGAGAATCAAAGCCAGGTAGATAAGCTGGCAATTGGATCAAGGTGAAAGCAGTTCTTCCATTGAGTTAGGCGAGCACTCAGGAGCTCTATTATGACAGGGACTCTCTGACATCTGTCATCATGTGGTCAAAGGAAATAATGGAAAGTAAAGAACAGTGGTCTCCATCTTTGATTTCAGTCTTGGGTGGAATAAGAGATGGAAAACTTTTATTGTCTTAGCAGTTGGTTTGAGAATTCTTTCTGAGGAGACATCCACCCTGATGTGGAAAAACCCCTTGACAAGCCCACTTGCTGTAAAATACTTACAGCAAGTATAGCTGTAAAATACTAACAGCAAGTATAGCTGTACCTGAGTGAAGAGGAAGAAAGGGAGAGGAAAATATGAGAGAGGGCGAGGGAGAGGGTGGTAGAACCAGCAAGATGGTGAATCAGTTGTACTGCATTGTACATGATATAATCACTCCCCAGAACTGCATGATCTTCAGTGAATTCTTGAAAGCTTAGCAAAGGGCAGACACAAATAGATTTCTCATGGAAGATAGAGAAAGCACTATGCCTTGGGACACGGGGTAGAATGGAATTAGTGAGCCAACAAAAAGATTCTCAACACCAGAAAAATGCAAATGTCTTGAGGATGGCTTAAGGCTTTCCCATGCTGTAGAATTCAGGGTTCAAGGCAACATCATTGAGATTTCAAGGATTTTGAGGGGACCAGTGGGCAACTGTTTGACATTTGGTAACGTACCCAAAAGAGGTCATATAACTAATTTAAATTCAGTTGAACAGAGAGTAAGTAGATGTTTCTTGAGCACCAATCTAATGCCAGACTCTGTGCCAGGTTGGACATCGCTTCAAGGCTGCTGGGGAGAAATTATGAAGTAGATCTATGGGAATACTTCCCTGTTTTGTTCTGCTGAGAAATCTCTCTCAGTTCTGCTGGCTGCTCACTGGTTCCTGAGATAACTAACCCGGCTTATCCCTCCAATATCAGAACCGCAGTTTGTGAGCTTTCTTTTCCTCATTTTTTTCATCAAAATTTGTTCATTTATAAAATGCTGTAGAGTGCTGTTAAGAGTGTTCTGAACTTAGACTTTGGAGACCTTAGACTTTGCAGAAAATTCTTGCCCCAGAAGTTTCTAGCTGTTTGACGTGGGAAAAAACACTTAACTTTTGGGAGACATTCTCCCATAAAAGCACATAATGGTTTTTATGTGTTTGTCCCCCACTACACTGTGAGTGGCACAAGGGCAAGTACCATTACTATCTTTTTTTTTTTTTTCCTTTTTTGAGATGGAGTCTCACTCTGTTGCCCAGGCTGTAATGCAGTGGCGCGATCTCAGCTCACCCCAACCTCCGCCTCCCGGGTTCCAGTGATTCTCCTGCCTCAGCCTCCAGAGTAGCTAGGATTACAGGCATGTGCTATCATGCCTGGCTAATTTTTGTATTTTTAGTGGAGACGGGGTTTCACTATTTTGGCCAGGCTCGTCTCAAACTCCTGACATCAGGTGATCCACTAGCCTTGGCCTCATTACAGGTGTGAGCCACTGTGCCCGGTGCATCTTTTTTTTTTTTTTTTTTCTCACTATGTTGCCCAGGCTGAAGTGCAGTGGCATGATCATTGCTCACTGCAGCGTTGACCTCCCGGGCTAAAGTGATTCTCTTGCCACAGCCTCCTGATTAGCTGGGACTACAGGCATAAACCACCATGGGTGGCTAATGAAAAATATATATATTTGTAGATATGAGGTTTCACTATGCTGCCCAGGCTGGGCATCATTATCTTGTCCGTATCTTTAGAACTCTTACATAGTGCTTGGCAGTCAATAAAGTTTGTTTTAGGAATGAATTAAGGAATGAACACCCAACTCTCCTTGCTACTTATGTAAAGCTGAAATGAGTTAATGAATATGAAAGAGTATTTAAAAAACATAATTTATCTGTTTATTAGAAACCTCATTGTAGCTAGCTGCCACATCAGAAATAATTCAGCTAAACCACTTTTATTAAGGTGTTGATGTTTTAGAGTTAGCTTTATGGGTTACGTCTGCCAGGGGCTACTTGTGTTTTTGTATGTAGGTTTTGAGGAAGCATATATTTTACAAAGAGAGTTTAATTGATCCATAGGTATTATGAACAGCAGTGACAAGCATGTCGTAAAAGGGATTTTTTGAACAAAATGGGGCTTTCTGGATTTCTTCAAGCAGGAAATAAAAATCTGCCAGTTTGAATCATTTCCAAAAATGCCGCTACTACAGCATCTTTTCTAAGACTGTTGGAAAAATGCAATGCAGTTGTGATAGGCTATATCTTTCACTCACTCTCCATTTACAGTGAAGCACAAGAAACTGGAAACAAATGACCAAGCCATATAGAGATTGCGAGAATTAGTGATCAGCGTTGGCTACAAACCATGCGAGTTACGCTTTTCTTTTCGGTTTCACCCAAAAACTTCTCTCATTTCATTTTAAGTTGCATCTGCTTTGCACAGTGTTGTTTTTTTTTTCCCCAAAGCACCATGAATGATTTATGACTTTCTGACGCCACATCCCACAAGATTACATAAGGAACAGTGAAAAACAAGTGATTGAGCCAAACTTAAAAAAACACCCAAACATTTCCAAAGTGGATTTCATCTTGACTGCAGTCAGCTAATAGTTTTCGACTCACCAAAAGTGCTCCTTCATTCCAAAGTGCGCCCCGTTTCTGTGAGGATCCCTCAGATTTTCTTTCACTGTTGACAGCACACTATGATCAACTCAGTGTCTGGCTCCCAGCAATGTCCAGGAATGTCCAGTTTTCCCGAATCCTCCCCTTTTCTCTGAAAGTGAACGTTGCAGTTGGATTACAGAAACAACCTCATTAGTTTGGTTAATGATTGGACAAAAACATTGATAGGAGTAATAGCTACCAGGCTTGTCATTTCTTTTAATCATAGAATAATAGGATTTCAGAGTTTGCAGGGGCCTGGGATTCCCTAGTTCTACCCGTTATTTGACAGATAAAGAAGCTGATAACCAGAGAGGTGAGGTAACTTGCCCAAAGTCACGCAGCTAGATTAAGCAGAGTAATGGACATAATTCAACCTCAGAGTGGTGTCATCTGTGCATATTTATTAATAAACTTTCATCTCCTTACTTAAGTGAAGTGACAGCATTAGATATTATTTTTTAACTATAGGAATTTTAGAGCTTATCTGATGGACTTTCTGTCATTGACTTGTTTATGAAGTCAGAGCAAATCCATGTAGGGGAGGAGGACAATTGCTTGCGAGGCAAGGGCTGTGTTGAGGGCTAGAGTACTGGGTTGCTGGCTGCAAGGGTTGATGTGTCTTTCCAGAGTCTTGGTCAGAAGTGGCCAAATCAGGGTAATGAGGGTTCGTCTGAAACCCGAGGTCTGGGTCAGTGGCCTGTATGAAGTTCCAGGTTTGAGGGGTTGGTGTGAGACGGCAAACTGAAGGTGAGTGAAAAGTAAGGAGTCAAGGAGTCACAGAGGGCAAGATGGCTGACATCAGTGGCCAGGGTGTGGGGCTGTGATCAGATAGAGGGACCTCCAGATAGAGGAAGCACCAATTGTTGGTTTAAGGGAGCAGGATTGGGTCACATTATTTCAAGTTTACAGATAAGAATGGAAAACCCACCAGGCCAGGTGCGGTGGCTCATGCCTGTAATCCCAGCTACTTAGAAGGCCAAGGAGGGTGGATCACTTGAAGTTAGGAGTTCAAGACCAGCCTGGCCAACATGGTGAAACTTTGTCTCTACTAAAAATACAAAAAAATAGCCAGGTGTGGTGGCATGTGCCTGTAATCCCAGCTACTCGGGAGGCTGAGGCAGGAGAATCGGGGAGACTGCAGTGAGCCGAGATCTGGGCAAAAGAGTGAGAGCCCCGTCTGGGCAACAGAGTGAGACTCTGTCAAAAAAAAAAAAAAAAAAAAGAAAAAAAGAAAACTCGCCACCTTTACTGACGAGAAAAATAAACAAATTACAGAATAGAGTATAGAATATGACTCCATTTATGCATAAATCTGTCTCAGCCTACAGAGTGGAGGGAATCACATAGTTTCCAGGTTAAAAGCACAGACTTAGGAGTTAGAAATTCTGAATTTGCTTCTTGGCTGCATTTTTCTAGCTGTATAATGCTGGGCAAGTCACTTAACCCTTCTTTGCCTTCGGTTTCTCAATTGTAGAATAAAGCCCACTTTATTGATTTGCTGTAAATATTTGAGATAATGTACATAAGGCACTTAGCATAGTGCCTGGCACATAGTAAAGGTATAAAAACTTAGTAGCTATTTTTATTTTTAGACTTGACCTTTGGAAATGAAAACTGGATTTGAAACCCATTTCTGTCACTTTACTGGCTGTGTGCTTTTGGGCAGGTTGCAACCTCTCTGAGACTCAGTTTCCAATCTGTAAAATGGAACCAGTAATCACCACATTGTGGGATGTTGTGAGAATGAAAGGAGGCAGTGTAAAGGGCTTCACCCAGTGTACTTAAAGAAAGGTGGTGCAGCTGGGCGTGGTGGCTAACGCCTGTAATCCTAGCATTTTGGGAGGCCGAGGCAGGTGGATCACCTAAGGTCAGGAGTTCGAGACCAGTCTGGCCAACACGGTGAAACCCCATCTCCACTAAATATACAAAAATTAGCCAGGTGGTGGGCGCTTATAATTCCAGCTACTGTGGAGGCCGAGGCAGGAGAATCGCTTGAACCCAGGAGGCGGAGGTTGCAGTGAGCTGAGATTGCGCCACTGCACTCCAGCCTGAATGACAGAGCGAGACTCCATCTCAAAAAAAAAAAAAAAGAGAAAGGTGGTGCTCAGCGCTGAGAGCACCAGGATGAGGTTCAAACGTTGGGTGATGGAGTCAGGGAAGTGAAAGGAAGGGTGCTCATAAAAAAGCTAAAAGCTATTTTAATTTTCTTCATTGTTAGTGTCTGTGCTGTTTGAAAAAAAATTGTGTTTGCAGTCAGCATGTTTTATTGGGGGAAAAAGGAGTGGTTAGTAAATAGCAAAATCCAAACAAACAAAGATGAAACCTATTGCTGGGTTTGCAATGTTTAAGTGCTAAGGATAAGTAGATAAAGCCGAGAGAGACAAGCTCAGGCTGCGCCAGAGACATTCTAATGTCCAGAGGCTTCTCTCTTAGGTGGAAATCACTGTGGCTGTTTTGGACAGAAAAAACAAGATTTCATAAATCACCTTATCAGGTTGAGTGTTTTGAGGGTATAGATACGATTATAGCCAGCAGCAGGGATATCCTGATTTTAGGTCAATTGATGTGATGAATTACAGAATTTTGGAATTGGAAGTAATTTCAGCCCACCACTAGGCAAGCTCTTGAACTTCTTTTTGCCTTGGGCCGTGGACAAGGATCTGAGAATGCTCCAAGGAGGTGTTACTGCAACAGTCTTCTCAATTGCAACCAAATGCTGCTCACTTTTTATCACCCCTTCTTATTCTGAACCCTGAACTGCATCTAGCAATCTCAACTTTCTATAAAGAACACAGCTTATCCAACATGCTTATGTGTGTACCGTTTGAAAGATCTATGATGACTGACAAGTGGATTAAAAAGAAAAGTCCTGCTAGGCACAGTGGTGTGCACCTGTAATCCCAGTTACCTGGGAGGCTGAGGTGGAGAATCCTTTGAGCCTAGGTGTTTGAAACCAGCCTGGACAACACAGTGAAATGCCATCTCATATAAATAAAATATAATAAATTAAGAAGCCCCAACTTTCCCTCAGAAGGGAGATTCATTTATATATTCATACAATACTTTATTCAACAAATATTAAATGAAAGTCTATGTGTCAGGCACAGAGCTAAAAAATTTAAAAAAATTTTAAAGGAACAAAGAAAGGAAAAGGGGGAGAAAAGCAGAGCTAAAACAACAAAAGGTAGATTTTATTTAAAATTAGTTTAGAAAAAGAGGTGATGGACCAGGAATTAGAAAAAACTGGCATTTTAGTTCCAGATCTTTTATTAAATAACTGCAATCTTAGGCAAGTCACTTCTTTTATGGGCCTCACATTTTCATCTGTAAGATGAGGAGAGGGGGCAAGTTGTCCTAGGTGGAATGATCCATTAGTTTTTGACTTTGGAGAATAGACTGAGACGGCACGCTAATATCCACTGGGGTTCACACCAAACCATTTTTATTATTTCTTTTCTTTTTCTTGTCAGCAGAGGGAATGCCGGGTGCTCCAAAGAGACCGAAGAAGGGATATGTTTCCCCTTGCATCCATAGAACTAGGAGGTGAACTTTGGCTGCCTCACCTGATGTCCAGATAATGTCAAGACCAGAGGGAAGGCAGTTGGCCTGGGGTTTTCAGTGTTCACAGCAAGAAACCTAGACCCAGGGGGGTGAATACCATGTGTGTGATCCAAACATTGCCACAGGAAGCCCAAGATGTCCAGCTCCTGGAGGTGAACGCATATCTTTCTTTCCACCTCTCTCTCCCTGTCCATGAGTGTACATTCTAATTTAGTGACCTCAAACTTGGCTTTGTAGCACAAACTTGTGTTTCTAATTTCTTCAGGATTTTTGTTCCCAGCCACCACCCCCTCAAGATGTGTTTACCCAGCAAATCTTCCCAGGGACAAGGGGACTCAATTCCACACATGTGTGTCCAAGATGACAGTCCCTCTGGCAGCTGTGAAAAGCAGCTTCTGTGAGAGTGACAACGGATGGTGCTGACAACCCCCTCAGCTACTAAGTTTGCTTCTGGAGCAATGGGATGCAAGTGACATCGGACTTAATGGCTTGTGTTCCTGGAGACAGTTGAGGTGTCATGATTTTGCAATAATGCTTCTTCCTTTCCTCCAGTCTTGGGGAAGAACGTCCCAGTCCTCAGCCAGGGCTTCCCAGGTGCTTCCAGGGGAGGTTCTTACTCAGTCTGAGCCAAAGCCCAGGGGTGGTGCCCACCCTCACTGGCCAACTCTCCCAGGCTACCTTTGATTTTCAGCACTAACTCGTGGTTTTCAGCTTTGGAGAATAGACTGAGACAGCATGCTAATATCCACTGGGGTTCACACTGGTGAACCAGAGACAGAGCACTCAATAGTCCTGTTTGTAAAATGAAGCCAATGAATTAGACCAGGACTTTCCACCCTGTGCTCTGAGGCACCCTGGATGTTCCTCACCTGTGTCTGTAGATAGTGGAAGGAGGAGACAGGGCTTTGGTCCTTAGATCAGGCAACTTTCTTTAATCTCTTCTACATTTTGAACTTTGTTCATAATATTTCCTTTGAAGAAAGTTTCCCCCTTTAAAAAAATAATTTTAAAAAGTTTTGTAAAACAAATGGAATGAATGCATTCATTTATGTAACTTGTTTTTTTGACACCAGCTATGTTCCAGGCACTGCTATAGGCACCAGGGATTCCAGCTGTGTCGGCTGCTCTTATAGCCCTGCTCCTACCCACAGGGACTCAACTTTCCTTTACTCCCCAGCTTCTTGCTGCATGCACCCAGGACTCTGCCCCAGGGCTTTCTCAGCATGCTTGGCCAATGCTCAGGGCAGTCTGGGGGTGCTAGGGACTGAGATCTGCAGGAGAAGCCTTCAGTTAACAGATGGAAGTTGGTAGAAAATATTCCTTGGTAGGGACAACTCTGAGGCATGTGCTACATTGTCACCCAGAGGTCCCCACTGGGAATATGACTCAGTTGCCCATTAACACATCATGTTTTGGCTGCCTTCCTTTCCATCCTACTTTCCAAATCTCCTACTGGTGCTTTCTGGGATCACCTCCCAAATGAACTACTGGTGCTTGTATCCTTGGCTCAGGGGCTGGCCCTTGAAGGGACTGGGACATGCTAACCTGTCCTGTAGAGCTTACAATTTTGTGTGTGCATGTGTTTATTAGATAATGGCTGGGGTCTTCTCTAGCTCTAGCCTAATCAAGGACATAGAGCCAAGAACCTGAAGCTGCCTTTGAGCGGGGCAAACCCCAGTCAGCCTTTTGACCAACCTCTTGATTGAGTTGCCAGACATTTACCGAGTGCCACTGTGAGCCAGTCTTGTACTGGGCTCTGGGTGGGGAGCCAAGCATTGGACTGGAAAATGGATCTCTACGATTCTTCTTTTAAGATCCATTGGCATTCTCTCAATGTAGGGATACAAGAGAAAATTCTGGCCTAGTAAATTATAACCTGGAAAGAGAAGAAAAGACTTACCTACAATCCAATTTGAGAATAAAAGTGAGTTATAGCAGAGGAAGGTTCTTGGGTTATATAACAGTGAAGTATGCATATGATATATATGCATATATACAATAGTAATATTAAATGTGCATACACGCACACACACACACACCCCTATCCATCCCTCCCTAAAACTGGAGAATAAAGGTACTAGTAGCAAATGGCTATCTATCTTAGCCTTGGAGTCAGGATGGGGCTTGGTTTCCTGAGCCCTAGCTAAACAGGTTGACCTACAGAGCAGCCCTCTAGTTAGAGGGAGAGGGCCCTCTCCAACGAGCAGACCACAGAAGTCAGGGGCTATTGTGCTACAAAGTGCAATGCAAGCAGCAGCACAGTTAGGTCTAGGAGTGTTTGTTTCTAGGTCCTTTCAGTACTTGCAGGTGAAATTCCATTGGGCGAGGGTCTAACTACTGTAGTTGGGTCCAGCTCCAAAGGGCATTGCTGTCCACTGAGTTCCACAGAGCGTGGACCTTCATTCCACACAGTTACATTTGATTCTCTCCTCCAACAGTCACATTGGCTCTTGGCCCTAGATGATTAAGTTGTATGTTTCTTCAGCCCAGACGGGCATGCAAAGCTGTTATTTGAGAAACTTTGCTAAGCTGCAGAAGAATATGAAGGCTATATTGCCTGGCACTCAAACAACTGGTCTATTTGTTTGAATAAAATGGGTCAATTCCTTTAAAGAAAACAAAGCCATTGAGAATGGTTGTTTGACATGATAAAGACAAAACCCACTGGCTGAGAGAAGAAGTCCTCATCTTTTACCAAGAGGCCCTGCAATGTGCCATCTCAGCCTCCCTATAACTACATTTGGTCAATTTTTTCATTTCCCTTTTTATTTTTAATAATATAAACTTCTGGATTGGACAGCTCAGATTGCAGTTGGCTGGAAAGGATTTCCTTTTTTCTCTTGGCTCCTGCCACCTTCTTCTGTCATTGATATTGTGAATGATCAAGTGGCCAGCTGCTGGGAATGGGCAGGGGTTGCTGATTGGGATGGAGAGGGGCTGCAGCCTGTCCTTGTTTCCAAGTCTAGGTCTGAGCCCCAGGCCAGCTGCAATTGTGCCTCCAGGCCAAGAGGCTGTCCCTTTTTATTCCCCCATAGACCCAGGGAGAGGATTGCCTCAAGCACTATAAAAACATGGAGTTGTTGGAAATGGGGGAGGTACTGGTAGATGTCCTCCGTGTGAGATGTGGAATCTCCTGAGTGTCTGGACAGTCCCCTCGTAGAGATCAACTTGGTGTAACCCAGTTCCCGCAGCCCTCGGAGAAGAAACCCACATACCAAGTGAGGGCTTCTTAATCATTTGGCTCCCTAAGTGATCCTCTTTTGGCAGACAGAAGATATCTCACTCTAGTGTGGTGGCAGAGTGAGGGCCAGAAGCTGGCTTTCCTGCCTCCCCATTAGGCTCCTTTTCAGTCCAGAGACAGAATACACAACTCCTAAGGGAGGTCTCAAGTGAACACCTAAGGAGAAAAACGGTGTGGTCAAAATTTCCCTTGAATGTCCCTCTGAAGGGCTTCCTTGCTCTTGTCGGAGACTGATAGAATGCAGTCATTTTTCTCCCAACCTTGGACCAGATCACTACGGCTTCTTGGAGCCTCAGATGATGTAGCTGGCTCACACTTAGTAAAGTGTTTAAAGTATGTCTTTAAACCGTAGAGTCACTCTCTGCATGTGGTGGTGATGATGTGTGTGTGTGGCTGTGTATGGACCATCAAAGTACATATTCAGTCTGGCACTCATCTTAAGGTCCATGGTCAGAGGGAGGAAGGACAGGTGGGATCATGTACTCTGTTCACTTGTTTTTCTCTCTCTACTTGTTTTGATTGTTTATTTGAATATATCTAGTTCAATTCGTGTAAGTTACATGTGGCTGTAGGTGAATCCATGGTTAAAGGCAAGAGCTCTGGAGTTATGCTGATTTGAATTCAAATTTTGGCTCTGTCCCTGCCTTGTGATCTTGTGCTACTTACTTAATTCTATTCTTCTTTCCTCATCTGTAAAATGGGAATAGTAATACCTGCCTTATAGAGTTCTTGAGAGATCTAGATGAAAAAACAAACAGGTGTGATATGTTAAGCACAGAACCTGGTTCAGATAAACACTCAATAGCTGCCAGCTCTGAGGTTGCATGTGAGGATGTGAGGATGATAATTTAATGGTTTTCCTAGGAACTAGACATTGTACATATACAGAACTCACCTAATTTGGGATTTCATGGATTCTCTTTTCTCCCTCCTTCTTTATTTTGTCCCGATCTCTTTGAATTTGTCTTGGTTTGCTCTTCTATGAACCATTTTGACAATAAAAGCAAAAGCAAAATAACAGAATGTGAAAGTTCTTGGGTTGTACAGCAGCTCCTAGGTACAAGGTATATGTGTGCCTAAGTGAAGCTCTCCATGTGTCTGGATGTAAGATAGATCTTTTTAGTCTATGTCTCAAAGGAGAAGAAGCATGTTGGAAGGAGTGTAACATTGATCTAATTAAAGATAGAATGGTTGTACTGAGAATATTAATTATCTAATAGTTAATAAATTAAACTAATTTTTTTATGCTTAACAAACATTTGGAGACATAAAACCCAGTCCTGTGTCTGGTACGTATTCACAATGTGTTTTTGGTCAAGTCACTTCTCTCTGGGCCTCAGCTTCTCTCTGGGCCTCAGCTTCTCTCTTTGTACAATGAAGAGGTTGACTTATTTGTACTAGTAAAAAACAGTTCATCAAACAAAATGGTACATACAGCTCCTGTATAAAAAAAACAGGTCAGAGTGGAGCCTTTCTAGTTGAAGAGCTCACAGGTTGCCTAGAACTTTTTAAATTTGGGGTCCTCTATGTCTTCCCAAAAAGTTTCTTATGGGCCTTCAAGATGCCCTCAGGCCCCAAGAAAATAAACTCTTTGTACTAAATAGTCTTAATTCAATGGTGTTCACATCTTTAACAGTCTAGAATCCTCCAAATCCCAGCAAGTAAGAGACTAGATCTACAATGAAATTCTGGAGTGACCATAGGAGCAAATGTGTTATCTATCATTTTTGGACTGCTTTCTTTGAGAGAAGCACTGTGCTTAGCTTCTTGAAAAGGTCATCTCATTTAATCCTAACAACTTTTCTTGAAAGTAGCTACTATTATTATTCCCATTTTAGAGTTGAGGAAACTGAGACTCAGAGAGGTTAAGTGGCCCAAGGTGACAGAGCTAGGATTTGAACCAGGTTTATCTGTCTCCAGAGCCCACATTCTTAACCATTTATCGAGCTTCCAGCTGCTGAGGTCAAGGAGAGAATTACTTAGCAGGCTTGAGGAAGCTGCTCCATTTTATTGTCTAGCTCACTACTTAAAACCACAGTCACTGCATTTGTTTAGAAGTGATTGCCAGATGTAATTTTTGTTAATGGAGCTGTGTAAACTTGCATCCTATGAACACAAATAATTCACACCCTGAATGAGCTTGTTTGTTGGTGCACCCTCTCCACTAACAATGAGGCCCTGGAAGGATTGTTTCATGTGTACCCTTGGAGACAGATTGTCGGATGAGTTTCACAGATAATCCAGTCATCCTTGGGCTGGATGGGGAAGGTTGCTTTTTCTTTTGGCTGCTGTCTTAGCTGTCTTCCATCACTGGCCAAGTTAAGGAGCTCCTCCCAACTCAGTCGTCCAGTCAGCTTAGTCAGAGTCAAACTTCCAGCTGGCCAGGCACCTGTTAATCAGGGTGACCCAAGCCAAGGGCAAAGCCAACAGCCATCTTGACAAGTTAAATGATGCAGACAGCCCAAGAGACATGTTGGCTCTGCACCGTCCTTCTGACTCACCGCCTTCTACGTGACTTGACTCTCCTGTTCCCCTCTCCCCATTCTGGGGTGTCTTTCAGTTTGCAAAGCATTTTAAGTTCCACTGTTTCATTTGATTCCCCCAATAACCTCCAGGAGCTAGAAAATCTCAGTCCCTGTTTTCAGATGTAGAAACCAACACCCAGTGGGATTCATGACTTGCCCCAAGTCTTGTGGCTACTGATTAGCAGAGCAATGATTCAAATTCAGGCTTTCTGTCTCCAGATGATACATCCCAACTTTGACTCAGGCTGTGGGATTTTAAATTCTCTACCTTTCTTTTCTCTCCTAGTTGGACCTCTGACTTTATAAGCTCTGGTTTCTCCATTGTTGATTCAATTTCAGTGGCTAATAGTTTCTGCTTCAGATCCTGGTCATTTTTCCTTATGGACTACACAGTGACTCCATTTGTCTTTCACTTTATTCCCTCATTTTGTCATTTGTTCACAAAGATTTATTAAGCACCTTCTGTGAACCAGGCACCATGACCAAGAAGAACAAGGGACCATCCTGACCTCTCTGCCATGTTGGATGCCATCAACTGGGTTCCTTTCCTCTATTTCCTTCACTGGCTCCTTCTTCTTCATCAATGCCTTAAATGTTGGCAAAAAAGAAAAATCAAAAAACAAAGCAAAAAGCCCACACATACACACACAAACCAGGAGGTGGGTGCTAGCTGAGAAGTGCAGATGTAGTGCTCCGGTGGGGGTCAGGCTGGAGTGGAGACTGGTGAGTCATTGCTCATGCTTGGCATTTGGAGATCAGAGAGAGCAAGACTGCTTAGGGGAAGGGACAGAGCAGAGGTGCTTGCAGGCTGAAGCCGCACTCTGATGGTTGTGTTGAGCCTACACTGAATTTTGGAAAAAAGCAAACCAGTCACTGGCATTTAAAAATCAGAGCAATTTACAAAAATCTAGGTTTCTGGCATTTCTTTAGTGATGAGAATATCTGGCAATACTGGGCCTACATCACAAGGCGACAGGTGACTGCAGCTGAGTGGCTGCCGCCCCTTTAGAGAGGTAGGCATGCTCCAGGTCCCCACTTTCCCTAGACAGCTCCCTCCATTTCCATTCCCTGCCTAGCCGCTGAAGACTTCCACATTTGTGATCCTCATATAGAGTAAGGGGTGGGAAATACATCGAGGGGAGAACACTCACAGTCACTGGATAACTCCTAGGTAGATCTCTTTTCCTGGTTTCACCTCAAATTTTTCCATTTTGCCCAGATTCTAGTCATAAGACACGAATTCGATATTCCTAAAAGGAAAGAAGAACCTCTTCAGAGGTGGAGAAGTTTAATACATTGCTCATTGCAGCAGGTGCTGGACGGAGGTGGTTATTCATTCCTACTAATAGAATTAAGCCCACAGCCTGGTCTCTAGTGCACTTACAAGTAATCAATATTTAAAGAAAGTTGGAAATTAAAAGGCCCCCAGCCCTGCCTACTAACAAGAAAGAACTGGAAAGGGTTGGGAATTTATTGTTCAGTTTTGAAGCCAGGAACCACTCAGACAGGGCTGGAGAGCAATTTGTTTTTTGCTCTCCAATTGCCACTGGACTGATTTTACCCCCGCGATGTAATCTTGTTATGCTATGGTTACACTGGACCACATAAATTCATACTTTGTCCTCCAATGAAACAAATGCTTTCTTGCCTGCCCTTTCTGCTTTTATGAAAAAAAGTCATCACAGTATTTTCTGTTTTAGCCTGAATATGCTTTTATGAAGAAAACTTAGGAACCAAAAGGCATATCTTACACATGCTTCAAAGAAAACAGTATCCTGAGTTCTGAATTGTTTTTGCTCCTTGCCTGAATTCTTTGAAAACCCTGAAAATGATATTATTTCCTTTTTTTTTTTTAAAAAAAAAGTGAAGTGGCTCATTGTAGCTGAGGATTTCCATAATAATAGCTCCAGTACCAGGACGTCAAAGAAGTGATCACTCACTTCAAGGGGTACCTTTTTTAAAAAAAAATCATACCTTAAGTTTTAGGGTACATGTGCACAACGTGCAGATTAGTTACATATGTATACATGTGCCATGTTGGTGTGCTGAACCCAGTAACTCGTCATTTAACATTAGGTATATCTCCTAATGCTATCCCTCCCCCCTCCCCCCACCCCACAACAGTCCCCGGTGTGTGATATTCCCCTTCCTGTGTCCATGTGTTCTCATCGTTCAATTCCCACCTATGAGTGAGAACGTGCGGTGTTTGGTTTTTTGTCCTTGGGATAGTTTGCTGAGAATGATGCTTTCCAGCTTCATCCATGTCCCTATAAAGGACATGAACTCATCATTTTTTATGGCTGCATAGTATTCCATGGTGTATATGTGCCACATTTTCTTAATCCAGTCTATCATTGTTGGACATTTGGGTTGGTTCCAAGTCTTTGCTATTGTGAATAGTGCCGCAATAAATATACATGTGCATGTGTCTTTATAGCAGCATGATTTATAATCCTTTGGGTATATACCAAGTAATGGGATTGCTGGGTCAAATGATATTTCTAGCTCTAGATCCTTGAGGAATTGCCACACTGACTTCTACAATGGTTGAACTAGTTTACAGTCCCACCAACAGTGTAAAAGTGTTCCTATTTCTCCACATCCTCTCCAGCACCTGTTGTTTCCTGACTTTTTGATAGCCATTCTAACTGGTGTGAGATGGTATCTCATTGTGGTTTTGATTTGCATTTCTCTGATGGCCAGTGATGGTGAGCAATTTTTCATGTGTCTTTTGGCTGCATAAATGTCTTTAGAGAAGTGTCTGTTCATACCCTTCGCCCACTTTTTGATGGGGTTGTTTGTTTTTTTCTTGTAAATTTGTTTGAGTTCATTGTAGATTCTGGATATTAGCCCTTTGTCAGATGAGTAGATTGCAAAAATTTTCTCCCATTCTGTAAGTTGCCTGTTCACTCTGATGGTGGTTTCTTTTGCTGTGCCGAAGCTCTTTAGTTTAATTTGATCCCATTTGTCAATTTTGACTTTTGTTGCCATTGCTTTTGGTGTTCTAGACATGAAGTCCTTGCCCATGCCTATGTCCTGAATGGTATTGCCTAGGTTTTCTTCTAGGGTTTTTATGGTTTTAGGTCTAACATTTAAGTCTTTAATCCATCTTGAATTAATTTTTGTATAAGGTGTAAGGAGGGGATCCAGTTTCAGCTTTCTCCGTATGGCTAGCCAGTTTTCCCAGAACCATTTATTAAATAGGGAATCCTTTCCCCATTTCTTTTTGTCAGGTTTGTCAAAGATCAGATTGTTGTAGATATGCAGCATTATTTCTGAGGGCTCTGTTCTGTTCCATTGGTCTATATCTCTGTTTTGGTACCAGCACCATGCTGTTTTGGTTACTGTAGCCTGGTAGTATAGTTTGAAGTCAGGTAGCGTGATGCCTCCAGCTTTGTTCTTTTGGCTTAGGATTGACTTGGCAATATGGGCTCTTTTTTGGTTCCATATGAACTTTAAAGTAATTTTTTCCAATTCTGTGAGGAAAGTCATTGGTAGCTTGATGGGGATGGCATTGAATCTATAAATTACCTTGGGCAGTATGGCCATTTTCATGACATTGATTCTTCCTACCCATGAGCATGGAATGTTCTCCCATTTGTTTGTATCCTCTTTTATTTCATTGAGCAGTGGTTTGTAGTTCTCCTTGAAGAGGTCCTTCACATCCCTTGTAAGTTGGATTCCTAGGTATTTTATTCTCTTTGAAGCAATTGTGAATGGGAGTTCACTCATGATTTGGTTCTCTGTTTGTCTGTTATTGGTGTATAAGAATGCTTGTGATTTTTGCACATTGATTTTGTATCCTGAGACTTTGCTGAAGTTGCCTATCAGCTTATGGAGATTTTGGGCTGAGATGATGGGGTTTTCTAGATATAATCATGTCATCTGCAAACAGGGACAATCTGATTTCCTCTTTTCCTAATTGAATACCCTTTATTTCCTTCTCCTGCCTAATTGCCCTGGCCAGAACTTCCAACACTATGTTGAATAGGAGTGGTGAGAGAGGGCATCCCTGTCTTTTGCCAGTTTTCAAAGGGAATGCTTCCAGTTTTTGCCCATTCAGTATGATATTGACTGTGGGTTTGTCTTAGACAGCTCTTATTATTTTGAGTGACCTGAATACAGTGTGTTAGGTAAAACTTTCAGCTGGGTTCTGAATTCTAGAACCACTTTGCTGCTAGCTTGCTGTGTGACCTTTGGGAATTCACTTTCCCTCTCTGGGCCTCAGGTTTGCATTTGTAAAATGAGTAAATTAGACAGGATCAGGCTTCCCAAAATTTAGTTATTCAAGTACCACTTTCACAATTTTTGCCACAACCTCATATTATCTGTTCTATTGTTAATATACTATTTTTGGGTGACTTTAAGTACATCTCTTACAAATATACTTTGTATTGCTATTAAAAATGAAAAACCAGTATCACGTTCCCTAACTAGAAAATAATCCTAAAAATAAGTACAATGAGAACAAAGCAATTATATTCAATTCAGATACTGTCAGCTGCCACGTAATGGTTGCTCACATCAGCAGAGTGACAAACCTGTTTCCTGTGAAGTTACTCATTGAATCCCCACGGTAAATCTATGAAAGAAGGACTACTATTAACCCCATTTCACAGAGGAAGACGCTGAGCCGTGGAGAGGTTTATTAACGTCTCCAAGGTCACAGAGTGCCTGTGTGCCTTAGCGGGGATTTTAACCCAAGCAAGCTGTGCTGTTTGCCTATTGGTGTGGGCCTGCTCTCCGTTTGTTAACAAAGGGAGATTGTCTTGTGTCCAAGGGTGTTAAAGACACACTAACACAAAAAGAGACTTTCTTGCTGATGTCATCAGAGGTGGTGAAAGTGGATCAGAAGGGCGATTTGATGTCCTCTACCCCTTCACTCCTCCTGTGTGTCTGCTCTCTTCAGTGCTTACCTGACTGCACGAAGTTCTATTTTGTGATTCACTTGCTCTGTACTTAAATCCTTATCTTACTCATTTTCCATTGCTGAATATCACATTTTGCCCCTATTTTTCTTAAATGAAATTTTAGAAGAGTGACACAAAATGGGATTTTTCACACAAGGCGGCTCCCCTCCATTAGGAACACAAGGGGAGTCTGAGATTAGCGGCAATCAGCTCAGTCCTCATAATGTTACAATAATGACTTGGAGTATCTTTTAACAGCAGTTAACACATCCTGGAGGGCCAGCGTGGCAATTGTCATTCACATCACCCCACATCTCTTTCGTCCTGGGTTCCTGGGGGATTCAAGGTGGTGGCTGGTGACAGCAGGTAGGAGTGGAAGAAGGAGAGGTGGGAGGCAGGCAGAGATGGAAACCACAGCCTCAGGACCATCTCTGGAGTGAGTAAGCTGGGACTGCAAGACTGATTCATAGCAGGCCTGGGGCCAGAGTCATGAAAACTTGATCCAAACATTTGTGCAAAGCGCTTCCCTGATGTGCAATAAAGGGCCCCCATAAATGTGACACATTCCCCATTCTCTACGAGAAGGAGAGTCGAGCACTGCTGGCAGGTGCAATAGCCTGGAACTTCCTGCCAGAGTGCGAATCACTCACGCTTGCCCAAGCCCTGAAACCCTGGAGGCCTCTCAAGGCATCCAGGGAGGGTGTCAGGTGGCTGGGGTGTGGTGGGCTGATTTAACATAACAGCGGCTACAAACCTACTCTTACTTTTACCTTAATAATCATACTAGAAGCAGCTATAGAGCCTGTGCTGTGTATAGGACATTGGGCTAAGGGCTCAACATGCATGATCCCATTTAGTTCTCTTCAACACTGTGGAGTCGGTACTATTCTTATCCCTACACTACAGATGAGAAAACTGAACCTTGGAGCAGTTAAGTAACTAGTGAGTGGTGAAGCCAAGATGGGAAGCCAGGCAGTCCGGCTCCAGAGCCAAAGCTTTAAAACCCTGTGATATGCAAAAAGAAGAGGTTTATTAGATTCTAGGTAGCTCACAGAATGGAAGCGAGAGGAAGGTTGGGTGGGACAGGAACCAAGGAAGATCTGGGACTGTTTCTTTAGGCCATTGCCATGGAATGACTCAGCCTTCAGGAGTGTATGTTCAGCAGCTGATTTTCTGCTCTGTGGTTTGGAGTGGGAGCTGATCACAGAATGTGCTGTGTTTTATTACCTTCTGCTCTGGGCTCAGCTCTGGAGTTGGAGGTAGAAGGACTGTGTGCTGTGTGACCTTGGGCAAATAATTTAACCTCTCTGGGCCTTAGTTTTTTTCAATCTGTAAAATAGGGACAATAATAGTATCAGTTACATAGGGATATTGCAGGGATTATATTAGCAAATATTTGCCAAGCATCTAGCATGGTGCTTGATACTTAGCAAGCACACAGAATGATTGTCAATAAAGGCAGGTGGGGGGCAGCTTGTTGGGCCCCTACAGCTGTGGATCCTGAACACCTCTCCCCTTTGTCTACTCTGTCAGCTCACCCTGAGGAATATGACCACTTTTTCTATATGGTCTGCTAGAGAACCTTGCTACTCAAAGTGTGGTCCGTGGACCAGCAGCAGCAGTGAACTGCTCACCTGTGAGTTTGTTTGACATTCAGAGACCCAGGCCTCTCTCCAGACCTCCTGAATCAGATTGCATTTTACCAAGATCCCCAGGTATTTTGTACGCACAGGAGTTTAAGAAGCACAGCCTCAGAAATTTAAAAAGCAAATAAAAGAAGAAAAGAGGCCTAGAATTTCTTTATCATCATTGGAGATTCAGTATGAAGCATGTACTTTTGTTTTCCCAAGCTACAACCTTTAGGATAATAATAATTCCCATGATGGTAGTAGCACTTCGCAATGTGACTAAAAGGCCATCACACTCACTTTTTTGCTTGCTTTGAGGTATGACCCTGTATGGTTGGCAGAGCAGCCAATGTTTTCTCCATTTTATAGATGTGAAAACTGAGGCAAAGAGTCTCAAGTGATTTTCCAATGTTACCCTGCTACCAAATGTCAGAGCCAGAAAGCAAGACAGGTCTTTCGGTGTCCTAATTCAGGGCTTATTGCAGTTTCCATTCTGTTCATCAACAATGAGAGAATCCATGCTGGTTCTTCTTCCTTCTCAGTTACCAGGACATAGCCTGTCACCAAGTCCCATGACTTTGTTCCATCAGGATGACTTGGATTCAGGCTTTTGTTATGATTTCCCTTGTTCTACCTTCAGCTAAGCTCTGGTCATAATAACAACAATATCAGTGGTTGCATATTGAAGACTTATTCTGCTAAGTAAGAGCCTTCCTTGTGTTAATTAACTCATTTCATCCTCCCAGCCACCTTATAAGATAGGCACTATTATTATCACCATCTTATTATAGATGGTACAACTGAGGCACTAAGTGAGAAAGTTGTCCAAGATCAATAGCAAGTAGTGGAGCTGGGGTTTGAACATGAGGAGCTGTTCACATCTCAATTTCTGCACTAGCTTCTGAGATGGTGTGTCTATGCATGGTCTGCCCTCCAAGCCTGTGAAACATGGGTGTCTTCCTTCCTCTTCCTTCTGCCTTCCCCAAAAAGCCTTTTTTTTTTCAATAGCATGTTCTGATTGAAGCTCCCCTCTTTTTGCATTCCTCAACATGCACTAATATCCATTATACTTTATCATGAATTACTTGTTAATTTCTTGTTGCACTCATGAGAATATAACCTCCAGGAAGGCAGGGGCTTCTTGGACAACACAGCTGTTGTTCCATCACAGTGACTAGCACAGAGTAGGTGCTCAGTAAATGTTTTCTTTTTAAAAAATATAGAGAGTTGGGGTATTACTATGTTGCCCAGGCTTGTCTCAAACTCCTGGGGTCAAGCAATCTTTCCACCTCGGCCTCCCAATGTTGGGATTACAGGTGTGAGCCACCATGCCTGGCCTCAGTAAATGCTTATCGGATGAAGACGGTTCATTGCATTAGTTTGGTCTCTTCACCTAGGCTGTAGTTACATGTGGAGAGTATCCAAAACTATGTCTGTATCCCCCACAGAACCTCAATGGTTCCAGAATGCCATACAGTTGATATTTATTGATACAAAGCCACGTGTTCCCCCTCAGTGCATTCATCGAGGGCCGACACAGCCATTGGTATTTAGTCCTCTGGGTTTCTCATCTCTGTCTAAAACAAGGTGAGGTGAGACCCTCACAATTACCTTGTTTATCACCACCAGGATCCAGGTAGAGACTTTTGGCCAAGCAGGGCCTGTGGTAAGGAGATACCCGACTCCGATAATACCGCAGACTGAGCTCGTGAGGTCATGTGTAATCAGTGGCTCCATTGACTACAGCCTGAGCCTTGGACCAGGTGCCAGGCAGGGGCCTGTGGGAGGTCAGAGTCTGTCCCCTCCCTGGCTCCTTGGCACAAATTAGTGCTGATGAGCTAGAGGAGGAATTCCTGCCTTTGAGGTATGAGCCAGCTGGGCTGCTGCTACCGATCAGCTAAGAAAATAAGTCATCCCAGCCACCTGCGGTTCACCCAAGGGCTGGCGCCAGAGTGGGAGCTGGGAAGGTCTTCCTGGGAGGGCTGGGAGCTGCTGGAGATATCAGCTGGGCTCAGGTGAAAGCTTTGTGGATGGGGAGGTCCAGACTCGAGAGTGTAGGATTAACTCTATTTTCAGGCTCTGGGCTCACAGTCTGCCCCTTGGCTTGGCTTCCAAGGGCTGAGGCTACAGCTTATGCATTTATGTGATTTGGGTGGGCAGGGACACTCATCTGTGTCCCATGGGGTGGGAAGATCATTCTGGTTGATTAGTTGGGGACGAATGGGCCTGTGCCCCCTTCTCCCTAGCAGTCTAATACTGGGAGTGTTAGTTTCACCCACCGCTCACCACTCGCCCTTTGCAAGAGTCCTGCTCTTGAGGCCTGCCATTCTCATCACCCCTTAGATGAAATCCAATTGAATTCCCATGGAGGTAAGTATAAACAGTTCTACCATCAAGGTCTCAGAAGAGTGCCTTAAAAGCAGTAGAGGCGGGGCAGGGGGCAGCAGTGACCATGAGGAGGGAGAAGGGTCTCCTAGTGAAGGCTTTGGGGACATGTCCTAATAGATGGCTCCCATCCTGCCTCTGAATCTTTTTAGTCCTCCTAAATCCCTCTTCAAGTTCCTGCCTTTCCTCTGGTCCTCACTCCCTCCCATTCTCCTTGGAACCTTTTTGCACATGGCAGTTGGCTCAGGCTCAGGCAGGAATTGGAGGTGTGAAAGGCTTCAGAATGACATGTGAAGCAATAGTTTGTGATTTATTGGAATATTAATGTGTTTTTGAGCTCCCTCCATTGCCTTCCTCCTCCCCATGTTAATGAGGTAGCTTGGGCTTCTTGCTTCAGGGACTCTTGTCAGCAGAAACAGCCTGCAGCCCATGGTTCATCTGGATCTTGTGAAGAGATGCTCTTAGGTGTCCTTGGTGGAGGGGAAAGGGGAGGCAAGGAGCAATTCTCTGGAATGGGAAGGGAAGAGAGGTCTGGGGCAGGGGCAGCCTGGGGTAGAGACCAGGGGATGAATCTCCTAGGCACATTCTCAAAGAGTGGCACTTTCTGCTCTCTGTGGACATCTCTCTGGCCGTGGGTAGCTGTGAGCCTTCTGTGGCAGCTGCCTAAGGGGATAAAGAGACCCAATGGGGATGGCAGCTCGTGCTCCCTTGGGGACCCTGAGGCTGGGGAACTGGGTCTCAGTGGAGTTCTGTGTCCCATGCAGGGCATCAAAAAAGAGTAGGCCTTCCATGCAAGGGGTCACCATAGATGTGGACCTAGAAGAGTCAGGGGTTTCATGATATGCTGGAGGTTACAGATCCTTGTCTTGTCTCCAGACCATCACACAATTATACTGTGTTCTTATTTGCAGCTGGGAGAGGGAGGGAATGGGGTGTTCCAATAAGGACTTTACCCCTCCATCTCCATTCTTCGGGAACAAATTGATTTTAAATAATAAAGAATGTGATATTCTTCTCAAACTTGAGTTTGAGGCCTGCAATTTGTACTTGCCCACTTGATTCCAGGGTGCAGACTAATTCAGGGAAAGGGGGTTCTTTTCCTGTGACAATATTTCCTATACCACTTGCACTCATTGCTTTGGCACTTCCATTTGTTCATTCATTTTATAAATATTAATTGAGGATTTACTATTTGTTAGGTACTGGGTTAAGTGTGGAGGATACAATGATGCATCAAGCCACCTGCCATTCCCTAGAGATCTCATAGTTTCACAGGGAAGATGTGTTCATCAAATAATTCTACAAATGTGTATATATATGTGCATACACTGGGATAAAGCCTTAAAGAAAAATTAGCTGCTGCTACAAGAGTGAGTAATGTCAGATCTGGTGAAGTCTGGAGTTGGGTGGGAAGTGGAGGGGGTCAGGAGAAGCAGTAAGTTCTGTTTGAGCTGAAGTTTGAAGACCCATACGTGTGTGTGGGTGCATGTGTAAATGTGAGCATGCACACAGGTATATATGTGCACACATGTATATGTATGTCATGCATGCAAGAAGGGTATTCTAATGAGAGGGAAGAACATTCCAGGAGGCCTTGAGGTGGAGGAAGAAGCCAGGTTCCTTTAAAGAAATGAAAGAAACCCTGGTGTTTCTGTACAGAGGTGAGGCCAGGGAGGGGGCAGTGAAAAGTAAGGTCACCTAAGGCCTGAGACATCGGGTTGGGTGGTTTGGCCTTTATCATAGGAGTAATGGGAAGTCATTGAAGGTTTTTAAGCCTGGAGGTAATAGAATCTGATTTACATTTTAAAAAGATTATTCTGACTGCTGTGCTCAGCATGGATGATGGGAAGACAAGAGCCAAAATAGAGAGACCAAAATTTTGCAAGGATATAGATTTATCTGTAACCATGGGGAAGATGTTCAAACATTATTAAGTGAAAAACAAAACAAAAACAAGATGCAGAACCATAAGGATGATGTCATTTGTATTTTTTCAAAGCATGTGCACATTTATGCATGTACATTCATGTCATAGCAGCTTGTGCATGCATAGCTTCTTTCCAGCCCTTTGCTATCACTGGCAATTCATTGTAGAATGGAAAACATCTTAAATTTGGGGTCCCAAGAGCTTGGGCTATTGTCACTCTTTACTGACTTAGGGCATGTCATTTAGCCTCTCAGTGCCTCAGTTTTCTCATCTGCAAAATGAGGGTATTGGACCAGAGAAGCTTTAAACATGAATTCTTTCAACCTTTGGATTCTTGTGACTCTGGACAGGAAGAAGTTGTGAATAAGGGAGGTTGCATACATTATGCAGGCAAGTTGCCTACCCCAGCTCTGTTTTAACACTGCAGGGTTAGGGTGACATTCTAGAAGAGCAACAGCAGGACTGCGGAGAGTGAGAACATCTCCCAGGGCAGCCTGACAGCAGGAGGAGTGGGCAGCTGTCTCCACACTGTGATTTACCACCTGCCTGGACCAAAATAGGCCCATCTCCTGGCCTGCTCCAGGAAGCTCCTTCCTGGGAAACAAGAGATTAACTTACCCAGAACTAGTGCTGGATCTACATCAAGCTATTCCCCTCCAGTATCCCATAAGCCCAGATGAAGTAATTTTACTGGTGAAAATGAAAGAAGGGGACCAGAGAAAGGGGAAATCAAGGTCTAACCAATTTTGAAAGACAGTGTCTTGGTGGCATCCTTCTTATGACTGGCCTGATTGGGGTGAAGGGGTAAGTATCACTGGGAGCAGAGTTGGGGTATTGTTTCCATAAGGCTGTACTTGGAACACAAGTTCTGCAGGATGTAAGGTGTTATTCAAAATGGGGATTCCACAGTCAAATAAGTTGGTGAGATACTTACTGGCTTAAATAAAGTTGAGCAGGTTTTTCTACCATAGGACTTCTTAGAGCTTTATTAAACTAACTTCATCATGAATTCTTGAGAAAGGAGAAAATAATATACAGTGCACCCACGTGTTTACAATCAGCACTTTCTGGGATAGGTCTTCCACAGGTCACACGGTAAAAATGACAGACTAGGCTACAGGTTTCTAGGGAGAGAGGCTGGGTCTTATTTCCACCTGAGCACCCAGTATCTTTGAGAGTGATAAGTCCATGGTGGGTACATGGACTGTGATGGCAATTGAACTAAAAACTTCCGAATGAACTTTGCCATTTTTAAGATGTGGCTGGTACACCTGAATGTCTGAATTCTCATATAATATGTCTTAGTTCTTATCTTACAGGTCTCCTATTAATATCAGTAGGGTGACCATAGTAACATCATTAAAATGGCTTCCTCATTATCTTTAAGAGCTTTATCCTTTATTCTTTGATAACATTTTCATGTTCATTCATTGCAAGGTAAGTGGATGACCTGAATATTAGGAGACCTGAATTCAAGTTCTACTGAGAGCTATGAAATCTACTGATAACTACTGATAACTATGCTAACAAGCTAATCATCTAAAGTTTTAGGGCTTTGATTTCCTTATGTTTGAAGGTCAAGAATGGACTATGTATTAGCTTTGCAGTGATAACAAATGATCCCCAATCTCAGTGGTCAATAGTAACAAAGGTCTATTTCTTGCTAGAGTTAGCTGTGGACATGGGTCAGCTGCCTGTCTCCATTGATGACTGAGAATCTTCATTGTGGGCCCAGGTAGAAAGTGCAGCTCTGATGGAGGCTTGCTGAGCTGTGCAATGGCTCTTAAAGCTTCTGCTTGAACAAAGCCTACTTCATGTATGTTCACATCCCTTTGTCCAAAGCAAACCGCACAGCTGAGCCTACCATTAACAGGGTAGGGAAGTACCGTTGTCCCTCAATATCCTCAGGGCATTGGTGCCAGGACCCCTTGTGTATACCAAGATCCAAGGATGCTCAAATTCCTGATTTAAAATGACGTAGTGTTTGCCTATAACCTATGCACATCCTCCTGTATACTTTAAATCATCTCTAGATTACTTATAATACCATATATAGTCAATTATTGCTTAACGATGGAAATGCATTCTAAGAAATGCATCATTAGGTGATTTTGTCATTGTGTGAACATTATAGACTATACTTACACAAACCTAGATGGTACAGCCTCGTACACACCTAGGCTATATGGGATAGCCTATTGCAGCTAGTCTACAAACCTGTGCAGCATGTTACTATACTGGATACTGTTGGCATTTGTAACACAATGGTAAGTATTTGTGTATCTGAACATAGCTAGACATAGAAAATAAACAGTAACAATATGGTATTATAATCTTATGGACCACCCTTATATATGTGGTCTGTGATTGACCAAAATGTCTTTATGAGCGTTACATGGTTTTACTATGTAAATTCTAGGTGACTAGTCATTACATTGTATTTTAAAATTTATGTTTTTTATTGTTGTATTGTTTTTATTGTTTTTGTGATCCACAGCTGGTTGAATGAATGGATGCAGACCATAAATATAGAGGGTTGACCCTGTGTATACCCCTCCCACAGGAGGGCACTGACAGTCACAAGACAGCGGTGAGGATGTCTAATTTTTTGACTGGGAATCATCGGTGACATGGACACAATCTATCATGGACTAGATGATAGTTACGCTCCTTCAGCCCCAGCTTTAGTATTCCCGGTATTCTCCTAGAATGAATCCAACCTTGATGCGCAGTATTGGGAGAATAATTTTTAGTGGACCTTAATGAAAGAGAGAGAACAGCTTTCCACTTGCTGGCAGCTGGCAGCAAAATTCTGGAATGGGTTTTTGCATAGAATGTGATGAGCAATTGGATTAAGGAGTAGTTTGTGCACTTCAGTTTGGTTTCTAAGAGTCATGCCAGAAAGAACTCATTTAGTCTTAGAGGGGTTGTGAGACTGGTGCTCTGGGGAGTGACATGCACAGTGAGTCTGGGTTTCAGCAGAACTTTGGCAGCATCTCTTTCGGATATATGACTAGGATGATTTTTTTCTTTTTTGGAGTGACCAACTGTATCTGGCAAGTAAGAATGAAGAGGTGGATGGGTTGTCTCAGGGCTTTGTACTCAGATTTTCCTCTTTTGGGCCATACTTTTAGCAACACTGGATTGAACTCTAGTTCATCAGATCCATCCCTGGCACTAAGCTGGGAAGGGTAAAAATGCACAGTGTGATGAAATTGGGATCCTTAATTGATCATCATAGATAAGAATCATGGGTAAAATCAGCAGGATGAAATTGAACAGAAGTAAATATTAAGGCACTATATTCAAATTTCAATAATTGATTATATAAATGGAGTATTAGGGAGAACTGACTTGATAATTGGCCTTCTGCTACAAGATTATAAACCCTAGAAATCTGGTTGAGAGTAAGTTTAATATAAGCTAATATAAAGTGACTGCCATATAAAATACAATGTGGATAATTGTATATATATTTGTCCAGACAGTTCTCAAACTCCCGGTCTCAAGACATCTTCCCACCTTGGTCTCCTGAAGTGCTGGGATTATAGGCATGAGCTACTGTGCCTGGCCAGATAATGTTTTTAGATTTTATAAATAGTGGTATAATCAAGTCTTATTTCTAGTCTATGGACATGGATGGGGCTGCTGGATTAGAGAGGGATGGATAGAGAGAGAGAGAGAGAGAGATATTGAGAGAGGGAGAATTTAGCTTGCCCTATCACTCAATGAGTGTATGCCCTAGGTTGAATCAAAGCTGAGGTTTATTAATCTGCTATTCCCTTTGCTACTTTCATTTCATTTGTGCCTGTCCAAGTATATGTACTTCTCTGTGTTGAGTCTGATTCTGCTGTAGTTAGATACATATTTTAATGCCAAGTTTAGAGTGCAAATGGCTTCCTAAATGCAAGCAATTGATCATGTGATCCACTAAAGACAGTGATCTAGCACTGGAGAAATCTGAAGATGTTGGATTTCTTGAGAGGTAATAATACTGTTCTACAAAGTGGCACCCCTTTCAAGGGCAGTTTAGGTAATACTCAGTTTTTGCCTTGTGTGCTAACTTTACAGTCCGCTTTCTATGTGAGCTATGACTCTACAGTGTCAAGATCTATGGATGTAATGGTTCTGCTCTAGTTTGAGAGAGATGTTGACAAGTCAGAGCTCATAAAAAGAAGGGTGAAATGTCATTAGAACAGTTGAAGGAATCAGAATGTTTTGCCTATGGAATGAAAGCTTGAGAGAATTCTGAAAACTGCCTTTGAATATCTAAAGGGCTGTCATGTATCTGAATACACTCCTGTATTGTTCTGAGAACAGAGTCAGTGATAGTTCATGCAAGTTATGCGTGACCTGAGGTAAGGAAGATTTTTCTAATAATTTATGATAAAAGATGGAGTAAATTGCTTTCATAAGATAGTGAGTTCCCTGTTCCTTGCAGTGAACTAGCAGAAGTTGATTGACCATGTGTCTGAGATGTTCGCAGGGAGATCTCATCTTTTGTTTCGTCAGCACGCATCCACCCCTCCAGAATTCTGTTGTTTATTGCACCTGATTTTCCTCTTAGAACTCTTGTTAGAATTCCAATTGCAATTCATGTGTTTTAGATGAAGTGATGTTGACTTCACCTTCGGCTTCAGGGATCAGCCTGTGAGGTTCAGGTCTGGCATCACATTGTTGGCTACAGTAATTATTAGGGATGGACATGGGACCTGGTTCTGGGCAAAGAGAACTGCTGAGGAAGGAGCATGGCTCTCTTTTCCTCCGGGTTTGAAGCAGGAAGGATGTAAGTCAGAGAGAGGATAGCCCTCTTGACATCATGAAGAGCTTGAGAATGGAGAAATCATAGCGAGGGGAGAGTCAAGAGATGGAGAGGGGCCAGGCCTTGATGACCATCAAATCATGCCTAAACTTAGTGCCCCTGCAGGGCCACCTGGTCATGTGAGCCAGCACATTCCATTCTGTGGTAAGACAGTTTGAGGAGAGCTCTCCATAACTGGGAAACAAGAGTCTGTGATAATTTCAAGATGTGCCATGAGGTTAGAGTCTATAATTTTCCAGGTGGTGAGTTACAATGTTGTTCACCTAGTTATCTCTCAGATGTGTCCGTGGAGGAGCTAAATGCCATCATGAG
The DNA here is from genome assembly GCF_000001405.40 of Homo sapiens. Classification (NCBI taxonomy): domain Eukaryota; kingdom Metazoa; phylum Chordata; class Mammalia; order Primates; family Hominidae; genus Homo; species Homo sapiens. The sequence goes on along the minus strand of NC_000005.10, from coordinate 159,839,853 downwards.
TTTCATGAGCAAGAAACACATTGCAAGTGGCAGAAAACTGAGCACAGAGTTGGAGTGATTTCTCTTAAGTGCTTCTGGAAGCATCTTCTCTTATACTAGAGGTGGAAGCCGAAGTTAAAAAAAAAGAAGGAGAGCATTTGATTTTAACATCTTTGGGTGCTGCCACAGTCATTTAAAAGTCTTAGTTCATACTTACTAATTTTGCCAGAAGTGACCTATATAAGTACATATGGTGGTAAGGATGGGGGTAGGAGAAGCAACTGTGATGTGGGAGTTTGCAATTGCACCGAAGCAATTTAATGAGCTCAGATATGACGAGAGCAGGGGGCAAAAAGATTTTGGAGTCATCTAAGCTCATAGGTGAAAAAAACATCCTTGTGAATTCCAGGCATACATGACTTGTAGTGTGGGTTTAGTACACTGGAGGCTCTGGGGTGCCCTTAGTCACTTCTAATTTCTTCTTTTTTTTTTTTTCTCGAGATGGAGTCTTGCTCTGTCACCCAGGCTGGAGTGCAATGGCACGATCTTGGCTCACTGCAACCTCCACCTTCTGGGTTCAAGCAATTCTCCTGCATCAGCCTTCCAAGTAGCTGGAATTACAGGTGCCTGCCACCACGCCCAGCTGATTTTTGTATTTTTAGTAGAGACGGGGTTTCACCGTGTTGGCCAGGCTGGTCTTGAACTCCTGACCTCGTGATCCACCCAGCCTCCCAAAGTGCTGGGATTACAGGCATGAGTCACCATGCCTGGCTTGTCACTTCTATTTTCAAGCTCCAATTTCTTCTTTGTCTTTCATCATTGAAAAAAACCCAACCAACTCGGAGTGGTTGTTTATTCATTCAATAAATATTCTAGATGTTGCCTGAGCATGTTTCAGGTGCTGGAAATGCTTCAAAGAACACTCTAAGTCTCTGCCCCTCACGGAGTCTGCATTCTTTGGAGGGAAGGATATTAAGCAAAAATATGAAATATTAATATAGCATCAGTTAGTGTGTTAGTTGCCTGCTGTTAACATCACAAGTCACCATAAACAGAGTGGCTTAAGACAACACAAATGTATTATCCTGCAGTTCTGGAGGTCAGCAGTCTGACATGTGTCACACTGAGTTGAAATCAAGGTGATGGCATAGGGATGTTCCTTCTGGAACTTCTCGGGGAGAAACCCTTTCTTGCCTTTTTCAGCTTATAGAAGCAGCCCGTGTTCCTCGGCTCATCCCTTCCTCACATCACTTGAACATCTGCTTTTATCCTCACATCTCCTCTGACTCTGACCTTCCTGCCTCCCTCTTATAAAGACCCTTGTGCTTACATCAGGCTCATGTGGGTAATCCGGGATAATCTCTCTTTCCCAAGATCCTTAACTTAATCACCCCTTCAAAGCCCCTTTTTCCAGGTAAGGTAACATATTCACAGGCTCCAGGGTTTAGGATGTGGACATCTCTGGGGGCTGTTATTCAGCCTGCTAGGGGTAGTTTTAAGCGTTATGAAGAAAAAGAAAGCAAGGTGAAGGAAGAAGAGAAAATGAGGTGGGGAGGAGAAGGCCCTCTGTGATGGTGACGTTTGTGTTGAGACATGAAGTGCAGGCAGGAGCCAAGGGAAAGCTGAAAGGAACGTCTTCCAGGTAGAACGGAGGCAAAGGCATGGAGGTGAGGCTCAGCTTGGGGTGTTTGAAGGACAGCAAGAAGGGCTGGGGTAGAGTGAGTGAGGAGAACAGTGGTGGATGATGGGTTTGTCAGGCAGGCTGAACCTGGAGTGGGAGTTTGCTGTTCCTGATAAAGGCTTTTGACTTGATTCCAAGTGTGATGAGAAAGTGTCTGTCAAGGAAATGACATGATCTGACTCAATGATGGAGAAGGCCCCTCTGGCTGTTGTGTGAACAGACCATGGGAGCAGAAACAGGGAGAGGAGGTGAGAAGCTCCTGGAGTTGTCCAGTGGAAGGATGATGGGCCACAGTGTTGGGTGGAGGTGGTGAAAAGTGGTCAAATTTAAGATGTATTTTGATGTTGGAGCATGGAATTGCACAGGAAGTGCTGTGAGATTGGAGGTAAAGTGTGAGGGAAAAAGATGTGTTAAGGATGATACAGTTTTAGCCTGAAACTCTGGGTGAATCAGGTGCCATTTGCTACAAAGGAAAACACTGAGGGAGGAGCATATACTTTTAAAAATGGGAGTGAGAAAGGGAAATTGAGAATTTGATTTGGTTAGCACATATTAAGTTTGAGAAGACTGAAAAGATGTTCAAAGGGCAATGTTGAGTGAGAAGTTAGATAATCCAATCTGCAATTCAGAGGAAATGCCAGGGCAGCAGATATAAATTTGGGGTGAGGATATAGATGGTATTTAAAACCACAGGGCTGGATGAGGTCATCAAGACAGTAAGGATAGAAGTTGGGGAGAGGAAGACCCAGGGCAGAGCCCAGGGGCCCTCCTATATCAACAGGTCAGGAAGATCTGGTAGAAAAAAAAAAAAAAAGAGTCCAAAGAGTTGATAGAGAAACCAGGACAGGGTAGGTTCCTAGATGTCTAGTGATAAAAGCGTTCCAACAAGGTAGGGGGGTGATCAACTGTGCCATATGCTGCTAGCAGCACAGGTAAGAATTATGGAGGAAAAGCGCTTGTGACCCATCAGATTGGTGACACGAATTGGATGGGACCTTAGAAGGAGATCTTTCAGTAGAGTAGAGGATTGGAAGCCTTGCTGAAGAAGATAGCAAAGACAATGACTGGGGGAGGGATTGAAGGTGGCAAGAAGAGACAATTTTTTCAAGGAAGTTTGCACTAAGGGAGGCATAGGAAAGAGTGTGTTAGCTGGAGGGGGATGTGGGTGTGAAGGTGTTGGGAAATATTACCATGAGTCTCTATAGGCCTAAGGAATGATCCAGCAAAGAAGGAAAGGCTGTTCACATAGGAGAGAATGGGGAGAAATATATCAGCAAAGTCCTCAAGCAGGAGAGAAGCAACAGGGTCCCCCAGCATGGAGGGGGGCATTGGCTTCAGTCCAAGGATCAGCAGGGATTTGAAATTTGTGGCCTGAAAGTTAAAGTGAGACCAGTCAGCTGTGTGTGTCTTCTTTTGTAGCCACAGTGTGAGCTGCTAGGGTTTGTAGGAAGTGGAATTTATTCAGGGCTGGGGTTTTGCCAGCAGACAACAGAGTGGGAGCTGGCAAGGAGTTGTTGAGGGTGTCTGAATGGAGCCCAGTATGAATGCAGCTCGGGGCTGTGCAGACCCAATGAGTCTCTATTCTAGCCTTCCTCTGGCCTTGTTTCCTACTCCCCAAACCCAGATGGGGCAGTGTTTCTCAGTGATGGCAGAAACACCTGGTGCTTGCTAAAAAGGCCGATTCCTGGGCCTTATCCCCAGTTTACTGAACCCAGATCTTTGGGATGGACCTAGTGTCTCTATTTGAAACTTTGAAGCCAGGGCCCCAGTGGTCTTAGCTTTCCTGGGGTTGAGAGCCAATGCTTTGGGAGCATCAACTTGCTTTTGTAAGGAATCTTTGCTTAATTTTCTGTTCTTGGTGATATTTGCAATTTGGTTTAGATAAATCCCACAAATTTAGATTCTTCCATCATTCTTCCTTCTCATCAGCATTGCAACTTTCCCCGTTTTTAAAAAATTGTCCCTCTCTTCCATCTTGACATGCTACCACTGAGCACTGCCTTTCTGGTGGAAAGATGCTAATATTTGGTATCTGAAGGTTCCTGGGGTGTGGTGTGTTTGGCTAAGAAAGCAGAGCTTTGTGGACTTATGAATAAACTCAAAGGACATATTCTTCTCTCCTTAAAGTTTATTTCCCAACAAGAAAACCATCTGTTTTTCCACCACCACTTCCCTCAGCTCCACAATATATGAAAGCTTGTCTGCCCCTTCCTTTTGGCCATGATCATATTCCATTTGGCCTCACAGAGGTATCCATTATACTCAGAAAGTTACTTCATATGAGATGTAAAGATTTAAAATGAAGGCTAGCAAGATACATGTTCAAAAGAACTTGTTCCTTGTCAATGGGTCATGCCAGTTCCTATGAGAATGATGATCTCTGCTCCACTGATGCTCCAGCTACCCTGTTCTACTTTCAGTTTCTTTTTCTGACCAGGCCCTTCCTGCCCCAGGGCCTTTGCATGTGCCATACTTTCTATATGCAAAGCTCCTCCTTCCACCCCCATTTCACATAGCTGATTCCTTTCCTTCTTCAGGCTTCTGTTTAATTATCACCTCCTCAGAGAAGCTTCTCTGACTACCATAGCTACTGTAGGTTTTCTGATCACTACTACCTCCCCTATTTCTTATCTCAGCACCACATGTGTTTCCTTTATTGTTCTTGTTACAGTTTGTAATTGTTTGTTTAATTAATAATCACCTATATCCTGCAATATATTGTAAGTAATAAGAGGGCAGAATATAATCTGCTTTGTCCCTTATTTTGTCCCCAGTGCCTGGCATCTTATGGGTCCTCAATTTGTTGATTGAATAATTTGAGTGTGTCTAACATGGGGAGTGGTGTGATTAAAACACATTTTGGTTCGTATTACTTCTCTTCCAGTTAGGATTAGATTCAGCAGCAGGTGACCCAAAACTAAGTAAGAATAGAGGCTTGAACAAGATAAGGCTTTATTTCTTTTTCTAATATGGGGTGGTTCCATGGCAATCAGGGATTCAAGTTTCTGGAAGCTTTTAGCTCTATTTGGCCAAGAATGTGGCCATTGTACTCAGCATTCAAGATGGCAGCTAGTGCTCCAGCCATCACATCCATATTCTAGGCAGAAGTTTAGAGGAAGAGGTTAAACATGGTGGAAAAAAGAGTCAATGCCAGCTGCCTTTTCAGAAAGTTTCTCAGAAGCTGCCACCACAACACTTTCGCTTTTATTTCATTGTTCAGTACTCAGTTGCATGGCCATATCTACCTGCAAGAGAGCCTGGGAAATGTCCTTTTGCGGCGGGGGTGGGGGGGCACATTTATGCTCTAAATAAAACTGGAGGTTTTGTTAATAATGATGGGGAATATAGATACTTGGGTAGGCAACTATCAATCTCCATCACATGTTTCCTGCTCAAAAACCTTCTATGGTTCCCCAGTATTTATGTCAGGGATTATTACTACACAAATAATGAAGTTATTTGTGTATTTGAAACACTTTGGAAACTTTTTCAAAGGCATATGCTTGGGCTTCAATCCCTGAAATTGGGTAGATCTGGGTAGAGGTTTGTTGTTGATGCTTCAGGCGCCAACCACAGCCTTTTTTTTTTTTTTTTTTTTTTGTGAGATGGAGTCTTGCTCTGTCCCCTAGGCTGGAGTGCAGTGGTGCGATCTCAGCTCACTGCAAGCTCCATCTCCCGGGTTCATGCCATTCTCCTGCCTCAGCCTCCGAAGTAGCTGGGATTACAGGTGCCTGCCACCACGCCTGGATAATTTTTTCTATTTTTTAATAGAGATGGGATTTCACTGTGTTAGCCAGGATGGTCTTGATCTCCTGACCTTGTGATCCACCTGCCTCGGCCTCCCAAAGTGTTGGGATTACAGGCGTGAGCCACCGTGCCCAGCTGCCAACCATCGCTTTCACCACCATTGCAAGCCTGAGTTCTGAATGACTTGAGGAAACCACTTGAGGCAAGTGAGGAACAAAAGTTCACCTTCATTCTTGATTAGGCTGCTTGGAGAACGCAGCTTTTAGGTGTACTGGCTAATCGGGCTTTTTAATGAAGCCACCCTTGAATTAGACTTATCTGGTTGCAGAGTGAGGCCACCATGTGCTTTGCTGTGGGGAGGACCTTTGCCTTTGATGCCATGGCAGGATTAGCTCAGAGCACAAATGTTCGCAGTAGGCAGGTCCCCAGGGACTGAGCCACCCACGCTGTTTCCTCTTCCCAAATCCATCGGTCAGATGAGTTGTACCTATTTCCCATTTCCCTCCTGAGGCAAGGCATGAGTAAGGAGTGGGGCAAGCGGCTAGGAGGGTTATCCTGGGAAAGCTGAGAATCAAGGAACAATGTGAAAATCTCTAACCTGTTTTGTAAAGCCCAAGTTACTTTGCAAAGCATCTGAGCACTTTTGTGACCTGCCTGGGATCTGTAGTTCTGCTTTATGTCTTTCTTCTTCATATTCTCTCTGTGCCAACATCTTCCTTCCTCAGTGCCTTTGCTCTTGCTGTCTTCCTGCCTGGAGGACACTTCCTTTTTAACTATGCACATTAGACCCCAACCCCATTTCAAAGTCCAGAGCCAATGTCTTATTCTCCATCAATCCCATTATACCAAATCCATCTCTCTTTGCTCTTGTTCCCATGGCACCTCATTTATGCCACTCACGCTATCTTCTCATTCTTTACCTATGCCTCCATGCAGACAGACATGACACGTTGCTTAGTAGGGAAAGCAACAGGAAGGAGGCTTGCATGAAAGGAGGTAGGGCAGCTGGAAGGCAGGGAATGGAGGGAGGGAGAAACGTGGGGCTGCAAAGTGACTGTCCCCTCCAGACCAGACCTGTGCTCTCTGCTCACCACACCCTGCCACACACCCTGACTACATCAGCTGCCTGGCCCTTATAGGTGTTGGTCTTGTGATTGGTGTTCTACAGCCTCCCCTGGAGGTGGCTGAGGCCACTTAGCCTGCTCCAGAGACTGAGAAATGCCCTTGTATGGATCAGCTCATTGTTTGCAAACAATGCCCTTAGTCTTCCTGTAACCTGCACTCAGTGGCCCCTGTCCTATCTCTTGGGCGTTGCACAGATTATACTGACTGCCTCTTGCATGTGACAGTCCCTTTGACATTTAAAGTTTGATGTGTCACCATTGTTTCCATCTCCTCTCAAAAGTCAACATATCATATCTATCGGTTGTTTTTATAAGTGATGTTAATAAATGATGTTTTGACTGATTGTTAAATGCCAGCTATGAGCTTTTAGCAAGTGAAGTAGGCCCAGGGAAGCAGAGGCAAATCAGAAAGTCAGAATTGTATGGGCATTTTAGAAATCTTTAGGCTAGGGATAATAGACAGCCTCATGTGCTCATTTTGATAAATGGAGAGTGGCTGCTTAGAGCACAGGGTTGCTGTCTGGGTTCACTGGGAAAGGTGCTGGGATGGATTAGTAAAGGGTGGTAGGGGGAGGTCAGTCATTCGCCATCCTTGATTGTACCCAATTTCAAAGGCTCAGAGATGTAGACAGAGTCCCAACTGGAGGAAGGAACAGAATGGGATCGAGAATTCCTGATTTCTATTCTTAAGTTTTCTTCTTCCTTCTGACCAAACTGCCTCATTGTTGTTGGTGTCTTCCAGGGAAATTCAGATTATCAAGACTTCAGATTGTTGTTGTTGTTCTCTCATTTTCTTACCTCCTAGCTGTCTCAACTACCTCCTCCAGAAGCCGACTTTTACGTTAATCTGCCTGTGCATCTCCTTCCTCAGTTAAATAAAAAATAATCATCCTGCTTCTTCCACTGTCATTCTTTTTGGAAAGCACAATAATCAGTCTTTAATGAGCTTGTGACTCTGAACCGAGGTATAATAATTCCAGTGACTCTGCAGCTTCCGTGGATGGAAATATATTTATTTTAGAAGCTGATGACCTGTGGGAAAAGGCTATTATTCTAAATACCATGATGAGGTCATGGGAGTTGGTAGAGGGCTTGGGGAGAGGGGAAGAGAGGGAAGAGAACCAGTGAAATTAGAATTGCTTATGAATGAAAATAGACTGCTTTCTATTCTGAGCAAGAGATCCTACTTTTGTGATTTTTTTAGGGATATTGAAGCAAAATGTACAGAGATGGGAGAAGTTTCTTGAGCCTGGCTCAACCCTTTGCCTAGAGTTCCATTAGGTAACATGAAAGATGGTTGGTGAGGTCAGCCTTAGGTCCTAGGATGGACTAGAGGGTGCTAGGAGCAGGAAATGGGATGATTGGTGAACATGCTTCACATTGTATCTTAGACTTTCTTCCCATATTGAAATTTTTCATAAAATACTATACTTTTTAATTATATAAAAGGTAGAGAAACAAAAACAAACAAAAATGCTTAGTTATCCATAATCCCACCCCAGTCGTTACCGCTAAGCAGATACAGTATGTGTACACACACACATGTATACATACACACATATATGTGTATATATATTATACATACACACGTATATGTGTATATATATTATACATATACACATATATGTGTACATGTATACATGTGCATTTTGTAAGATGGGAATCTTCTAGACATACTCTTCTTCTTTAACTTTTCAATTTATCATATATTGTGATCATCTTTCGTGGTCAAGAAATACAGATATGTGATGTTGTATTGGACTTTCATTGATTGTTCTCTGAACAACTATTCCAACTTTGTAATTTCTTAACAGAACACAGAATTTCGAAGCCAGACGGTTTGCGAGAGTCATCCTACCTTAGTTCCAGGGTGCACTTTGATTAGCTTTGCCAATCAGCTTATCTTATTACCTACACCTTGGCAATTGGTTCAGGATGGACACTTGACCTATTTTGGACCAAAGAGGAAACATTTGCTGAGGACTTCTGAGATAGAAAGTTTCTCTCTCTTTTATGGAAGCTTCTGGAATGGGTACTTTTTCTTGCTTTGGGTGGTATGCCATAAGCAGGTGGGGTAGGAAGTTCAGTGGTTATTGTTACTAACAGGAAAAGGAATAGTTGAGGCCGAAGCAACACAGAGCAGAGTTGCGGAGTGGAGAGTATGGCAGAAAACATGAATCAGAGCCCACACTCCCTCAGGAACCTCTGGGTCAAACCATGCCTGAGATCTGGTCCCCCTCTAGGCATTTCAGTTAAATGAGCCAATCTATTTAAGGATATTTGAGTTAGATTTTCTGTTACTAGCAACCCAAAGCAACCAAAGTAATACAACCATTCAAATATTGGAATAGTATTCTTTCATATATGTGTGCTGTAAGTATTTTCATGCATACCATCCAATTTGATATTTAAGTAGTCTTCTTATGAGTTAAGTAAGTATCTGTTTGGCAAGTGCAGAACTAATGCCCAGAGAGACCGATGGACCTATCCAAGGTCCCTGACCTGTCTACCATCATGCAGCCAGTTAATGGCAGAATTAGGTTTTCTGATTTTTGAGCAGAACCTTTTCTAATCAAGCAGAGAGATTAGGGTCCAGTGAATAGAATGGTTCTAAAGGATGAGACCACATTATTAGGTTAACAGTAAGGGTATAAAAGGGACTTGTCATGTGAATCAGTTGCAATCTAAGATGTAAGACATGAAAAGGTTTAGAGATTAGGCCAGCAGTTCTCAAAGTGTAGACTGGGGAGGTCTTTTCAGGAGGTTTGTAAGGTCAAAACTCTTTTCATAATAATGTTAAAATGATATTTTCTGTTTCATTGTCAATCTCCGCAAGTGTACAGTGGAGTGTTCCAGAGGTTACATGACACGTAACACACAACAGACTAAATGCAGAGGGAAATGTGAGAACTCAGCTGTCTTCCAAAAAACCAGACACTAAAGGGATTTGCAGAAATTTCAAACAATGCCACTGCCTCACTATAGACAGATCCAACTCAAACAAAACCTGTTTGAATCTTTAATATTTTTAAGGTGTTTTGAGACTAAAAAGTTTGAGAACCACTGGATTAAAGAATAAATACGATTTTCAATTAAATTTCTTTCAGAAGACCCATTCAAGAAAGTCTAGTTTTCCTGTTGGCTTCTAACACCTGGACTCAAGGCACAAAATATAATGTGAATTGGAAATTAGGCAATTGAGAGGTAACAGAATCAATATGGTTTAAACCAATTTGTACTACTTTGGCCAAAAGTTCACTTTGGGATCTAATGAATTTGTTGTCTATGTTAAAGAAATTGATGAGAAACTGGCCATCTCTGTTCATTGCTTTGCAGTTTGTAGACACCCAAAGCCACTAGAGTTCTGTGTAGTGAGAGGTCTCACTCTCTCTCACTGATACAGCACACATCTGTCAGGTTTTCTGGGAGCAAGCAACAGAAGCTGACTCTGGCCGATTGGGCAGAGAAGGAATTTATCAAAAGGATATTGAGAGCTCTCAGAATCGTCAGGAGAGGTGGAGAGCAAGGTCTGAAGGTAAACTTAAGGAGCAATGAAAACACCGCTCCGTAGAACTAGATTGACAGAGGGACCATTGCCCCTACTGTTGTCCCACTAAGCCATAGAAGAAACCACCACTATTGCTATGCCAAGATCTCATCCTTGCAAACATTGTCACCCCAAAAGTCAGACCTCTTGCTGCCATCCTTGCCAGCACAATGGATCCCCTGGAAAGTCTCTTTCCTTGAGTTGCTCTCTTAGAATCAAGGTCTTATAGGAGTGTGTCTGATTGTCCCAGCCTTGGACACACTTTCATCCAGTCTGAAAGGGAGGCCCAGATTTGATTGGAGTCTTCTGGGTTTTGCTTTGGAGTAGTAGGATCCACAGGGCTAAAACTATTCCAAACACAGCAAAGGCATTTAACAGGAGCTGAGAGGTCAGAAAATAGGACTGACGTTTGCCGCATATAGTGTATGAAGTCACAGAGTTACAGTTATGCAGAAAGTTTCAGAGTCAGGCAGAATTGGGAGTCAGTTTCAGAGTTAGGGTCCTGGCTTTATGGCTGCTAGCAGCTGTGAGATCTGAGGCAAGTCAAACTCTCAAAGCCTTAATGGTATCACCTGCCTCCTTGGGAAGATGTGAGGGTTAATTTCCTGGGTGCAATAATGTGTAACATAATATTATGTGTACGTAGTAGGAACCCAATAAATGGTAGCCATGAATATTATTAATTTTCAGACTCTGCCATAGACACTGCTCTCTAAAGGGGTAAGGAGGAATCAGGCACAAGGAGGCCAAGGGGCTTGACTATAATTTAAGCAACAACTCATGTCAGGATATGCTTCTGAACTCACTGATTCTGGGTTCAGCTCCTATCCCAGTTCCTGAGCTTCATTACCTCCTCGTGCAATCAAAAGGTGGCAGAAGTGACTGGGCACAGTGGCTCACACCTGTAATCCCAGCAATTCAGGAGGCTGAGGCAGGTGGATCACTTGAGGCCAGAATTTCAAGACCAGCCTGGCCAACATGGCAAAACAACATCTCTACTAAAAATACAAAAATTAGCCAAATGTGGTGGTGTGTGCCTGTAATCCGAGCTACTTGGGAGGCTGAGGCATGAGAATCACTTGAGCTTGGGAGGTGGAGGTTGGAGTGAGCGGAGATTGCGCCACTGCACTCCAGCCTGGGCAACAGAGTGAGACCCTGTCTGCAAAAAAAAAAAAAAAAAAAAAAAAAAAAAATGGCAGAAATAATAGAGTAATAAAGAAGTAATCCACATCAGTTGGTTATTTTAGGGTAGGAAGATTTAAGGTGAGTTTTACTTATCTTCCTTATTCTTTTCTGTGTTGTTTGAAAATTTACTGAGTACATAGTATTGAAAATAATGTTAAAAATTTAAAATTAGCAGTAAAGCTGTTTTTATCCCAGGAACAACCATCTGTCTCAATTTGGGTTTTCCTCAAAGCTGAGCCTGAGACAGAGATTTGGGAGCAGGTAAAAGGTGATCTAAGTCTCAATCCTGGTTCTCCAATGTGCACTAAAGGGGTTAATCTATGTGAGCATTTTCCAAATGTAGATCAGTGATCAAGAGATTGCTACCAGGGATTACCCAAACAACAGCGTCCATAGTGAAATGAGTTTGGGAGATGCAGGGACAAACAAAGGCTTCTTTACTGTGCGACTTCTCGGGAACTTCCCTCTGGTAATGCATATTGAGAGTCTCGGAGAGGGACTCACACAACCAGCCCTCCTTTTTATCCCAAGGGGACTTTGCAGGATTAATATTCTGGTGAGCACACTTTGGGAAATGTTGGATGATCTCAGAGGCCACTTCAGGCTATAAATTTGGTGATTTCTATGATCTCATCTAATCTTTTCCCCAAGTAAGCAAGAGGAGAAACTGTGGTCAAAATCACTCATCAAAACCAAGTAGCCAGTTATTGGCAGAACTGGGGCTCAAACTCAAATCTTTTGAGCCCCCATTTTTTCCCCACTAAACACAGGGTAAAGAAGGCAGGTGTTATGAATTGAATTGTGTCTCCTCAAAAAGATATATTGATGTCCTACTCCCTCGTACCTCAGAATGTGACCTTATTTAGAAATAGGGCCTTTATAGAGGTAATCAAGTTAAAATGAGATCATTAGGGTGGGCTCTAATCCAAAATGGCTGGTTTCCTTATAAGAAGAAGGGCAGGTACGGTGGCTCACGCCTATAATCCCAGCACTTTGGGAGGTTGAAGCGGGCGGATCACTTGAGCTCAGGAGTTCGAGACCGGCCTGGGCAACATGGTGGAACTCTCACTATGAAAACCACAAAAAATTAACCAGATATGGTGGTGTGTGCCTGTGGTTCCAGCTACTCAGGAGGCTGAGGTGGGAGGATCGCTTGAGCCTGGGAGGTGGAGGTTGCAGTGAGCTGAGAGTGCACCACTGCATTCCAACCTGGGTGACACAGTGAGACCCTGTCTCAAACAAAACAAAACAAAAAACAAAAACAAACACTGTGGGGGGGAAATTTGGATACAGAGGTAGACATGCACAGAGGTAAAGCAGGGAGAATGCCAAGCAGAAACAGTGCAGAGCCTGGAGTGATCCTGTCTCACAACGCCTGGTGCTACCAGAAGCTGGAAGAGGCAAGGAAGGATCTTTTCCCTACAGGTTTCTGAGAAGCATGGCCCCACCAACACTTAGGTCTTGGACTTCCAGCCTCCAGAACTGTGAGACAACACATTGCTGTTGTTCTAAGTCACCAGTCTGTGGTACTTCATTATGGCAGCCCTAGGAAACTAATCCAGCAAATATGACTCTGTGCTCCTTTTAAGCCAGACCCAAGTCTGAAGTCTGAGCAGAGCAGTTCATAGTCTGCCTGCTGGGAAAGCTGCTGGCCTCCACCCTGGGGAGACAGTGCTTCTGTTCCACAGCTAGGAACAAGGAGAGTCTCCACCCTCACTTTAGACCTGGTCTCCCTGCTCTTCTCTCCTCTGCCTTGGAGGCCCATAAGCCTTTTAAAAACAAGCAGAACCCTTAATGTCCACTTTTCCTTGTGTGTGGGCAGGGCTGTTTCCTTGTGCTGGGCTGCTGGGCCATGGAATGTGACCTCTCTCTGTGGAAAGAGCCCAGAGCGAGCATTGCCAGCAGAGTTGGCAGGTACCGAGCTACCCAGGGTGCAGACACCTGTTGCTTGAATCTATTTGTGGAAACCTCCTGAGTGCTCACTGCCTACAGGAAGGGCTTGGGCTGCTCACCAGATGAGTCACTTCTGCATTGTCATAAGAAGACTTTACAGTTAAGTGCCCATCCCAGGTTCCCAGGGCCGCAGGAGCACACCAACTGATTTAGTGCCTGGACTGACTTTATAAGACAGACTGGGCATCCCCATTTTACTGATGAAGAAACTGAGGCCCAGGCGAATGAAGGGATTTACCCAGGGTAATAAAATTAGTTGACACAACTGAGACAAAGGAGCTGCATATGGGAAGAACTGGATGCTTACATGATAAAATCTAGGTGCAGGGGGCTGGGTACCTGAGGGGGCAGTAGGAGAGGCAACTCCCCAAGGGAAGCGCTGAGAAATGGGAGACTGGAGGGCCAAGAGGCCTCGGCTTTGGAATCAGAGCCAGGTTTGCATCCAGGTTCTGCCAAATACTAGCTGTGCAACTGGGTGAGTTGCTCTCCATGCCTCAGTTTATCTGATAAAGAAAATAGTTATGCCTCCTTTGTGGGTTGTTCTGACCATTAGATGAGAGGATACATGTATTTAAGTTGGTGTCTGGTATCTGTGAATCATTCCCTAACTCACTAGTATTATTATCGTGGTAGTGATTAGCAGCCTCTAATTACCCTGTGCCTTTGCCTGGAGCTGACCTGCGGCTGTGGCCTCTTCTGAGGTGGGAGGGGCCTGACAGGGGCAGGGAGTGGTTGGTCAGGGAAATGGGCCAGGAGAGGCCCTCCACAGCTGTTGGGAACTGGAGAGCCATCAGGAACCAAGCCCTCAGAGGTGATTTCTGTTGCTAACTTTAAGGGCCTGTGAACAAAACAAATAAAACCTGGTGGGAAGTTTTTCAAAATGTTCTCAGGTGCTGCCAAGCCTCAATATGTTTTCTGAGCCACACCAAGGCAGCCTCATCCCCCACTCCCTGTAGAGGCAAGGGACTGTGACCCTTTCAGGGTAACAATGCATATGAGCAATGTAGCAACTTGGGCAGTACTTGTTCTTTTTCCCCTAAGGAGGCCCGTGGCTCTCACTCATGCACTCTTCATGCTGAGCTGCACCCAGTGGCAAAGAAACAGGGCTAGGGTAAAATGAGGTCCAGGAGGTCAGCTCTGCTGAAGGTGAATATTAACTGTGGAGCCCCTCAGGTGTTGAATAAGAGGGCAAATTTCCAGACGCTTCACTCTTTTCTCATAGAAGCATCTATTCCCTGCCTATCCCCCAGCATAGATCTGACAGTGACTCTTCTCTGCTGAAATCTTCCATGGCTCCCTATTGCCCATACCCTATGGGATGAAGTTGAAATTTCTTATCCTGGCATTCGAGGGCTTTGAGGATCTGGCCTCAGTCTACTTCTGAAGCCTGTCCCTTGTTGGGTTCCACATGAACCCAAACTCCAGCCATACCCAGGACTTGCAGTTCTCCAAATGCACCCATAAATTCTACCCCACTGTGTCTTTGCTTTTGCCTGCAGGACAGGCTGGTGTAATGGAGACATGGTAGGTGCTCAATACATGTTTGCTGAATTGGTCATACTTTATTTTATCATCTTGTCATGTTTAAAGACAATTCCTGACAAAACTGTGAGCAAAATAAAATGGCTATTTTAAGCCACTACGTTTTAAGGTAATTTGTTGCACAACAACAGGGAATCAGAGCATCAAATTAATTTAGTTTTTAAAAAATGACCTAGGTATTAGTCATCCAGTATTAAAGACGGGAGACAAGTCTTGATTTTAAAAATGAGATAAGCTTCATCACCGAGCTTTTTGATGACAGAATGCTCAATTCACAGGGAGAGTACACTCAATATCAGCTTTGACAGGGAGAGAAAAGTGAGAGCAGGCGACTGCAGCAATGGTGGCATTTAATCTGCTATGCCCTGCCTTTGTCCTGAGGTGTTGGGCTGGGACCTCTCAGTCTCTCTATGCCGAAGCTGCTGGCTATTTTCATTTCCTGCAGGAGATGCCATGATGAAAACAAGATACTTAGAAATAAATGAAATGAATTAGCTCAGGAAGTCTTTTCTAGCACAGGACCAAAAAGTCTGTCTTGGGATGGAGACCCATACTAATTATTCTAGAAACAAGAAAACTGCTCGCTTGCTCTCTTTCTTTCTCTTTCTTTCTTTCTTTCATTCTTTCTCTCCCTCTCTCCCTCCCTCCCTCCTTTCTTTCCCTTTCTTTCTCTTTCTTTCTTTCATTCTTTCTCTCCCTCCCTCCCTCCTTTCTTTCTTTCTTTCTCTTTCTTTCTTTCTTTCTTTCCTTCCTTCCTTCCTTCCTTCCTTCCTTCCTTCCTTCCTTCCTTCTTCCTTTCATCTTCTCTCTCTCTCTCACTTGCTGCAACTTCCATCTCCTGGATTCAAGAGATTCTTGTGCCTCAGCCTCCCAAGTATCTGGGATTAAAGGCATGTGCCACCATGCTGGCTAATTTTTGTATATTTAGTAGAGATGGGGGTCTCACCGTGTTGGCCACGCTGGTCTCAAACTCCTGGCCTCAAGTGATCTGCCTGCCTTGGCCTCCCAAAGTGTTGGGATTACAGGTGTGAGCCCCTGTGCCTGGCCTCCTTCTATTTTTCAGTGATTAAAAGTATCTAAGTGGCAAAGCAGGCTATAAACATGACCGTGTGAGGCCAGAGTCCCCTCACCAGGGTAAAGTCTGTTTCATCCTCCTGTTCTTTCAGATCCCTGGGATAAGTTTTGCTAGGATACCCATTAACTCTTCATTGGTATCTGCTAAAGATCAAATTATTCCCCATCCCCTTCCCCCACCCAAATATTTTCAAGTTCTAACCTGAAATGTGATTGTATTAGGAGATGGGGCTTTTAGGAGGTAATTACCTTAATTAAGGTTGAATGAGGGCTTAAAGGTGAGGTCCTAATCCAATAGCATTTGTTGCTTTATAAGAAGTGAGAGAGAGGAGAGACATCCCTCTCTCCCTCTGCCTGAGCACACTGAGGATAGTCTGTGTGAGGACCTGGTGAGAAGGCAGCCTTCTGGAGGCCAGAAAAGAGCCCTCACTAGGAACCTTGATCCTGGGCTTCCAGTCACCAGAACTGAGAGAAATCATTTCCACTGTTTAAGCCACCTAGTCTATGCCATTTTGTTATGGCAGCCTGAGCAGGGTAATATGGCCTCCCATTTCCATTTGGCCTTTTGGTAGTCCATTCCTTATACAATAGCCAGAGGGTCTTTTACAATTATAAAGTCAGCTTCTATCCATTGGCTTCCCACAGCAAAAGGAATTTCATTTGGATTCCTTACTCTGACCTATGAGACCCCAAATGATCTGGCCCTTGTTCACCTCTCAACCTCATCTCCTAATTTCTTCCTCCAAAATTCCCTGTCCTGCAGCCATATTGCTATTTTCGTTTGTTTGTTTCTGCCTCAGGACCTTTGTACTTGCTGTTCCTTCCTGAAATTATGTTCTCCAGAGTATCTCATGACCCAGCTCAACTGGAGCCTGCTCAGAGAGGGCTTCCCTGTCCATCTAATAGTCACTATCTATGATAATCACCTCATTTAATAGCCTTCCTAGCATTTAACAGTATCTGATATTATCTTAGGTATTTGTGAACTTGTCTATGTTCCCTACTAGAAGGTAAGTGGCATGAAGGCAGGATGCCTGGCTGTCTCATTAATGCCTATATCCCAATGCCTAGGGTGACAGCAGGCAGTAGGAAGCTTTCGTCTTTGGTGGATGAATGAATGGCTGAAGCCCTTGTTTCTTACCACTTATCCTCATCTGTTCAGTGCCTATCCATCCTTCACTACCTGTCTAAACCCCACCGCCTTAGACCTATATAAGTCCTTCCTTTTTTGACTCCTCCTAGCAAGTACTTCATAGCTCTGATAGACTTTTCTTTTTTTAATGA
Organism: Homo sapiens; assembly: GCF_000001405.40. NCBI lineage: Eukaryota > Metazoa > Chordata > Mammalia > Primates > Hominidae > Homo > Homo sapiens. Next base: position 159,822,737 of record NC_000005.10, on the reverse strand, counting down.
AAACAGTTTGTTTACTGAAATATGCTATGTATACATGTTTAAGCCCCAATTTCTCTACCAAGTTCAGTTTGTGTCTAGGATCCAGACATGGTCAAGGGCAGTAACATGTTGCTGCTTTTGCAGCTTTGCTCTGCCGCATTTACTTTTTGTTCTGATTTTCCCACAAGCTTTTGCCTCCCTGGATATAAAAGTTTGTTGTCTAAAGCCAGGAGTGGTGGCGGGCACCTGTGGTCTCAGCTACCCGAGAGGCTGAGCTGGGAGGATTACTTGAGTCCAGGAGTTCAAGGCTGCAGTGAGAGCCATGGTGCTCTGATACACTTTTATCTTACTCTGCCATATGTTTGGATTTTATGGGTTTTGTGTGTCCCTCCCTGCCCTACTGTAATCTTTTTGAGGACAAGGACTGGGCTTTACTCATGGCTATATTTCGTGGTTCCCCCCCACCAAAACCCTGCCATCCAGATTGCATAGAATGCAGGGAGCTTTATTCTCCTCCAGCATCTTCAGGGTAGAGATGCAAGTTTTGGGAAGGTAGATTTCACACCTAGTGAATTCTCAAACAGACAAGCAATTGTTAAGGCAAGAGATTGTTGAGTCAGGCTATTGTTTGATCTCCTCTAAATGTATATTCTCAGCAGAACCAAAGAAATTATGGAAGAATCAGGAGAGCTGCGAACGTTGCAAAATTCCATGCTATCAATGAAATGTAGTTTCTGATCTTCGCACAATTGCTCTTCTAAGCTAGGCCTGAACAATATTCTGAGACTCTCTTTTACTAGAATAATTCCACCTAAGAATAGTAAGCATTAAAGTCAAGAGTTAGAGCTAGACGGGAAATAATCCAGCCTGATTCTCCTCAAGAAGAGAAGAGGAATGTGAGGCTTCAAAATAGTCGTATTCAACATCAAACAGAGAGCAGGGGCGAATGTGGGATGCCCACAAGAGGAATCTGAGGCTTCAAAGAGTCATACTGAACATCAAACAGAGATCAGGGGCGAATGTGGGATGCCCGCAGAGGCCTCCTGACCCTGTGCCAGGGCTCCTACCATCCAGGGTTAGTCCCTTTGTGCTAGCCACACTCCTGATGCTGTCATATAACACTTTTCTACCCGTAAACTTCAAGTTTCAATTCTTTATGCATCCTCGCTGATGGAATGGGGACCCGCCTCCATGGCCTGATTTCAAGGACATCAGAAAAGTTCTCCTCCTACTGTCCACCCCAGTCTTCTACCCTGCCCTGTGCCTGAAATTGCGCCATTAGAGACAAGCCATTTTATGTTTTTCTCTAGACCAAAGGTTGCAACCCCAAATGCTTATAAGGATAAAGCAGGTCATATAAATGGTGAGTTTGCACAGGTGGGACTGTGGGGTACTGAGGGGCACAGGCCATGTCTCCAGGGCCTAAAGGGGCAGCTGCCACTCCACCTCGGCCCAGAGGGACTGTGTCTTCTGTGTTTTCAAGGGGAGCCAGAAATGTATGTGTGTGTCTTTTTAAATTTGAACTCTTCTGAATTTTAAACATTGTCAACACATTTTCAAAAATTAATGTACTATCTGGCCAAAACCGAACCAAACCAAAAGAAAACCTCTGCAAGGTGGATTTACTCTTTCACATATGTGTGTAAAGCCATGTATAGATTCTTTCCAATAGCAGTTTGGGACATGAGCTGATAGACATCAAAGAAATAAAGTATTTTCCCAGGGATCTGCATGGAAAGCCGGGTTTGAGTGGTATGCACAGGGCCCTCTGCAGGGTAATGGGAGTGAGATGCCAAGGGTGCAAAATGTAAGAAGGTGCTTGCTTTCAGGATGGACCCTGAACTTGCATGACCCAGAGGGTGAGCACCTCCTTAAATTTTGTGCCCGGTGCAGTGGCTCACTCCTGTAATCTTAGCACTTTGGGAGGCCAAGGCAGGCAGATCACTCAAGCTCAGGAGTTTGAGACCAGCCTGGGCAACATAGTGAGACCCCTATCTCTACTAAAAATGCAAAAAAAAAAAAAAAAAAAAAAGAAAATCAGCTGGTCATGGGCGCCACTTGTAATCCCAACTACTTGGGAGGCTGAGGCAGGAGAATTGCTTGAACTTGGGAGGTGGAGGTTGCAGTGAGCTGAGATGGAGCCACCGCACTCCAGCCTGGGTAACAGAGGGATACTCTGGGATACTCTGTCTCCAAAAAAAAAAAAAAAAAAGAGAGAGAGAGAGAAAAGAAAGAAAGAAAGAAAGAAAAAATTGTGCTTCACTGGCCTCAGCCTACTCCCAGCCCTGATTGTGGAGGGTGAGGAGGGCAGGGGGAGGGCCAGGTGAGTTGGGAGAACCATACCTAGGGGTCAGATTGAGTGCAGTATGAGGTAGTGTGAAGATGAAGTGGTGTGAAGGCCAGTTTTGCAGGGTGCATGCTTCTGCTGTGACTTCCCTGCGGCGGAGGAAGCTGGGCACAGTGCGTCCTGTGCTTACAGCTTCACTGTTTGCTTCCCTGATATTTCCACACCCTCTGGAAGTCTTGACTCAGTCGTGCCCCAAGTGACCTCAGTGGAAAGTGTGAGAAAGCAAGGAGCAGCAGTTGTTTTTATCCCCAAACCAAGCAAGGAAAACAGTTGTTGACATAATGCCTGACTATCAGCTCTCTGCTCTGCTGACTGTCCAGGGCCCTGGAGCTGCTGCAGACCACTCGTGGTGCATGGGGCCGTGGGTGTTAGTTGATCCAGAGGTGCTAGGAGTGCAGCATCAGTCTCTGCCTCCTGTGAACCACTCCCCACCCCCCATCCCTAGGAGGAGGGCAGGCTTGTGACCCTGGTGGTGCTGTCCTGGTTAACTCTGAGGATGGGGAGGCTGGGCCTTTGAGGAGCACTGGCCTCCCTGCCTCTGGAGTGGAGCTTGGCAGGAAGCTGGAGGGGCAAGATTCTGAGCAGTTCCTCCTGCTGCCTCTTTGGCTCTGCAGCCAAACGCCTGTGGTTTCAGCCTAGTGTTGGGGACAGCTGGGTTTGTTTTGGTGTTCAAACCGGGACATAGGGGGAACATGGTTTTAACATCAAAAAAATAAATTGTTTTTAAGAGAGGGAGAGAAGGCTTCCAGCAGGAGCTCTTGAAGGCTTCTAACCCCGCTTGCTCCCCCTGATGTCAGAGAATAAATGCCTGACAGGAGCCAGCAGTTAGCAAGCAGCCCTGCAGATATTATAGGCAATGTTGTAGGAGTGGGACCAATTACCCCTAAGATGTTGGGAGGGTCCACATAGCCTGGGCACAGGGATCCTAGGGACTCCCTCATTTACCCCGACCCTTGCTGCAAGTTGCTTGCTGTTATTGATACCTGCAGCAGGTGTCTGGGCCGGCAGATCCTGTGGGGGCTTCTGCTAGGGCCAGTGGGGAGGAGAGAAATGTGACAGCTGTCTGCAAATGTTGGATGTTGGAGAAGCTGTCATTGGAAAGGGAGCAATAGGCATCTCTGGGGCCCCAGAATATGTAATTAGGACTGGGAGCAGGCCTAAAGGAGACCACTTTCTTATTATTAAAAGAAAAAAAAAAAAGAAAGTGTAATGATTAGGGTGTCTGCCATTGTGTCTCAGGTTTCAGTCACCTCCTCAGAGTGAACTTCCGTCGAAGCTCTCTTCCTCCAGCTAAAGTTGATCCTCTTCCCAGTGATTCTGTCTCATCAATCTGTTTCTTTCTTGCAACTTACTTAGCAAAGTCTATACATATCATGCTTCTTGCCTGCCTGCTTGTTCATTTTCTACCCACCAGTCTGGGTGATGAGCTTCCTTGGGGCACAGGGCTTTGTGCCTTTCTCATTACTGCTTCCCCAGTGCCTAGCACAGTGTCTGGCACGTAGTAGGAGCTCAATAAATATGTGCGGAATGAACAAATGAAGAATGAGAATGAGTTAATACTGCAGGAGGAAATGAAGTCCCCACCACTGGAGGAGTTAAGCAGAAGTTGAGGGCCAAAAGTCAGAAAGTCCACTGGCCCCTGGTTTGGTTAAAGTTATGCTTGCTGCTGGGACTAATGGACTATATGATGGTTCATTTGTGAAAGAGAGTTAGTTTTGTTCATGTAAAGTTCTAGCTGGGTGTTTCTGATGGGTGGGCAGCTCTCCTTTAGGAGGTGGCTCAGAAACTCCGGCCTCTTTCATCCTGTGGCTCCATCATTTTCTATCTGTGGCATTTTTGGTCACCATGCTGAATTGTATCAAACAGTTTAGAAAAAAGGAGGTGATTACAGACCAAACCTGGAAGAGGTGCACATCCCTTCCACTCACACGCCGTGGACTAGAACTCCGTCATATCTAATTGCAAGGTTTGGGTCATGGCCCAGAAGCAAGAGGAGACAAGTTTGGTTCATAACCTCCCAGGCTCTGTCCCAGGCTCTGATATGCCTGCACTGGGCAGGAGGTAGAACCAGATGGTTTCTGGGAGCCTCTTCAGCATTTGCGTTTAAAGGTTTTGTGTTTCCCTTCTGCAACAACTTAGCCTTAATACTTGCAGTACTAAGGAGAAGTAAGGTACTTGTCACTGCTTTTCCTTTTCTAGCTTTGCAATTCTTTTTTTTTTCTTTTTTGAGATGGGGTCTCACTCTGTCAGCCAGGCTAGAGTGCAGTGGCGCGATCTGAACTCATTGCAACCTCCACCTCCTAAGCTCAAATAATCCTCCCACCTCAGCCTCCTGAGTAGCTGGCACCACAGGCACATGCCACCATCCCTGGCTAATTTTTGTATTTTTAGTAGAGACTGGGTTTTGTCATGTGGCCAGGCAGGTCTCGAACCCTTGAGCTCAAGCAATGTGCCCACCTTGGCTTCCCAAAGTGCTGGGATTATAGGCATGAGCCACTGCACCTGGCCAAGCAATTCTTTTTTCTTTTGCTCAAGAATTTCCTTAGGTGTTTCTGGTATGTCATTATGGACAGTGAGAACATCTGCTTAGGCAACCACAAAAATATCCAAGTCAGACAGACCTGTCCAGGAATCCCAGTTCTATCACTCCCTAGGTATGTGGCATTGGGCAAGTTACCGAACCTTTCTGGCTCTCAGCTTTTTCCTCTGGAAATGAGGATAATAGCTATAATAATACCTACTCTGTAACACTATGAGGCTTGAAAGAGCAGAGATGTGTGTGATTTATGGTGCATTTGCTCTAGATTGTTGTCCTTAGCTTTATTTCCATCATTTGAAAAAGTTTTCGCAGCAACTCTATGGAGTAGATCTATTATTAGTCCTAGTTTTATAGAGGAGAATGCAGAATTGCTGAGGGATTAAGCAGCTTGCTTAAAGCCATGCAGCTAATAGGTTGGGAACCAGGACTTGAATGAAGTCATCCAACCCCGCTGCCCACAAGCTACATAATAGACAGCAACAGTTATGAGGATGAAAAGGACGATTTTTTTGTTATTGTTATTGTTATTTGCTTTAGAGGCTGAGCCAGTCCTAGGCTTACTTATATATAAGCAATGATTTGCAAAACATTTCACAGTCCACAAAGTTTCTCTATGGCTCATAGCTTGATAATTCCTCACAATAATTTTGAGGTAGTTTTACTATTCTGCCCCCTTTATAAGGGATAAAAATGAGCCCCCCTTTGGGAGGCCAAGGTGGGTGGATCACAAGGTGAGGAGATCAAGACCATCCTGGCCAACATGGTGAAACCCCGTCTCTACTAAAAATACAAAAATTAGCCTGGTGGGCTGGCATACGCCTGTAGTCCCAGCTACTCAGGAGGCTGAGGCAGGGGAATTGCTTGAGCCTGGGAGGAGGAGGTTGCAGTGAGCCAAGATGGTGCCACTGCACTCTAGCCTGGGCAACAGAGCAAGACTCTGTCTCAAAAAAAAAAAAAAAAGAAAAGAAAAAGGAGCCCCAGAAGGCATGAATCACGGGCTGGGGTCACACAGCCAGAAATTGGTGAAGTTGGCTTTCAGACTCTGACTTTGGACAATGCCATTTCTCTGGTTAAATTCAAGTTAATATTTGCTAAACACTTAGAAGGGTGTCTGGCACATAGTAAGCATGATATGAAAGTTTATTTAAAAACTAAATTAAATAAATAGCATACTTCACTTCCCTCTTCAACAACGATTTCTCTAGTACCTGCTACCACCTGTAAAGTGAAGGTGGCTGTGGCTGGGGCCTGGGTCTCCTCTTGCTCCCACCTTGTGCCCAGCATTCTCAGATTACCCCTCAGGTTGGCTGGGCTGGTCGGCTCACCTTCTCCTTTCACTCTAGTTGGCTCTTTTTGGACGGTCCCTAAGGCCTGGGCTTCTCCCCTTAGTAAAACAAATACGGCTACTTATTGTTGCTGCTTTTCAGGCCCCTGCTTGCTGGTTTCATGGAATCATCTTGTAGAAAGGTGTTGTTAACTAATAGAAATCTTATGTGTCATAGTGCCCTCTCCAATAGCTTATTTACCTTCCAACGGGGGGATTCAATTAACCCAAAGGGATGATTAGTAGAATTTCAGGCATCTGCACAGGCCGATGGGGCGACATTTTTGGAGGAGAGGGCTTGAAATCACATCACAGAACTCATGGAGGAGGGAGGGCTGAGCCTGCTCTGGGTTTTGCATGAAGTCCATTCTGCCTGCTAGAAGACTGACAAGGCTTCTCTTTTACTCTGCTCCCTTTCATAAAGGTTTTTCTTTAAGTTGTTTTTAGTAAATTCCTAACATTATTTGTCAAATTTGGCTCACAATTATTTCTACCTCATGTTTTTAATGGAACAGACCCAGAAACTCCCAACAATGAGGAAATCAAATTGGGAAGCATGTAGACACTTATTCAACAAGTTTCACTGAGCCTCTGTTGTATGTCAGGGACCATTTCAGGTGCTGAAGGCAAGGATGAGAAAGCTGGCCAAGGCTGCTTATCTGAGGCCATTTGGGCTGCATTAATAAAAATGCCCTAAACTGGTGGTTTATAAACAGTAAACATTAATTTCTCACAGTTCTGGAGGCTGGTAAGTCCAAGATCAACTTGCCTGGGGAAGGCCCATTCCTCATAAATGGCACCTTTTAACTGTGTCATCACTTGGTGGAAGGGGAATATGAACTCCCTTGGGCCTATTTTATAAGAGCACTAACCCCATTCATATGATGCAGTCACCTCCCAAATGACCCTACCTCCCAATACCATCATCTTGGAGGTTTGGTTTCAACATGTGAAGTTTTTGGGGGACACAAACATTCAGACCATAGCATTTTCCCCTGGCCTTCCAAAATTCATGTCCTTCTCACATACAAAATACATTCATTTCATCCTAATAGTCCCCAAAGTCTTAACTGGCTGCAGCATCAAGTTTTAATGTCTAGGTCCAAAATCTTATCTAAATATCATCTAAATCAGAAACTGATGAGACTTAAGGTATGATTCATCCTGACGCAAATTTTTCTCCAGCTGTGAACTATGAAAGCAAACAAGTTCTTTGCTTCCAAAATACAATGGTAGGACAGGCACAGGATAGACATTTCTGTTCCAAAGTGAGAAATAGGAAAGAAGGAAGGGATAAATAGATTTCAAGCAGGTCCAAAACCTTAAGTCTCAAGACTAATCTTTGAGTCCAGTCTCTGCCCTCCAGGCAGGAGTTGGACCCCCAAGACTCTGGGAAGCCATGCTTCCATGACCTCGGGTTGCCCTGTTCCCCCACAGCTCTTACGTGTTGGAGTCAAGTGCCTGCAGCTATCCCAGGCTGGAATCTCATGCCTCTGGCTTTATTGGTCTGGGATCTCTGGGGCATCCCCATCCCTAAACCTCCAATGGACTTTGCCCTAATGAGGTCTCTTTGCAGTGGCCCTGACCCTGTGATTGTTCTCTGCCTGGGCCCATGGCTCTATGAGGCATCCTTTAAAATCTAAGTGAAGACATCCACATCCCCTTGGCTCATGAGCCAGCCGACAGCATCTTACATATATCAAGATTTACTGCCTGTACCCTGAATGGGGAGGGGCAGTCATCATGGCTCATGAATAATTGGGTCTGCTGGAGCTAAACCTGGGGCAGCCCAGTAGCACAGCCACCTTCTGGAGAAAAACTTTGAAATCCTTCTGCCCCACAGGCCCTGACACTCTTGGTCTGTAATAGAAATGCCAGCCTTGTGATCTCTAAAAATGCCTTTGGGATCATTTTTTCATTGTCTTGATGAGTGGCACCTGGCTTCCATTGAAAAGGCCCATCCGTATTAAATCTCCTTATCAAAGAGTCACTTGGCCACAACAGGCTTTCTCATTTTTTCCAATATGAATAGGCTGAGAATCTAAATTTTTATGTTTTACTTTCTTTTTGATTACGAATTCTGTCTTTAAGTCATTTCTGTCTTCCTGCATTTTACTATAAGCACTCAAGGGAAGCCATTTTGCACCCTCAGCACTTTGCTAAGAAATAGCTTCTGCTAAATATCCAATTTCATTGCTCATAAGTCCTACCATTATATAACGAGGATTGCCTTTCCTCCACTGTCCAATAACATATTCCTTGTTTCCATTTGAAACCTCATCAGAATGGTCTTTACCATCCATATTTCTACTAACAATCTATTCATGACTATCTAAGAAACCTGAAGCTTTCTCTATAGCTCTCCTCTTTTTTTTTTTTTTTTTTTTTGGTTTCTCAGTGCATATAAGTTATGTTTACACTATACTGTAGTTTATTAACTGTGCAACAGTATTATGTCTAAAAAACAATGTACATACCTTACTTAAAAAATACTTCATTACTAAAAAATGCTAACTATCATCTGAGCCTTCAGTAAGTCGTAATCTTTTTGCTGGTGGAGGGTCTTGCCTCGATGTTGAAGACTGTTGACTGATAAGGGGTGGTGGTCACTGAAGCTTGGAGTGGCTGTGACCATTTTCAAAAATAAGACAACAATGAAATTTGCTGCATCAACTGACTCTTCCTTCCATGCAAGATTTCTCTGTATCATACAATGCTGTTTGATAGCACTTTACTCACACTAGAACTTCTTTCAAAATCTGAAGTCAAACCTCTGAAATCCTGCCACTGCTTTATCAACAAAGTTTATGAAACATTCTAAATTCTTTGTTGCCATTTCAACAATGTTTAAAGCAGGAGTGTACAACCTTTTGGCTTCCCTGGGCCACATCGGAAGAAGAATTGTCTTCGGCTACACATAGAATACATTAACACTAATGATAGCTGATGAGCTAAAAAAAAAAAAAATTGCAAAAAAATCTCATAGTGTTTTAAGAAAGTTTACAAATTTGAGTTGGGCCACATTCAAAGCCATCTTGGTCCACATGTGGCCCCTGGGCCATGGGCCTTGGGTTGGACAAACTTGGTTTAAAGCATCTTTACCAGGAGTACATTCTGTCTCAAGAAACGACTTTCTTTGCTCATCCATAAGAAGGAACTCTTCATTCACTCAAGTTTGACCATGAGATTGCAGCAATTCAATCATATCTTTAGGTCTCACTTCATTTTTGTTTGTTTCTTTTTTTATTTTTATTTTATTTATTTATTTTTATTATTATACTTTAAGTTCTAGGGTACATGTGCACAATGTGCAGATTTGATACATAGGTATACATGTGCCATGGTGGTTTGCTGCACCCATTAACTCATCATTTACATTAGGTGTTTCTCCTAATGCTATCCCTCCCCCTGCTCCCACCTCACGACAGGCCCCCATATGTGATATTCCCCACCCTGTGTCCAAGTGTTCTCATTGTTCAATTTCTACCTATGAGTGAGAACATGTGGTGTTTGATTTTCTGTCCTTGTGATAGTTTGCTCAGAATGATGGTTTCCAGCTTCATTCATGTCCCTGAAAAGGACATGAACTCATCCTTTTTATGGCTGCATAGTATTCCATGGTATATATGTGCCACATTTTCTTAATACAGTCTACATCATTGATGGACATTTGGGTTGGTTCCAAGTCTTTGCTATTGTGAATAGTACCTCAATAAACATACGTGCGCATGTGTCTTTATAGTAGCATGATTTATAATTCTTTGGGCATATACCCAGTAATGGGATGGCTGGGTCAAATGGTATTTCTAGTTCTAGATCCTTGAGGAATCGCCATATTGTCTTCCACAATGGTTGAACTAGTTTACACTCCCACCAACAGTGTAAAAGCCTTCCTATTTCTCCACATCCTCTCCAGCATCTGTTGTTTCCTGACATTTTAATGATTGCCATTCTAACTGGTGTGAGATGGTATCTCCTTGTGGTTTTGATTTGCATTTCTCTGATGACCAGTGATGATGATAACTCTCCTCTTTTCTTTCTTTGCTCTTGTTACCAGAAAGGGGTCCTGATCCAGATCCCAAGAGAGGGTTCTTGGATCTCATACAAGAAAGAATTAGAGATGAATCCATAGAATAAAGTGAAAGCAATAAAGAATGGCTACTCCATAGGCAGAACAGCAGCATGGGCTGGTCGACTAAGAATATTCATTGTTACTTCTTGATTATATGCTAAACAAGAGGTGGATTATTCATTAGGATTTTGGGAAAGGGGTGGGCAATTCCCCGAACCAAGGGTTGCTCCCCTTTTTAGATCATATAGGGTAACTTCCTGACATTGCCATGGCATCTGTAAACTGTCATGGTGCTTGTGGGAGTGTCTTTCAGCATGCTAATGCACTATAATTAGCCTATAATCAGCAGTGAGGAAGACCAAAGGTCACTCTCGTCGCCTTCTTGGATTTGGTGGGTTTTGGCTGGCTTCTTTACCACAGTCTGTTTTATCAGCAAGGTCTTTATGACCTGTATCTTGTGCTGATCTCCTGTCTCATCCTGTGACTAAGAATGCCTTAACCTCTTGGGAATGCAGCCCACTAGGTTTCAGCCTAATTTTACCCAGCCCCTATTCAAGATGGAGTCTCTCTGGTTCAAATGCCTCTGACACTCTCACCAGAATTGCCCTTAAGGTCTGCTCCTAGTAATGTAGTAATGTAGGCCTCTTATAGTATGTGCCTCAAAACTCTTCCAACCTCAACCCATTACCCAGTTTCAAAGCCATGTCTATATTTTTAGGTATTTGTATAGCAGCATTTCCATTTCTCAGTACCAATATTCTATCTTGGTACTTTCAAGCTGCTATAACAAAAATACCACCAACTGGTGGCTTATAGGCAGAAAACATTTATTTCTCACAGTCCTGGTGGCTGGAAATTCCAGGATCAAAGTGTCAGCTAATTCAGTGTCTAGTAAAGACCTGGTCCTCATAGACAGCACCTTCTCCCTGTGTGCTCACATGGTGGAAGGGACAAATGAACTTCTGTGGCCATATTTTATAAGGGCACTAATTCCATTCACAAGGGCAGAACCCTCATGATATAATCACCTCCAAAATTACCCCACCTCCTAATACCGTTGCCTTAGGGATTAAGCTTCAACATATGAAGTTGTGGGGGAACACAAACATTCTGACTGTAGCACCTCCCCCAAGAGCTTCCAGACAGGCTGTAAAATGTGATTATACTTTTCACACTGAATGTGGAAGCTGCACCAAGCGATCCCCTAAGATTTCTCTGACTTTAAGATCTACAATCACATGACATGATTGTAGCAAAAAAAAAAAAAAACACCAAAACAATAGCAAACCTATTGTTTTGCTAGTTCAAAGAACTCCTTTCTTCTACAAGTAAAGACATTATGAAAACGTCCTTTGTAGGGACATGGATGAAGCTGGAAACCGTCGTTCTCAGCAAACTATTGCAAGGACAGAAAACCAAACACCACATATTCTCTCTCATAGGTGGGAATGAGAACACTTGGGCACAGGAAGGGGAACATCACACACTGGGGACAGAAAAGTCTAAGACTTTTTTTTTTTTCTTTTTTTTTTATTATACTTTAAGTTCTTGGGTACATGTGCACAACGTGCAAGTTTGTTACATATGTATACATGTGCCATGTTGGTGTGCTACACCCATTAACTGGTCATTTACATTAGGTATATCTCCTAATGCTATCCCTCCACACTCCCGCCACCCCATGACAGGCCCCGGTGTGTGATGTTCCCCTTCCTGTGTCCAGGTGTTCTTATTTTTCAATTCCCACCCATGAGTGAGAACATGCAGCGCTTGGTTTTCTGTCCTTGAGATAGTTTGCTGAGAGTGATGGTTTCCAGGTTCATCCATGTCTCTACAAAGGACATGAACTCATCCTTTTTTATGGCTGCATAGTATTCCATGGTGTATATGTGCCACATTTTCTTAATCCAGTCTATCATTGACGGACATTTGGGTTGGTTCCAAGTAAGACTTCTAATCACAGCCTGATTATTTCTTCTTTCATCCTTCTATAGTAACAGGACCCCTGATTTATAGCAGGGCATTTAGCCACAGAAAATAAAGACCATGTTTTCCATTCCTTTATGCAGCTAGGGGTGGCTATGTGACTAAATTCTGACCAACGATATGTGAGCAGAAACATGTGTGCAACTTCTGGTCATGATCTTAAAGGGACAGGACATGCCCTTTCCACATTTCCTCTTCTTACGGGACAGAGTGAGGATGTGGTGACCAGCCAGCATGGCCATGGGGATAAGGGCAATCTCCTGGGGACAGTGGATCAGCAGGATAGAAAGAGAGATGTAAACAGCTTTTTTTGCTTGTTTGTTTAAGCTGCTGTTATTTGGGATCTCCATTATACCACCCAATTCATTTTATCAATTAGTGAGAAAGTGGAGTTACAATTTCTTGTGATTTATCGATTTATTCTTTTGATTCTGTCAACTTTTGTTTTATGTTGTTTGATGCTTTTTATTAGCATTTACATATTTATAATTACCACATCTTCTTGATGAATTGACCCTTTGTTATTTTGAAATGTCTCTGTTTATCTCTGATATTACTTTTTCTGGTCCCCAAATATGTTTAATTTTAATTTAATATAGCCACTCTAGTCTTATGTTTATTGTGTGCATGGTATACTCATTCACACCATGGATATGTATGGGACATCTTTGTTTTCAATCTTTACGTGTCTATATGTCTAAAGTATGTCTCCTACAGACAGCATATAGTCTAGTCTTGCTTTTATATCCATCCTGTTAATTTCTGGCTTTTAGTTGGTGTGTTTAGTCCATTACCTCTTTAAAACTAGACTGCATATTTTATAACCATTTTAGATTTGCAGAAAAATTGCAAAGGTACTTTGGAGAGTTGCCATACATCCCACATCCAGCTTCCCCTATTATTAACATCTTAAGTTACTAGTCCATTACCTTTTAATATGATCATTGACATGGTTGGATTTATGTCTATCATTTCAATATCTAATTTCAGTTTTCCCCTGTGTTTTTGTCTTCTTCTGGATTTTTGAATATATTTGAGAATTTTCATTTAATTTCTCTATTGGCTTTTTGGCTATGACTCTTTGTATTATATTTTTAGTAGTTACTGTAGGGGACAACACGATAACTTTTTTAAAAAATTCTTATAGTTTAATTAGAGCTAATATTGTGCCACATCACATAAACTATATAACATTTGCAGGAATATAGTTCCATTTAGTTCTGCCCTCCTACTCTGCATTCTTCATGCTATAATTCTTATATGTAGTCTATCTACTTACAGTATAAACCCAGCAAGTTAATACTGTAATTTTTCCTTAAAACTGTCTTATGTATTTTAAGGAAATGAAGAATAAAAATAGCTTTTATATTTATCCAGATATTTACCATTTCTGATGCTCTTTCTGGTTATTTGGTTTCACACTGCATCATTTTCATTAGGTTTGACAAACTTCCTTTATAATTTCTTGTAGTACAAGTGTGCTACCAAAAAGTTGTCTTCGTTTTCTTTTGTCTGAAAATGTTATTTCAGCATCCTTTTTGAAGTGGTTGGATACAGAATTATGCCCCAGAATACAGCATGATAGATTGATAGAGTTTTGCTTGCAGCACTGTAAAGATGTTGCTCCGTTATCTTCTGACCACCCTGATTTCTGATAAGAATTTTGTGGTCATTTCAGTCATTAGTCCCCTATATGTAATGTGTTGCTTTTCTGTCTTCTTTCAAGATTTTCTCTTTAGGTTTGTTTTACAGCAATTTAACTACAACGTGTTAGACATATTTTTTTTCTTCTATTTGGGTTCTGATGAGTATTTTGAATCTGTACATTTATTTGTCTCAACCAAACTTGGATAGTTTTCTGTCATTATTTCTCTACATATTTTTTTCTATTCTATTATTTTTTCTTTCTTTATCTTTCTCTTTTTCTTTCTTTCTTTCTTTTTTTTTTTTTGAGACAGAGTCTCGCTCTATCACCCAGGCTGGAGTGCAGTGGCGCAATCTCGGCTCACTGCAAGCCCCGCCTCCTGGGTTCACGCCATTCTCCTGCCTCAGCCTCCTGAGTAGCTGGGACTACAGGTGCCCGCCACCACGTCTGGCTAATTTTTTGTATTTTTTTTTTTAGTAGAGATGGGGTTTCACCGTGTTACCAGGGTGGTCTCGATCTCCTGACCTTATGATCTGCCAGTCTCGGCCTCCCAGAGTGCTGGGATTACAGGTGTGAGCCACCACGCCTGGCATTTTCCTTCTTTTTCTAAGAAACTACTTATCCGTGTTTTAAAGAAACTGCTTATACAGTTCTCTGAGGTGATGTGTTGTTCATTTTTAAAAATCTTTTTTTTTCTTTTTCAGATTACATAGTCTTCATTGCTCTGTCTTTAGTTTACTGATGCTTTCCTGTCATTTCCATTCTACTATTAAACTCATCCAATACTTTTTATTTAAAAAATCAGATATAATTTTCATTCCCATTTTTCCTCACTTTCATTTATCTTTCATTTATCTGACTTCCAAAGTATTTCATTATCATTAGAAATATTCATTTTTAATATTTTAATTTAAAAATATTAAAAATATTTTTCATTTATCTATTTCGATTTCCTACCTTTACTTTATTGTGAGTATTTTTTCTCTTATCTCATTTAGCAAGGTTATACAGCATTGAAGTCCTTGACTGAAAATTCCAACATCTGGCTCATTTTAGAGCTTGGTCATCCCTAGAGAATGATTCACATTTTTTTTGGTTCTTCATTTGTTGAGTAATTTTGAATCGTATACTAGATATTGCAAATGAAACATTATAAATACTGAATTCTTCTTTTTTAATTATACTTTAAGTTTTGGGGTACATGTGCAGAACATGCAGGTTTGTTACATAGGTATACCTGTGCCATGGTGGTTTGCTGCACCCATCAACCCATCACCTACATTAGGTATTTCTCCTAATGTAGATGATGCTATCTCTCCCCTAGCCCCTCATTCCCAGACAGGCCCCGGTGTGTGACGTTCCCCTCCCTGTGTCCCTGTGTTCTCATTGTTCAACTTCCACTTATGAGTGAGGACATGTGATGTTTGGTTTTCTGTTCCTGTCTTAGTTTGCTGAGAATGATGGTTTCCAGCTTCATCCATGTCCTTGCAAAGGACATGAACCCATCCTTTTTTATGGCTGCATAGTATTCCTTGGTGTATATGTGACACATTTTATTTATCCAGTCTATCATTGATGGGCATTTTGGTTGGTTCCAAGTCTTTGCTATTGTGAACAGTCCCACAATAAACATACATGTACATGTATAAAGACCGAATTCTATTATATTTCTTGCAGGAGGGTTGATGTTTTTGTTTTAGCTGACAATTAACTTGGTTTGACTCAAAGTGTAAACTCTTGCCTGTGATGGCTGGCAGCTTAAATCTTGTTTGGTTTTAGCTGCCATAGGGTACACCCAGAGACTTGGGCAGGGTTTTAAATAGAATTGTGAGCACCCTTTTCTGGACCTCTCTTTTCTGGGATTTTTTTCTTACTGGCCAGTGGCTATACTTGCCCAGTCTCTTGTATTCTGGTTCTTCTGGCTAGAAAAATGGTGGATTTTCTTTGGAGTTTTAGCTGCTTCATGTTGTACTACTATTGTGGTCTCACCTAAGGCTAAAACTACAAAAACTAGAAACTCACTCTGTACTGGTCCCTTCCTTCAACTTTTAATTTTCCTCCAAAATATGTCTGCTTTTGTTCATTTTCTGTGGCCTTCTGATGGTTTTTCTCCCCTCACATGTTCTCCAGAGTTTATAGTTGTTTACAGAAGGGTCAGTCTGTTAGCAGTTTAATTTACCATACCAGAAATGGAACTCTGAATGTATTAACTCTTTATACATATCTCAAACTGTTTGAAAGAATCTAAAACTCCTGAATTTATGCTATGGGACATCAACTTTATAGCATATTATGCAGTCACTAAAAACAATTTAGACCAAATAGCAACGAAGAAACATACTTATGATTAAATAACATTTGTATGCTACCAAATCATGTATTCACTTTCATTGCAGCTGTGTAAAAATTCGTGAGTATATGTAAACAAGAATTGGAAGGAAACTTGGAAAAGAGTAAAAATATTTTTTATTTTAAACATAGTTCCTATTTTTCATCTTTTAAAAAAGCAGTTCTTTTATTTGTGCAATAAATTTCAATGCATTAAAAATAATTAACCAAGAACTAGGTAATCCCAGTTCACAGATTGCCTTTTTATTTTGTTGATTGTTTCCTTTGCTGCTCAGAAGCTTTTATGCTTGATGTAGTCTCACTTGTTTATTTTTTTAAAATTTTTTTTATTATTATACTTTCAGTTCTAGGGTACATGTGCACAACGTGCAGGTGTCACTTGTTTATTTTTGCTTTTGTTTCATGAACTTTTGGTGTCATATCCAAAAAATCATGGCAAAGGTCAATGTCAAGAAGTTTTCCCCTTTGTTTTCTTCTAGGAATTTTATGGTTTCAAGTCTTACTTTTAAGTCTTTAATCCATTTTGAATTGATTTTTGGTAGGTGTAAGATAAGGTTTCAGTTTTGTTCTTTTGTATGTTGGTATTCAGTTCTCCCAACATCATTAATTAAAGAGGCTATCCTTTCCCCTTTGTGTATTCTTAGTGCCCTTGTTGAAAATTAGTTGACCTTGTATATTTGGGTTTATTTCTCTTTCATTGGTCTATGTGTCTATCTTTATTTCAGTACCATACAGTTTTGATTATCATAGCTTTATAATTATTCTTTTTAATGCTATTGTAAATGGGATCATTTTCTTGATTTTCTTTTTTGGATAAGTAGTTGTTGATGTAAGGAAATGCTACTAATTTTTGTACAGTGATCTTTGTATCCTGCTGTTTTACTGAATTCATTTATTAGTTCTAACAGTTTTTTTTTTTTTTTTTTGGTGTGGAGTCTTTAAAGCTTTCTACGTATAGAATCATGTCATCTTTAAACAAGGATTTTATTTCTTCCTTTCTGATTTGGATGTCCTTCATTTCTTTTTCGTCTCTGATTGCTCTTAAAATTAGATTCAAATATTATAATGAATTTTGAACAGAAAAGGGAGATAAATTCTGATTCTGGCTGTTGAGTGAAGTCACTGTGCTGAGGCTTGCAGTAGAGGGGTGGAGAAGCAGACACCAGCCAGGTTTGGAAACCACATGCACTTTGTGGCTTGGGACTTGGAACACATCCCCTTTCCTCTGAGGCCAAGTCCTCTGCCCTTATGAAAAAATCTAACTTCCTATTTTAAAGACAAGTAGCTCAGAGCAACTCCGAAAGTCATAGACTTTAAATGGCCTCTACGAAACATGGTGGTAAGTTTGGGAAGTGAATCAGAAACAGATGAATTAAATTTTGCCTGAAATTACATAGAGATTTTAACAGACAGAGAAGAACATTCTTAAGAGAAGAAGCATGTTTTGGCATTTCTTACTCAAATCCCAAACATTTGAGAGATGCCTTTGAATAATTTCATTAAGAGAAAAAGCAAAACAAACAAAACAACCCTCTTGAGACTCAGAACTTAAAAAGTAGGCTGAATTATAATGTCTTTTCCATAGCTTATCTCCAACCACATTTTCCATATAGCAGAATATGTTCCTGGTATAATACTACCTCAGCAGAGATCAAAGGAAAAATCAGGGCCTGTATTCAAGATCTGTCCTCTGCCATTTGTCACCTCTGGGAATAAGGGAAGTTGTTTTAGTTGCATGAGCTTAGTTTTCTCATGTGTAAAATGGTCTATTATATCTTCTTTGCAGAGTTGTAGATAAGAGATAAAACCCACAATATCACTGTTTAAAATTTCCAATTCATAGCTAACCCTTGATAAGGCCCTGGAAATTATTATTACATTGTTAAATAAATCTGCTTATCCAACATGGGGTTTTTCTTTTTAACATGTAGTAGTAGTTATAAAACTTAAATTACTATTTAATTTATTGTTTGCATTAGAAGAAGAGAGAAGTTTAGGATTCAGCTACAGAATTGGCTAAATATGCTATTTTAAAATAATCAAAACTGGGTTCAAATTCTGCCTCTACTACATATTGACTATATGACATTGTGAAAGGAATTAACTTCTCTGAGCCTCATTTTTTTTTCATTTATAAAATGGAAACAGTAGTAGCATTTACCTCTTAGTGTAGCTATGAAGAGGAAATGAAACAATGGATATAAGTTGCGTGACATGGCACTTTCATGTAGTAACTGCTCATAAAATGGTAACTATCATCATTATCATCATCAATGGTATATTAGTGGCAAATATTCCCTCATTTCTTTACTCCTCCCTACCTTATATCCTAATCCACTTAAATACCAAAAATCACCATCTAAAATCATGGAACTATCCTGGATATTTAGCTTTTTTCTTTATTTTCTTCTTAGGTCAACTCTACTTCATGTTACTCTTCAAATTTGCCCCCAGGAAGCATTTGCAGCTACATTTTTGCTGGAGAGACAGTGTCTAGCCATAGATTCATTTCAATTAAATTAATTACTATCCTGGAATTGCAGGGTTTTGATGTCATAGTGAATGATCACTGAATGAACCAATTTCGTGCTTCTTAACTTGAAACCTGGGATTCTTGGGCCATGATTCTACAAAAGGAACAGACGACTCTAGGTACAAATTTACATTCTATATCTCCTTGAGGAGAAGTCTGTTGGAAGTAATTACAGCACGTAAGTCCTGGAAGACACCTTGGAGGCAATCTTTTGACAGGTGTTTATCGATCACCGGCTCTGAGCCCAGTATTGTGCTAAATGCAAGGAATAAAAAGAAAAATGTCTAAAGTACAGTTAGGGAGCTCACAATGACCTTAGGGAGCTCATAATGCAATTAGAGTATAAAGGCTACTGAAATGCAAAATTTTCCCAAAGGAGTAATATCTTAAGAAGATATTAATTAACTTGTCCTAAGGAACACAGAAGAGAAAGATCTAGTGGTGTTTTCCATGAATTATCTCATTTAGTTTTTACAATTTCTTCTGACACATGCACTTTATTATCTTAATTTAACAGATAAAGAAACTGAGACCCAGAAAGTTTATATAATCTCTTCCACTAAAAAAGTCAGACCCAGATAGAAATGATCCTTCTATTTTACAGAAAAAAAAGCAGAACAAGCTTTTCCACTTTGTCTATCTGTAAAATGGGTTAATAACTACTATCAAGCAAGGAACAAAAGAGACAAAGTGAGATCCTCTATAAGAAATATGTTTTTGGCTGGGAGCGGGGGCTCATGCCTGGAATCCCAGCACTTTGGGAGGCCGAGGCGGGCGAATCACGAGGTCAGGAGTTTGAGATCAGTCTGGTCAACATGGTGAAACCCCGTCTCTACTAAAAATAAAAAGTTAGCCATGCGCGGTGCTGGGTGTCTGTAATCCTAGCTACTCGGGATGCTGAGGCAGGAGAATTGCTTGAACCCAGGAGGCAGAGGTTGCAGTGAGCAGAGATCACATCATTGCACTCCAGCCAGGACAATAGAGCAAGACTCTGTCTAAAAAAAAAAAAAAAAAGAAATACATTTTTTTCTGTGACTGAAATCCTAAAAAAAGTTACAGTTTATACTCAGTTCTAATTGCTAAGCTCTTTCCTCTTCCTGTAGCAACTTCCCTAAATCAAGTTGGCTTGTAAAAGAGTACTCTGAATGTAGTAAAACATCATCTCACTTCACATAAAACACCATCCAGGCTACGTGCAGATCATTTTTCCAATAATGTTTTGTGACAAAAATCAACAAGTTTCTTGTTGGAACATCTTGGTCATTAAAAATACATTAACAGCTCATTATTCAAGACACTGTACTAATTCTACTCATTTCCTGTTGAAGCTTATTAAATACTAAGAGCCTAATCAACCAGAAGTAGGGTTCAGTGGCCACAAAGAGTGTGCTCCATTAAAGAAAAAAAAAGACTTATGACCAAAATAGTAATTATAATACATTGTATTTATCTGGCACTGAGATCCTCTAATAGGTTGAATAGCTTTGACATTCATACAGAAAAAGGTTGAGGATGCAATTCATTGAAAAGTAAAATTAAAGAAGGGTGTGTGAATGTGTTTACAGAGACAAGCAATGAAGTCTTAAGGGCTTTTCAGAATTCTTCAGAAAAGAAAGACTGCTAAAAGTACTTGTGCAATGGATTTTTTTAAAAGCTATTTAAATATCTACATATCTAGATTATAAGAACGAATTCTGAGCCACCTCATAACCAGATTTCTCCACTCTACTAATTAGCTGGGCATTCTTAACATTTTGTTTGACCTCTAAGTTTGACTATCAGGTTTGAAGTGTCATTCTTTGGGATTCAGTAAAATCATAGTAAAATAATATATCATACTTTGAGTGGGTTGTACTAAGACTTAAGATTAATGTATATGGAATATAGGCACATAGTAGACCCTCCATAAATGTTGGTATTACTGTTTTTACTCTGCTAAGTGAGGATTTTTAAGGGCAACTTTGTATCGTATTCAACTTTGCATCCTTAGCACTAGCACTGTGTTTGGCATACAGTGGGGATTCAGGATTTGTTTGTTGCACTTAAACTAAAGTCTCAAATCTGGATCTTTAAGATTTCTCTAAGCATCATAGCATCTTGTTCTCTGTGGATGCCCAATAAATATTTGCTTTTGACTAATCAGTAAGAATATGTTGATTATTATTTATACACTGAGTTCTGTTTTCACGAATGAGCTTATACTTGATTTGGGAAAAGCAAGGTTTATACATATGAAATAAAGGGAGAACAATGCTTACTATAGATTTTCATTTTTTTCCCCCTGCTCAACATCCATTTCCTCTTCTTCTGGCAACAGACCGTGGATTTCCTTGGTGGAATCACCACTCCCACACTCCATGCTGTTAAGTGCTCTTCAGTGTTTTCCAGAAGATATGTAGTATTAAAAGAACCCAACACTATAATCGTCTCTGCCTTGTGGCCATGTGCAATAGCCCAGGTAGTCATGTGACCCAGCCCTGAGCAACCGGAACATCCCATATCTGTGGCTACAGTAGTGATTGGTTCACAGATGAGGACGGTGTCATCAGAAACGTGTCAAAAATGCGTTTTCTGAACTTCGCTCTTATGAAAGTTACAAATTACTCTGATAAGCTCAAAGGATATATTATCGGCAGACTATAGCAGGAGACAAGTGGCTATGGGATGTTCAGAGACTTTAATTTTTTGAGGGGCTCCAATTCCTCTTGGAAGATGCTCTTGGGTTGGCGGTAATGACATCGTCCCTGTCAGGCAAAAGCTGCTATCAGCTTTCAGGAAGCTCCCTGTGAGACATCATACTATAAAACTTCAGCATTATGGTTGCAAAAACTGACTTTAGCAAGTCTTCTCAGTGTCTTAGTTTGCCATTAACACCATCATGCTACATTATCCACAAATCATACAATAAAAACCAAGTGTCCTTATACTGGCACTTTAACCATTGGATGATGACAGTTATCTCCCGGGTCCAGGAGGAGGTGAACACAGTGGGCTAACAGACACATGAGCCAGTCTGAGCCAATGAGACTCTTCCTATGTGGGAATTCTGTGGAACTGCTGGGAAAGAGAGAATCTGCTTCCAGCTGGGGCTGTTAAGATGACAAAATGCTACGTGGAGCTTCCTGAAGCCATCTTGCCATCCCAAGGTGGAGACCCTGCCTAAGAAACAGAGAGGTGGAAAAAATAGTGAGGCTGTCATCCTAGCTCCAGGATCCAGTCATGCCTGAAGTGAAATCTACTCCTGGACTTTTCAGTTTTGCAACTAACAAAAAATTCCTTTTTCTTATTGCTTAAGACAATTTAAATTGTAAATTGTCACTTGCAAGATACAACACAAACAAGTGCATGACTCAGATTACAAATGTGGTGATTTGGGTGAACAAAGCAGAAATTATGCCTAGAGTAACTGGGATAACTTCTTCAAAAGCACATAGACTAGAGACTGGTCTTTGAAAGTGAGGGAGCATTTGCGTAAGTACAAAAGGGAGGACCCCACGTGCACGACAAATTAATAAAAACAACATGGAAGAGGATAAGTGAAGAAAGGGAATATGGAAGTGGTCTGGTGTGATGGAAAGGGTGCTGTTCAGATAGTCAGAGTTCTAGTCCTTGTTCTGCCATCATCCACATGACTGTGTGCGGAAAGACCGCTCTTCCGTTTTGGAACTGTTTCTCCTCATATCCATGCACAGAATTAGACTTGCATTGTCTCTAAGACTTTCTCTAACGCTACCTTCAGTGAGCCTATGGAATCTTGAAAGGCTGCTCATTGTCCTATATATTTAAACATCTCCAGAGTTACTTGTCGCCTTTGGAATATAGATTCTCTTTGGTTTTCTGCCTTCCCCTCTACCCCCCACCCCCCATTTCTTATTCACTTGGCAAAGAGTAATCTTTTCCCATCATATTCTGAATGGAATGGAAATGGACAAGCTACATTTACTGAAAAGCTGTGACGTTAAAGCTGTGAAAGCACTTGATTGTGCCCCGAAAAGACTCATTCTGAGTGAGAGTGATGAAAGCGGTGGGAAGGGGCCGCCTGGTTAATTACGAGTCTGTGCACATCAAAGAGCAAACGAGGAACTTTCAGGCACTTTGCTCTTTCTTAGCCATCTTTCACTGCCCTATTCCCTTTCAGTGGAAAAGGCTTTGGCGCCCAGGTCTAAATTAAGAACCAAGAGCACTGTATGCACATCAGGTACTGAACTAGGGCTCTCACTGTGCAGCCAGTAGCATTTGCTGCAATAGTGTCACGTGTCCCCAAAAGAAATATTTTTAGGTTCACAATCCAATGAAGACCAGACACCAAATCTCATCTGGGTTCATGTCCTCAGTTAGAATGTGTTTTGGGTTAAAACCATCACAGAAAAACTTGTGAAACTGATTTGAAATCTTCAGATTGGGCTTAAATGGGAGACTTACTCAGACATATATCCCCAAATTCTGAATTCCCACATCATCATCTAATACTACCATGCAAATATATTCATCTATTTACTGTTTGTCACCACCTTGAAGGTAGAAACTTTATCATATTTACCACAGTATACACAAGCCTGGCATAGAGTAATTGATCAATAAATGTTTACTGAATGAGTGAATGAACAAATGTTAAATAATGAGGGATTTATGTGAGCTCTTTTATTGAACCAGGAACATAAATAGGTGTCTATCAGAGTTTTTGATCAGCATGAGAAAACCACAGATACTACACAGAACTGATATAATTTTAAACCCCAAACAGAAATCTAACATTGTATATACCTTCACTGAAAATGAATGTGCAGAATTGATCTCACTTTTGGAAATACTGACAATAGTTCATGATCTTATGGGTTCATAAAACCCAGGTTGGGTATCTTTGATCCTTTTAACCTCTATATTTTGGATGTAAGGTATGGAAAAATTTTGTTTTCTTAGCCAATGCCTGAGACTACCATTTAGAGAGAGTGCTGTGTGTTGAGATAATGTTTGTTTGGAAAAGCCTGCTTGGGCAGGTGAGTCCTTGTACTTCATGAATGTTGGCTAACCTCAGGGCCTCTGAAAAAGGGCCAATGCTGCTGCTCTGAAGACGTTTTTGGGGTCTTGGGAGAAGGAGGGAGAAGGGAGAAGAGTTGAGAGAGCCAGGCAGATGGGGTGGGGTGAGGGTGAGGCTGAACTGTGTGCTGCGATTCCTCCCATGAACTCTCAAATTGTTTTTAAAGTCACTAAACCCATGGACTCCCTGTTGCACTTTTCCTTTTTCTTTTTCAGATGCATAGGCCTGAGTTTCTTATCTGGGAATGCTGCTGTGGAATGGATAGGGACAGTTCTGTACTTTCAGATCTGACGTCAAAGACGCCCAGGATAAGTCACATCCTTGAAGTTTAGAGAAATTATGGTCTGCCACAGGCAGCGGATGAGATGATGTCTGAATCAAGGTTATTTAGATATCTGAGGGATGGGAGGCTTCAGCTGACACTAGGTTTGCATGCTGATGAGGAAGCTATGGCAACAGGACATTGGTAACAACAAATAAAAACAAATGCATCACAACAAAACAAAAAAGATTTGGGTTCTAGGCCAAATGCCCTGTAATTGAGATGGAATTCCAGCTGTCATATCAGTTCCATGGCCCTAAGCAAGACAAAAGCCCCTGAGCCTCCATTTCCTCAGTCCCCATTCTCACACAGGAGGATATTTGTGAGCTCTTAACACAGAGCTCAGCAAGTATTGTCATTATTTTGAGGTTAAGAATTTGGGGCTTTTTTGCCCAAAGCCCCTAGACCAGAGAGTGCCAAAGCCAGGACTAGAACCTGACCCTCCTGTCACCCCATTGGCAGCCCTTTCCCCAGATGCTGAAGCTCTGTCACTGTTTTCCAGGTAACAACATAGATAGAGGCACCAACTTTGGGTTTTGTAAAAGCCCAGCTGCTACTTGATAAAAAAACATCCTGCCCAATGTGGAGTTATAAAATCCAGGACTTGATGACTATTTTAAATAATAGCAGTGAATTATGACTTCCTCTGTATTTATTAGGACAACACTATAAATGAGAAATTGTTGTGATGTCCTTGGGAAGATGCAGAATTTAATTCCTTGGGAATCCCATTGTATTCTCCCATTCGGGCTCCCTTTGCTGAGGAGGAATCACATTTATCATCTGACGTCTAACATGACATTTATAGTTCTGTTGAAGTTGTTTGCAGTGTTGACGGGTTGCGGGCTAGAGTTGTCTGAGCCTGGAGCTTTAGCAAGGCAGTGAAGCAGGGACTCTGGCTGCACAGGGAGCCCAGTTATTTGGGGTCAAGAACCAACAGTTTTTCAAATGGTCATAGAAGAGCCATTTCCCATCTTGGGGCCTCCAAGTTCATAAAAGCAAAGAGTTTAAAGGTTGGGCTTAGACAAATTTCAAAGGTCCTGCCAGCTGGGGCATTATATTATTCTAATAATTGAAGCCTATTTTATAGCTGATCAAAAGGGAAGTAGGACCTTCACTGACATATGCTTTGCTTGCTTTCTGTGTAGGACTTCCTTATGTCTGCATGCTGACTGCACAGTAGGCAGCTTTCCATTTTCCAGGTGAAATTTGAGTCAGTTGAGCTCTCAGTTAACAACTTAAAATTGTCAGCTTTGTCTGGTCACCCAGGATTCTCCTCCTTATTCTGTCCTCCACCCATGAGATCTGCCTGGGCCTGTCCAATCAGATTCAGACTTACATGGAATTCACATTAGGTCTTCTTTGAAGATGATAGACTTTTTAGGGTCTCAATGAGGAAAATGCTGGACGTCGTGTACAAAAAATTGTACATGTTCTAGATTATGTCATCCTTCTCCCAAGAAGACTTTATTTTATTCTGGCCAGTAGTTACAGTGGGGACAGATAAAGCTTACCCAACAAGTGACTGATATGGTTCTAAGCTGGGAGTTAGTGAGGACTGGTCTATTTCCAGTTTCTCTTTATTCTTGGTCTTAACTGGAAGTTTGGCATGTTTTCCAGGGCCCCTCCTTCTTAGCATCTGTGAACTCCCTCCAAATTTTGTCTCTCCTGCTCTGTGAGGGTTTTTTTTTTAAGCCCCTATGCAGATGCCCTCCACTTGATTTCTTGGCCTCTCATTCTCACCCAGTTTAAGATTCAGCAAATGCCTTAAGGTAGAAAGTGGAGCAAAATGCCAGGCTCTCTTCTCTCTGAATCCCTTTTCTCTGAGATCTTGTGTCCTCAAGTCCTGGCTGCCTTGATTGTTCTCTGATGCTGTTAAACAAACTCTTTTTAGGTATTTTACTTTAATCCAACATTTATACTTGTTTTCAGCGGGATGATGGTCTGAATTAAGCTACTTCATCCTAGTCAGAAACAAAAGTTATGGAATGGTTTAATTTAAATCATGACCTTCAAGAGGTGATTCCTGTATGCTATGGTAGAAGAACCTCAGACATATGAAACCTAGCTTGAATACCAGCACTGACTTTCATGAATTCATTCAACAAATATTTATTGTATGCCAGCAATATTCTAAGCACTTTGTACTCAGCACCGGGGATACAATGGTGAACCACACATGAGGTCCTCCTTCTCATAACGTCTCCTTGGGAAGTTGTATAGGGCACCCTTGACATAAGTGATGCCATCTTAGAAAAAGACTTGATTTTTACATTTCAAAGGGCATTATGTCAACAGGGACAAGATGTTCACTTAATCAATAGAGACAACATCCAACCAGTTAAGGGCATAACCCTTTATTATGAGTTCTCACCAGAGGACTCAAGGGCCTTAAAATTAGCAGGACTTCATCAGCTCAAGATGGTTGTCTTGACAGACCCCATTTGGCTGTCACTCATGATTGGCACCTGGAATTTGCTGCAGAAGTCTCTGGCCAAATCAAGGACTCTTCCTTGCAATACACTGACGACTGTCAGGATCAGACCAGGACACTCTCCTTGTCCATGTCACTCTCCTTGGACTGCTTCGTAAACCCCCCCCTTTTTTTTTCCTATTCCTGTTTTCCCTTCATGTTAAATATCCCTCTGTTTGGTGTGAAATATTAATTTCTAACATTTATATATTGATTAATTATACTACTACGTATGGTTTGCAATATTGATTGACCTGTGGAATGGTTTGAGTCTGTGTACCCACAGCTCTAATACTGAGTGAAGTGATAGTGTTAAGGAGAATTGCCTCCTTGGGAAGTCCATGTAGCTCGTGGTTTTTATGATTGAGATCAATAAAAGTCTGACCTTGGCTGGGTGCGGTGGCTCATGCCTGTAATTCTACCACTTTGGGAGGCCGAGGCAGGTGTATCACTTGAGGCCAGGAGATCAAGACCAGCCTGGCCAACGTGGTACAACCTCGTCTCTACAAAAATGCAAAAATTAGCCAGGCATAATGACGGTGCCTGTAATCCCAGCTACTTGGGAGGCTGAGGCAGGAGAATCACTTGAACCCGGGAGGCGGAGGTTTTGGTGAGCCGAGATCGCATGACTGCACTCCAGCCTGGATGATAGAGTGAGATTCCATCTCCAAAAAAACCCAAAAACAAAACAAAACAAAACAAACTGACCTTGTGGAAAGACACAAATATGTATGGACCTGGTTATGTCTGACCTTGTGCCACTCATGACAGAAGTCTTTATATTAAATAATTTTTTGATATCAAACTATCATCAGGTCTTTGAAGAAAAAAGAACATGGTGCCCAGTCAGAGAATAACAAGGTAGAAATCACTTAGAGTGTGGTTGTGGCCAGGAAAGGCCTCTTCGAGGAATCATTGAGGTTGAGAGCTGAAGGCTACATTGGAGTTAGCTGAGGGAAAATATGGGTGGAAGGTGGATGGAGAAGCATCCCAAGCATAAGAACCAGCATGTGTAAAGATCATGAGGTAGCCAGGAGTTTGATCCATCCAGCCTGAATAACCAAAAGTAAGTGAGTGTGGATGAAGCACATAAGTCAGTGATAAAATGAGGTAGGGTTGGCATAGAGACTAGGATTGCTAGCCTTGGCAAAGAGTTTCGGTTTCATCCCAAGAGGACAGGGGAGCCTTTGGAAGGTTTTTAAGCAGGGGGAGTAATGCGATCTGATTTATTTGATGAAGATTACCCTGGCTTTTGTAAGAGAATGGATCCACGCTGGGCTAGGCCAAGAGTCAGGGAAGCCTGATTCAACATGTTTGTGCTGACCTAGCTGAGAGATGATGGGGGCTCGGACCATGCGGACCATGATGGTGGCGATGGAGATGGAAAGAGGTGATGTATTTGAGACATACCAAGAAGGAAAAGCATCAGTAGGATTTGGCCATGGATTAGATTGAGGAATAAGAGAGCAAGGAATCAATAATAACTCCCAGGTTTCTGGCTTGAATAACTGAGTGGCTGTGTGTGTGTCCACAGTTATTGCATTAGTTTGCTAGGGCTGCCATAACGAAGTACCACATACTGGTGGCTTAAACCACAGAACTTTATTATTTCCCAGTTCTAGAGGCTGGATCAACCTGCTGGCAGAGTTGGCTCCCTCTGAGGTCTGTGTTGAAGAATCTGTTCCAGGCCTCTCCCTAGCTTCTAGTGATTTGCTGGCAATCCTGATGTTCCTAGGCTTGTAGTCACATCACCCCCAATGTCTGTCTTCATCTTCACATGGCATTCTCCCTTGGGCACCCCTCTGTGTCCAAATTTCCTCTTTTTATAATGACACCAGTTATAATGGATTAGGGCCTACCCTCATTACCTCATATTACTTAACCCAATCATGCCTGCAATGATCCTATTTACAACTCAGGTCACATTCTGTGGTTCTGGGGGGTTAAGACTTCAACAGATGGGCTTCAGAAGATACAATGCAATCCTGAATACCCTCAGTTTTTTTCACCTGCAGATTGGGAACAAAAATACTTCACAGGGAAGTTAGGAAGAATAAACAAGGAGATGAATATATTTAACATGCCAAGGACAGTATTTGGTACATAAGAGAATTCAGGAATTGTTGATCCCTTTCTGCTCTGTTGCCTAACCTAGAGAGAATGGAGAACTTCAGTTTAGAAGGGAGAATCCATTAGGGAAGCCTGTGGGGGCACCTGCGGTCTCAGGGTGTCCCTGAGATCATCCAGCTCTAAAGGAGCATGATGCTCCAGGGGTGGGCTGGGCCTAGAGTTGGAAGAGTGATTAAATTGTACCAGCCAGGGAAATAATACTGGCCTGGGAGTTGGGACCCCTGAGTTCTAATAACTGAATGAGTAACCTTGGGCAAATGCCTGCTCCCTCTGGTCCTGAGATTTCCATTACAAGTATCAAGTCATTCTTTTTGGCTAAACACATGTTGAATGGCTAAATTGTAGAGCCTCTAATGGGTGCCAGGCCCTGTGCTGTGAGGTGTATATCCACACTTTAATTTAATTCTGTCATTAGTCCTACAAAATTTCATAGATGGGGAGACTGGGCCTTAGAGAGGATTCAGTCATTTGTCTAAGACCACACAGGAAGCAGTGGATTAATATCAGGTCTATTCTCCCTTACAATCTAGGTTCCAAACTACGATGCAGCCCAACTTCCCTGTTCCCTGGCTTCAGTATTCTAGTGCCCCAAAGATCTCCTGGGACATGCTCACAGCTCCTTCTTGGCCTCTGGTACTCCATTGTTGAGTGTCAGTGCTGGCACAGCACAGTCATGTGAGGGAGAACCCCACACCTGGCTGCTGCACTGGGGCCCGCTCGATTTCCCAGTCTTACCTGGGAAGCCCATTCAGCGTGAAAGGAGCAATTAGAAGCTGCAATCAGTGGCATATGAATCAGAGATTCTTTCCTTTTAAATATTTTGACTCACTTGCCATTTATTTGAGCTCTAATCTATACTTATGTCTCTGTTTTTCTGAAAGGGATTTCAGAAGGAATGGGAAGTGGGAGGGGAGATGGAAGCTTTTCTTTTCTGGACAATTAGCAAGGATTGTTTACTGGAGGTTGATTTTACCATTGGGTAATTGTGCAGCCCCCGCCCCGGCCCCGCCTTCTTGTTGTTGCCCCTAATAACATTAATTATGATTTTAGCTGCCGATATTTGGGCAGCCCCCTGTGACAATGAGGAATTTTGTGATGATTCTGAGGCAGCAACCATGGCAGTGCAGTTTCAATATTAGAACCTGAAAGTTGCCAGCATGGGGTCCCTAATATAAATGTGACTTTCATGGGTGTGGAACCCTCATTGTGCTACTTTCCAATAGGGGGAAAGGAACCATAAACATAACAGGAAGGGAGGAAAGGTACAAAGGACAGCAGGAAAGGGGTAACCCCTTGGGTCTGACCTAGGGAGAATACACCCACAGTCTCAGAATTGCCTTCTTAAAATCAATAATCACAATGTTTTGTGTTTGCTATAAGGTAAGTACTGTCATCATCCCATTTCATAGATTGAAAAAATGAGGCTCAGTGACATTACATAATATGTCCCAACTCACTCCTTGGTAGATAGCAGATCTGGGGTTCCATCTCAAGCTGTCTGTAGCTAATCTTAGACTCTACAGCCAGAGCTCATATACACTTGATCACTATATTTACAAGCTCAGATTTGCAGAGGAAAGCCTGCTAAGGCCACAGAAAAGCTGATTAGCATCTTGGGTAAACAGCCCTGCCCCTGCCTTAATAATCCTAATCACAACCGCAGCCGTGTATCTAGGGCTTATGATGGATGAACCACCTCTGTACTTAATAAATACTGCAATACATTCTTTCATTTAATTCCCACTATGTTCCTAATGAAGTGGGTACTATTTTATAGGTGAAAACATTCAGATTCAGAAATAAGAAGTGATGTGCTTGGGCCATGCTGTTAGTAAGAGGTAAGGCCAGGATTCAAAGATGTATTTTATTTCATTTTTATTATTGCACTCAACATCAGTGACTTGGAAATTTCTTTGTCAGCTGGAGATTTAAGGTGAGGGCATTTTCACAAATCTCAAAACGACATTCCTGTTAGAAAGCTTTTGCAGTCTTCTTTGTAGGAATATGTTTCAAGGAGTGGGTTGCTCTTTAGTATCTTAAATCCTATGGCCCTGATTATCATATACTTCCTGGCAGGTGCAGAGCTTTTGCTAACTCTAATTTTCTTCCTTTCTGGGTTCAGCACACACCATTCTGTCCTCAGTTCCTATAAGGGATGGTTAATCCAGCATGGCTTAAATGGAGCCCTTTTCTGCATCCTCCTCTGCTCCTCTGACCTGGGCCCTTGTTTCTTTTAAACAACCCTCTTTACACACCAAACTGTCATCCAATCCCCTTCCTCCTTCCTTCTCTAACTCTCACTTATGCTTTCCACACCAACAAACCTAGTGTCCACTTTTACCCCCGAATTTAGTGGTGCTTCAGAAAGAAGCTCCTGGTCCCTTGAAATCATAGTTGGATTATTTCATTCATGCCTGGAGAGGGTCTCCCATCCCCCTTCAAAGAAGCAGAACAATGTAGAAAAGAAAAATGGCTGAACACCCTGCACGATTATGGATAAAGGGAAAAGTCAGTAAAATCCTTTCCTGATATACACGGTAAAACCTGGAGTAAAAGAAAGCAGCAGAGTGTGGGATTCGGGGTAATGGAATTTTCCGGATACTTAAGACTTAATCTTTCTACAGCGTACGAATCCTCTTTCTTGTATCTGTAAGAGTAGCACTACAGCCATAATGACTATTTCTTGATTGAAGGTTCTGCGTAGTTGCATGGTCATCGTTCTGGGCAGGCATGGGCCTCCACGGTGACGGAGGCAGACCCAAGGCTGGGATTTGCCTCCCCTCTGAGATGTGCCACATCCAAAAAGTTTTGTCTTCTTTTTTCGTTTCTGGCACCTGAATGTTCTCTCTTGATTTTTCAATAAGGCCAACAAATTTTCTTAAAAATTAAAAATAATATCAGTCTGACATTTCTAATGTTGAAAGGGCAGGGCTTCCGCCCCAGTTCACACTGCTCTCTTGACTAGATGTGGCTCCTGTGTCTCTATTTAGTGCTCAGCCATCAGGGTGTTAATAAAGGTGGAGGGCTCTCCTATTTTAGAGAATTTGTCCAATACCCATTTAACTAAAGTGAGCAAGAAGAAGTAACATAGGTGACATGTATACAATGGAATACTATGCAACCTTAAAAAGGAATGAATTAACAGCATTTGCAGTGACCTAGATAAGACTGGAGACTGTTATTCTAAGTGAAGTAACTCAGGAATGGAAAACCAAATATTGTATGTTCTCACTTCTATGTGGGAGCTAAGATAAGAGGACATAAAGGCATAAGAATAATGCAATGGACTTTGGGGACTTGTGGGGAAGAGTGGGAGGGGGGCGAGGGATAGCAGACTACAAATATGGTGCAGTGTATACTGCTTGGGCGATGGATACACCAAAATCTCACAAATCACAACTAAATAACTTACTCATGTAACCAAATACCACCTCTACCCCAATAACTTATGGAAAAATAAAAAAAATTTTCTCATTAAAAAAAAGTAAGGTAGGTGCTTAACTTATTAAGTGCTTAGTACTTATATCTTGTAATCCTTATAACAAACCTGAAATATGGACATTTGTTTTCCACATCTTAGAGCCTGGGGAAACCAAGGCTCACAGAGGTTTCCAAAGTAAGTTGTCCAAAGTCAGCAAGGTAGCGACTAAGAACTTAGGATTCTTTACCTTCCATATATTTGCTCTTCCCACTAGCCCACATTGGCTAGGATGCAGTTCAAATCTGGAAAACTCATCCTTCCAACTTGTAGCAGTCACTCTTTTTTCAGGTGGCGGCTTGAGCAAGTGTGGGCCATTGGGTGCCTGGCAAAGACACATTTTGGAGGCCTCATCCTCCTTCAAGGTCTAATGGCACCAACACTGTCATTGGCCCTAATCTAGTGCATCACTCCATTTCTTGAGCCCTTCCACCTGCCCGCCTTCCTCCCCAGCAAACAGACTTTCCTGTAATAAGGTCAACCTGGGAGCAGTTTTCTTATCATCTCAGATGGGAGATCACTTCCCAAACCACAGTGTCTGGTTATTCAACTTAGCCAAATCTGATAACATTTCTGAACTTAATTTACCTATCTGTATATAGAGATTAATAATCCCTCACTTTAGTTAACAGTGTCCAAGCATGTTGCCATTACCATGGTTTTATTTTTTTCTCCAGGAAGTTAAATTAATTTTTAAAAAACAGCTCAGAGTTATTGAGCATTTTTTATGTGCCAAGAACCAAATCTCTTTATATTCATGTTGTGGTTTATTCTCACAACATCTTTATGGAGTAGTTATGTCATTATTCCCATTTTAAGGGATGAGGAAACCAAGATGAAGTAACTCATCCAAGAAGTAAAGGGACCTCTCTGAATGAAGAGCTCAAATCCACAAGTTCTACCCTCTGATACAGGGGAATAAAGTATTCCTTCCATTGTTCAGGGAAGAGGACAAAGGCAGGGGGGCCCAGAGGCATGGACAAGTTAACACATCAGCAGAATAAGGATAAGAAAGAGAGTGGGCTTTACTTTAAGGATGGGGCTTTTATGATACAATCTTACATCTCTGTTAAAACTCATAAGGATGTGGAGACTCAGAAATGCAGTTCTGGTGACTCCATGAAACAAACTGTATTTGGATGACGCCCCACTCCCCAGAGAGGTCTAAGGCTGCCCAAGGTCTTTCTTCAAGCAGTCCTTTCTCCTGTTGTCCCTGCTCCTTAGGTGAGTCTGCTGGCTCTGTGCCCACACCCAGGTCTGGGGTTTATAGCCTGGGCTGCCCTTACACCCCTGGGGAGACCTCCCATAGCCTCCTGACCCTGAACGGTGGCCCGAGGCTCCATGGACCTTTCTTTTTCAGGAGGCAGTGCTCCCTGCCAAGAAGGTGTCTGCTTTGGGCGGGAGGGGAATGAGTACAGAGACAACTTGGTTCTGTGCCCTGATCTTGGTTAGGAGAGGTCTTCAGGGGAGTTTGAGTCCCAGTGACCAGCCCCAGAAGCTTTCAGGAATTTTAGATTCTTGACTTGGCCCCAAATAACCCCCTGCTGGATCTGCTGGTGTCTCCACTGCCAAAAAGCCTAAGGAGGACATGGAAGCCTCCCCCACAGAGACCTCCCGCCCTCAGCCCTCTTGGATGTGCACACTGGAGCCTCCTTACAGGGACATGACCTTCAGATGGCGTGCCTCACTCGGGAAGGTCGACTGAGGCTGGAAGGGCAGCTCAGGGAAGACAATATCAAACTCTCAAGAGTTGATGGTTCTATTTTATACTTCAACTTTCACCCCCTTTCCTTCCTTCAACTTCTTAGTTCTTTTCTCTTCTGTCACGTGAAAGAACCAGTAAATTCTGGGTTCAAATACCAGCTCCCTTACAATCATCTTTGTGACTGTTGGAAAACTGCATAACCTCTCCCTGCCTTGGCATTTTTAAACCTGTAAATTAGGGATGATAAAATCTTTGCAGTTTTTAAGAACCACAGATAGAGTATACCAAATGCCAAATATTTAATAAACAGCAACAATGATAATAATATTTTAGTATACTACCATATGGCATGGTAAAGAAAAATTAGCTAAAGGGATTTTATTTTATCTCTAAAAATGCTGTGGACCAAGACATTTAGGAATAGGTCTTTAATCAAGGTTCAGGAGACTTAAGAATAAATAGGCATCTCAGCTGTAGAAAAATGTTACAGAGGTTGCATAAGAATCAATCCCACAGTCATGTCTCTAAGTGTCAAGATCTCTCTGCTACTCTGATCTTTCTGTCTCTCTAGGTCCCCATATACATGTCCTTGTCTCCTTTTACCTGTCACTGGACAGCATACACACACTCAGAGACTGCTCCTGCCTTGGGCCCTTCAACCCCGAAGAGAGCAGAAAAATGGATTGTAAGTTGATTGGCCAAACTCATGGGAAAGCAAGGAAACTGCTGTGATGATGGCTGGGCTTGGGGCCCCTGTCAGCAGAAGACTCTATTGGCTGATGAAGCTGATGGCAGGGCCACGTTGGAGGTACACCAGTTCCTAGGGAAGTCTGATGGCAACAGTTCCTGGCAGGTATTTTACTGTCTCAGACTAGAGCCTATTCACATGGCACTAGGCCTTCTGCTCTCCCACTAAGTGATTCTCTATGTGTCACATGCTAGCAATAGACAACTGGATCCTAAAACAGGGACATCAGAAGCTTAGCTCTGCAAACTGAGGGACTTTACGCGGTCAGAGAGGAGGGTGATAACACATCAAATATCTAATGCAGGAGACGACAAATAGGCTGCATGCTCCACACAATCAAGGCTAATTATTTGAGCACGCTTCTAGATTGGGAAGGGAAGTTAAAAAAAAAATGAAAAAGTAAGGAAAAAAAAAAGCAAGCTTCTTATCTGAAATTGCAATCCTACCCCTGAAGAAGCACACATCTGGAATTCATTCCCTGAGACAGTGAGCCATAGACCAGCTCTGTACCAGGACCCGGCCCAGCTGCCACGCGCTAGTGACTGAGCGCAGGCTGTGCTTTGCAAGGGGTTGATAGAATGTTTCTTGGATAAATATTCCTGCCAAAGTTAGTTTTTGAGCCATGGCTCGTAAATATACAGTATTCCAGGGAAAAAGTACAGAATGTCCTCCTGGGGTTGACAAGCAAATAGTTTCATAAATAACCCTTTTGACACGTGTAAGATGTTAACATTTCTGAGGTTTTGGGCAGGGGCAAATGTGGATTTGATTGCTCGATTCAGTCTGGAGCCACAACTGGACTTGGATGTTATTTCTTGGGGGCCCATGGAAATGTTTTTTTTGGCTTGCGAGCCCTTGTCCTGCTTGTCGGCCCTGAGGACAAAGGCTTCCTCTTGGAAGATTCTGGGCCAGTGCAGGGTACCGCACAGGTGAATCCGACCAGACCAGCAATCAAGGAGACTGGCAAGGGACATCCGGTAGATGCAATCCTTACTCAACAGGAGGGCAGGGCTGAGCCACAATATTGACTGTTTTAGAGGCACCGACAGTGCCCAGCCTGGGGACTGTTTTCGTAAGAGGGAGAAAGTTCCAAAGAAACCTCCTATTTTGATAGTTTTTTTTTTTCTTAACAGTAAATTTGGGGCAGAGCCTGAATGGGCTAGATCAAATACTATGTCTATAGGGATTTTAGTCCAAAGCCCAACTGCATCTTTAATCAGTTACTGGGACAGATTGGGGTTTGTCAAAAACGTGTTTCACACTGACCCTGTCATATTTCTAGAATTCTACCTTTGAAACGCATTGAGGTCCAACCTATTCACATGTAGAGTGTTATCTGGGCAAAAGAGATGAAGACATTACATTCTTGAGATCCTTGATAATCATTTATATGGCGCTTTAAAGTTTTCCTAAGCCCTCCCACATCTACAACTGCAAATGAACCCTAGAATAACACTGTGGCACCTGGTCAATAGGGCAGCTGTCACCATTCCCATTTTACAGGTGGGAAGCAGAAGTCAGGTGAGAGGAAGATAATTGGCTAAGGCTTCCTGGTAGTAAATGGAAGAACAAGGATTTGAATTGGGGCCCCTGGCCTTTTGAAGCTATGTCAACAAAAGGCTTGGTTTATCAGACAGGCTAGGAAAGCAGAGAGCAGGACCTGGAGGAAAAGAGATCTGGGATAAGAAGATTTTGAGGCAGGAACAATGAAAACAATGAGAAGAGGGCTCTGAGCATTTTGGGGACCCTGTTCCGATGGGAGGCCAACAGCATCTGATTTTTATTATGCCTTAACCAGGCGTCGGGATGATAACTAGCCACACCTGTCCTCACATGCTACCTTCCTGGGGCTGGAGCTGGTGGCAGATGCAATGTCACCATGATGTTCCCAGGTGTGAGAAGAGCCCTTGCAGGTCTCAATTACAATACATTGACAGACAGCACGGCAGCCTGATTCTGAAGATGGTTCCAAATTCACCTGTGGAGACAGGAATGTAAAAAAATTTAAAAACAGGATAAGAAGTCTCTCCACTCTCTCATTTACTAGGTATATTGTATTTCTGTAGATTAACTTAAAAGGTCTAAATCCACCTTCAGTGAAAGTTAAGATAAAAATAATGGTAATAACTGCTGTCATCTGACTGCTGAGCCATATACCGGTCCCAGAGTCCAGCCCTTAATATGTGGAAACAGTTTATTGAGTGGACTGAACTCAACAGGGACACAGACAGGAAATGGATTTCTCTTTCTCTCCAAATGCTGCACTTCCAAACACTCTGCTAACTCCCTCCAGCCCCTGGATGACTTATCGGACAGATTCATACTTTTATTTCTCATCAGTTTAGCTTAACAAGTACTGTTTTTGTTAGGAACCAAACTCGAGTCAGCTTGCCTGGCTTAGTAAAACCAGGTATCTACCCCAAGGTTTGTAGTGATGGAACAAAAGGTTTTTATTGTAGGGGACCAAGCGAGGGGGTCCAAACTGTTGAATGTTTAAATCCTGACCTACCTGATGGCTTGTAGGCAAGGATTTTTAAAGGCAGGGGTAAACTACAGGAAAGCGGAAGTCACAGTATGAATCATAAATTAATACATGAAGGTAACACATTGGACCTAAAAGGGTGAGATATGTTGAAGTAGAGCTTACAAGTCATAGGTAGATTTAAAGACTTTATGATTTGTAATTGGTTAGGGAAGAAAAACTTTGTTTAAAAATTTGAGGTCAGTGGAAGACTGTTAACTGGCTAGGGGGTGTGACTTTTTCTAAGCCCCCACCCCAGGAAGACACTTAGAATAAAGAATGCTGGTTAAAGTTTAGTCATTATTTTCTCCTTATCTGAGATCTACATGTCACTGGATCTGTTCAGTGGGGGTTGAGTTTCTGAAAGACAACTGAAGGACACATGTGAAGATATTATCTTGAGGTTCTATAGGGAAAGGAAACATCTCTTGGACTGTAACTTTCTTAGCTATTGTTTTAGGCTACTATTACTTTTGTGTTTAAGAAATTATTTCTTTCTTGGACTAGCTAGGTGCCTGGGATTTCCCCTGAAGGAAATCAGGATTTGGGATCTGCAGGCTCTTAAAAAAGGGGATCCCTATTCTGTCTTACTTTTGGCATTTATACTCAATTTCAGATGCTAAATGGTCCTTCAAGGTTATACCAGACTTCAGTCTCCCATCCTATTCAAAGTCCCCCCAACCCCAACTCAGGCTATAGGGATCTGTTGTGGGTTGGGAGGGAGCACATGGTATCTTTTTTCACTTGTACTGAACTTTCTTTCAACTCTCTGTGGCTGGCTCCTTCAGAGTCAGGGTAGGGTGGGCATTAAGGAAGAAGGGAGTCCCTTGCAAAAATGCTGGAATCAGCCATCAGTTCTACTTTGGGGCAGTTGCCCATTTGCTGGCACTCCAGGATATACTCGCAGATTCTCAAAAGCCTTGAATGAATATTCAGGGATACCTCCTGGGACACTCCTTGAAGCTGTGCCCCATTATTTTTTTTCTAATCGTTGTCATTTATTGGCTTAAAAAACAATATCCCAAAGTCTTGATTTGGGTGTGTGTCAGTGGTGGTGGGGCCAGAGCAGCTCACTTAATTCACATCTTGTGAAAACCCAATCATACCGGCCTAACTGACAAGCACAAATGGCTCTGGCGAAGGTGAGGGAGCCAAACGCAAATGACAATGCCATCAGAGTTGACAACAGAAGTGTGATTAAAGTGCGTGCTAACCAGTGTTCCCTGCATGAGGTCAGTCCTCTCACTGATCTCCTACTTGTAGTCAGATTAATAATTATACTCTACCTGCAAACACAGATTTTCCCTTTCAAAATGCATTCACATCTGTGATCACTTTTATTCGGCCCCCTCAATAAGGCAGTCACAGCAGGATCTGTATTATTGGCCCATTTCACATCAGAAAACCGAGCCCTGTGGAGATGAAGGCATTCCTGAGTTCCCCCAGCAGGTGAATGGCAGAGTAAGAAATGGAAATCCCATCTCCTCCCTCAGAGTCCTTAGCTCGAGTGAGACTCCTCAATAGTATATTCAAAGACACATCAAAAAAGGCCAGCTGTCCTTGGCTGACTATGAAGCTGGGGTTCCTGCTGGGCTGCTTCTGCAGGCAGAGACAAGAGCTCTTTCCACTGTCTGAGTCTTGCTTTTGTCCATGCTTCCTGTGTGCATGCTCACTGCATGTGTTCATTTCCTTGCATATTTCTTTTCTTTCTTTAAGGAGAAGGTAGAAGACAAACTGAGGGGCTTTCAAACAGATAGGGACAATCTTGGTCCTGTCCTCCTATCTCTACAGCACCTGAAGGCACCATCTTCCACATTCCCTTCCTCTCTTTCTATGAGAAGCACTGGGAGAAACAATAATTTCAGTAATAACATCTATTTGTTGAGCACTTACAATGTGCTAAGTATGGTAATAGGTGTCTTACATGCATTTTTTCCCCACACTCCTTTCAACTACTGGAGAAAGAGACACTTTAGGTACATTTTTCCCCCCAAAACCACTGAGGTCAAATGTATTTCAGAATTCAGGATTTCTTTTAGTTTTTAGGAAGGTAAGATGGAGTAGGTACTGTACATAGTCTCACACCCTCAACAGAATCTGCAGCAGCATCTTGCTATCAAACACATTCACTTTTCTGTGGTAAAACATAGAAATAGTCACAAAAGAAGGATAAAAGTAATAAATAGCTTCAGGTTAATGCAGGTTGACTTTTGCACCCAAGTCAATGCATATCAAACTTAATAAAGAAATTTGTCTTTTTTAGAGCTCTTTGGACTAGAGAATTGCAGATGAGGGATAGTGGGTCTGCATTATTATGCTCATTTTACAGATGTCAGTACGGAAGTTCAGAGAGCTTCTCATCCAAGCCACATGGCTGCGAAGTGACAAGGCTTGGAGACAACCCAGCACTCCTGACTTCAGCACCTGCTCCCTTAACCATGAGGGTTCCCTGGAACATTCATCTCTGGAAGCAACAGACATGAGCATCTCTACCAACAAGCAGTTGTAGCTTTCATTCCTTGAGGGTGAGGGCAGCAGAACTGTTGGAATCTCTTGATCCAGTTTTAAGAATACATATAATGGACCATAGCTGGGCACTGCCTGCTCTAAATCCTTGCTACTAAAGTGTGGTTCATGCACCAGCAATATTGGCATTACCTAGGAGCTTGTTAGAAACGCAGGATCTCAGGTCCTACCTATGACTTGCTGAATCAGAAATGCATGTTAACAAGCTCCTCAAGTGGCTCACTGTTGCAGCCCAGTTTGAGCATCTCTGGTCTAAAGCTCTTTCCTTGCGTGATCTCACTTAGCAATCCTCACAACAACCCCATGAGACAGGCACTATTGTCATCCACCTTAGACCACTAAAGCGAGGTCCAGAGAGAGTAAATGTAGTTTCCCGATACAAACAGAGGTCAGTCTGACTCCATTGCCTAGGTTGTTCACCACCATGCTGTCCTTTCACTTTTCAGGCAGAAAGTGAATCCAGAAACCCTCAGGAGCTCTGGATGGGCCTGCTCCTCTTGATGGGTAAGGAGAGAGATGAAACTCAAGTTGCAAATTAGTGGCTCAAAAGGGGCCTCCCCTCCACTGTCTCCCGTGCGTCCTCCCTCAGCTCCTTTATCTGACTATAGTAGCCACGGAGCTGTTTGCACCAATTTTCATTCTCTGCCTTCTGGACATGTGACGTGATTTCACTTTCTTATTCCACTTAAACACAAGCAAGGCCATGTGACATGCATCAACCATTGGCCAATGATATGGGGGTGGAAGTGACGTGCATCATTTCTGAGCATTTAATTGTCAGTGCTGGATGTGCAGCACCCCCTGTCCCCTGCCACAGGGGTCCTAGAAGCATGTGTGGAAATGAGGCCTCTGTCAGTCTGGTCCCTGAGAGATGACAAGGAGCAGAGCCCCCACCAGCCCACACTGGATGTCTAACACGAGGAAGAAATAAACTTTTGTGCTTTTAAGCCACTGAAATTTGGGGGGTTGTTTGTTACCCTGGCATAACCTATCCTATCCTGGCTGATTCTCTGACTCATCTTCCTTCCTTCTAGAGGGACTGATTTACTCTGTGGGAATGCCAGCCAGCATCCCTGTGGTTGGGAAAAATGTACCTGCTTTCATGTACCTAAGCTAATAGCTTCTTTCTCTCAACTGCCTGCGAGAACTTGTCTTTCTCCCTGTTTCTTTCTCAGCACCAGATTTATTTCTGATTTGTTTTTCTTGTTGAGCCTCTACAACTCCTTATTTTCCAAGGCTATTTTTAGTGGCTCCATTCTACCCTGAAGGAAATAGTTCACATCTTGGTGCCCGGGGCTTTTTTAGCTCCTTTTAATGGGAGAGGATAGCACATATCAACAATTCTTTAAGCCACCATGTCATTTCCCCAAGAGGCTCAATGAAGAACAAAATGTCTCCATCAAACAAGTTTTCAATGTTAGTCTCCAACCTTTTCATTGTGCATGATCCTCTCCGGTGCGAACAGAGTGATTTTAACTTTCCATTGCTTTCTTCCTTTTGTAGGTTAAGCCTGTTTCTTAAGCCTGGTGATTTCATAGGCCTCCTGAATCAGTCTTTGGGAATGGTGTTCAAAAATCTATGTTTTTCACAAGCTCCTGGAGTGATTTATCTATGGACTACTTGAGGACAGGTGTTTGGGAAGTCTTGGCTATGTATTCTACATACTGAGCTACACGTTTGTCATAACTAATCCCTGCTCATTAAGATGTCATCATTGAGAAAAACTGTAATTTAAAAACACATTCCTCATGGATGTTTATAGCAACTTTATTCATAATTGCCAAAACTGGGAAGCAACCAAGATGTCCTTCAGCAGGTGAACAGATAAACTATGGTACATCCAGACTATGAAATATTATTCAGTGCCAATATCCAAGCCATGAAAAGACATGGAGGAAACTTAATGCCTAAGTGAAAGAAGCCAATCGGAAAGGGTTATGTACTATGTGATTCCAGTGATATGATATGCTGGGAAAACTAATATTATGAAGACGGTAAAAGGATCAGTGGTTTCCAGGGGTTTGTGGGGAGGGAGGGGTGAGTAGATCGAGCACAGGGGATTTTTAGGACAGTGAAACTATTCTTCTGTATGACTTTATAATGTTGAATACATGTCATTATATATTTTCCCAACCCTATAGATAGAAGGTACAACACCAAGAGTGAACCCTTATGTAAACTATGGACTTTGTGTGATAATCATGCGTCAACGTAGGTTCAACATTT
The DNA here is from genome assembly GCF_000001405.40 of Homo sapiens. Taxonomy (NCBI): domain Eukaryota; kingdom Metazoa; phylum Chordata; class Mammalia; order Primates; family Hominidae; genus Homo; species Homo sapiens. Next base: position 159,780,796 of record NC_000005.10, on the reverse strand, counting down.
GTAATAAACATACCACTCTCATGGAAAGTGCTGGTAGTGGGGGAGGCTGTGCAGTGTGTGGGTAGGAGGTATATGGGAACTCTCTACCATTCCACTTAATTTTGCTGTGCCAGCCTGGACAACATTCTCTTCCATGCTTCTGGAGGAAATTATGTCTCCCTGTAAGCAAGGGTGAAGGGAGGAGTTGAGTATTCCAGCTCCTCTATGGATTTTCCATTTGCCATTCAATGTCTTCTTCCTTACTGGGAGGGCCAATCAAGACAAAAGGAGGATCTGAATGGAGCTGTCATCACATGAGGAAGTGCTCAGGCCATGGACTGGAATAACCAGGATGATCAAGGCCTTGTTTGCAGCAGGTTGTGACCCATTTCCTTTCTGGCAATTTGCAGCCAGACTTCTACACTCTCTCATTCCGAGGGAATGTCTGGGAAGCAAGAGCTTTGTATTCTCTGTATTCGTTATGCAGGAGCTACAATCATGATGGCTTGTGGAGATCAGGAAGAAAGCTAGGCCTGGGGAAATCGGACAAAAGGGGCAGCATGTACCTCAGAAGCATTTGGATGGGAGAACACCCAAACAGACTGGGCAAAGAGTCAAGCAATACACAGAATTCAGAAAGTAGCAGATCAGGAGCCACATGAATAGAATAGACTGGGCCATGGAGAGGAGGCAGGAGCACCTGACCAGAGGAGCAGCCTCTTAGCAACTTTATTCTATGGGGGAGCAGGTGTGAGATGAAGATAGCCATCCTAGGGTCTGGCTTCAGGAGTGAAGACCCAAGTGGGTCTTCCAGGGCAACCTGGCTGTGATGGGAAGGAAGTGCTCAGGGTTAAGGATGCTACTCGCGCATCATGTGAACACATAAGAGAGTTTAACCAGTTTCCACAAAGTATTCTAGGACATCAGCTGCTGAACTGAGGATTTCCCATCCCTGGGAAGGAGAAAAAACTGTTAAAAGACAGTCAAGGAAGTAAGTGGCTCCTTTAGACCACAACACTTATTTGCGCTTATAACTCACACACTCATGTGCCTATAACCCCAAAGAAATCCTTTCCTCTTAGTCCCAATTCTATTTAAATTTACTGGCCATCTAAACCTTTCCCTTTGGTACAGCTTGCGAATATTTTAAGAGAACATCTGTTAACACTTAAAATGAATGAAAACCAAAGGATCTGCTTGGTTTGTGGATAGCTGTGAAAACATAATTGACAGTCAAGCTTACATTTCACGAAAGAAGCTGAAATTTGTTGGACATTTGTTGGACTAGCGTTTATAGAGTGGAAACAATACTAATGGTAATAGTAGGAGTGGTAGCTTTAATACTAGAAATAATAATGATACAAATATATAACTGTTGAGCTTTTCTACTAAGGTCAAAGATTTGCTGCTGGGCAGGTTTAGCAAACCTGGATTCTCCTGTGGGTTTCCCAGCTTTCTTTTCTATTTATTATAACCCACTTTCAGCATAGGATCTGGTATAATTTATACTATAGAGTAAAACATTTTCAAGGTTAATGTGATGACTGTTTTAGAGAAGGTATTCTCTGTATCTTATTTTTCTTTCTTTTTTTTTTTGAGATGGAGTCTTGCTCTGTCACCCAGGCTGGTGTGCAGTGATGCAATCTTGACTCACTGCAACCTCCGCATCCTGGGTTCAAGCGGTCCTCATGACTCAGCCTTCCAAGTAGCTCGGATTACAGGCCTGTGCCACCACCCACAGCTAATTTTTGTACTTTTAGTAGAGATGGGGTTTCACCATGTTGGTCAGGCTGGTCTTGAACTCCTGACCTCAAGTGATCCTCCCACCTCGGCCTCCCAAAGTGCTGAGATTACAAGTGTGAGCCACCATGCCCTGACTGTCTGGATCTTATTTTAATGATAGAATTAATCTTTAAATCTGCTGATGTTGGACTTTAAGGTTGAAGGTAAAAGTTGCAGGGGGTGGGGGTGTTAATTTGGGGTTGGGTTAATATTTGGCAGGGTGCAGCCTGGATGATGCTGGGGCTTGTTAGTGGCTCTTCCAAAAGTCCTTGAAATCATACAAGTGAAAACCTTTGCAAACTGTAAAAGACCATTAGATGCCAAAACAAATTATTTTTCTTATTACAGGTGACCAAGAGCAGATGCTGATGCCAGGGGAAGACAAGAGGGAGCTGGAGGAGTGAAGGCAAAAAGATGAATTATTAATAATTTCTAAGAGTATGAAGTGTTAGGGTACAGAAGTTGAGAAACAGCTGTTCTTTATAGCAACCAAAGCCAGAAAATAAGCATTAATGACAGCAGGAAGATATAAAAGATACAGAGTTATATTAACTGCAGAAGAGGGTGGGAAATAGAATTTATTCATGCAGTCATTCAACAAACATTTATTGAGCACCCAGTATGCAGCAAGCACTGTGCTAGGTGCTGGGAGGGTAAAGATCAAAGCCAAATCCTGTGCCCCCAAGTGGCTCACAGAGCCATGTGTCTGCTGGACTGTAAGCCCCTCCAGGGCAGGGGCGCATGAGCCAGGCCACTACATCCCCAGATATGTGCCTTCCTCCTACTAGATGCCTAATATAGATTTGTTGCATAAACGATTGAATTAAGGTTGAACCAGAAGGAAAGACAAAGATGCCATCTGGTAATCATAGATCCTTGTATGTAGCCTGATGCTGATTTATTTCTGCCTGGCAGCAGGAGGGGAGTTGACAGAGATCTATATTCCCTTGAAAACTACGTGTCTTTAGTCTTCCTTGGTGTGCTGTATTTTGGAGAAAGTTGCCTGGTCTTTGGAGAAGGTCAAATTGCACAAGTCAGACCGGAAAGTCCACCAACCCTCCGAGTCAAGTTCTTGGCCCGAGAGTTTATATTTAATTACATATTGTCACCAGTCATCTGCTGTTCCAAGAACACAGAACACTCCTTCCAAAGCAGATACCTTTTTTGGACCTCCACTTCTCAAATCTTGTCCGTTGGAGTCAAAAGAGCTCCTGGCAGTGTAACTGACAACTGCACATCTGCGAATGGCACGAGTCACTCAGCTCCCAGAAAGAAGTGGAAGGCTTCTGTTTCCTTGCCTGCTCTTGGTGGAAAGAGATGGATGAGGCGAGGTCGTCACAAAGCCCCTTATACACCGTTTGCATATGGCTGGGCGTCCACAGGGTAGAGTTGGCTCTGTCTGTGCGAATCCCAAACTCTTTTCTGCTCATCCAAAGCTGTGCCCGATTCCCTTGAAGCCCACTGAATGACGCCCACACAAAGGCCTGTCTGCTCTGAGGAGCTCCTCCCTGTTGCTTTCCTTCACATCTCAATAAACCCTTCTCATCTTATATTTATCAAATGCAATCACAAAGGGACCACTTAATTAACAGGCTGCCATTGTATGGAGGATGATTTGGAAACTTAAAGGCATTTGAGAAACCTCATACTGTTCCAGACGACAAAAACAGTGGGATGCACCATCTGGGAGGGAGCTTCCTCCGAAACAGATGCCAGTGTTTCCGTGATAAAGAACCTAATATTATAACATCATAGTATGTTGTGCCATTTGGTGAGGAGAGGCAGTCCTCCTCTGAGCGAATGTTCTCAGGTTTCGCCAAATCATTCAGCACCAAAATATTTGCTCTGGCAAAGGGCGCTGGTTTATTCTTCTCTTGGGTCTATTTCCCCTATGGAGCCCTTGCAGGGCTGGACACATTGAAGGAGCTCAAATAAAATTTGTGGAGGAATCTGTTGGCTGGGAGGGTGGCATATGGTCAGAGTGTGGTCACTACATGCTATGAAGGAAACAGCAGGTGAATTCAGTTCCAAGGGCTTATTTCAAGACTAATGGATTTTTGACACATAGGCTTGAACTTTGCTTCAAAACAAAATGCTGGACTTGGCCTTCTATCATTCTGCCTCTCCTAACCCTTATCTCCAACTACTTCATTGTTTAGTTTACTTTTATTGAGCACCTTCCTATGTGCCAGGCATTGTGCTGAGCTTGGTAGGAGGATGAAAAAATAAATACAATATAGACACTGCCTGCAAGGACTTAAAAAGCTTATGTGATCCCTTTTATATATAACTGCTACTATTTCCCCTATTTACATAAGAAACATCTACCCATTGTAGAAAATTTAGAAAGCACAGACAAGCAAAAAGAAAAAAAGTTGGCTGGGTGCAGTAGCTCACACCTGTAATCCCAGCACTTTGGGAGGCCGAGGCGGGTGGATCACCTGAGGTCAGGAGTTCGAGACCAGCCTGGCCAACATGGAGAAACCTTGCCTCTACTAAAAATATAAAAATTAGCTGGGCGTGGTGGAGCATGCCTGTAGTCCCAGCTACTCTGGAGGCCGAGGCAGGACAATCGCTTGAACCTGGGAGGCGGAGGTTGCAGTAAGCCAAGATCACGCCATTGCACTCCAGCCTGGGCAACAAGAGCGAAACTCTGTCTCAAAAAAGAAAAGAAAAAGTTAGTCACAATCCTCAGAGATAAGCCACTGAGAGAAATCTCTTTGTTTAATTCCTTTAGTCTTTTCTTCTATGTAGGTAGCTTCTGTATTGCTTCTCTCATGCCATCTTAGTCTCGTCCCTACATTGCTGATGATATCTTGCCCTTCTGGGAAAGGTCTCTTCACCTCCCATCTGGCTATCCACATCCTACTTTCTACTAACTTCTGGGTTGACCTTCTTCTGGGAGGCTGATCTCATCCCCGGTAGAAAGATCATGGGTTATGGAGACTGTGGTTTGGATCTTGGTTTCTTCAACTTAACTAGCTGTGGACATGGGCAAGTCACTTTATTTCTCTGAGTGTCAGGTTTCATCTCATTAAGATGGAGGTTAGAACCTTGCGGAGTTTTTTTTTTGTTTTTTGTTTTTTTGAGACAGAGTCTCCTCTGACACCCAAGCTGGAATACAGTGGTGCAATCTTTGCTCACTGCAACCTCCACCTCCCGGATTCAAGCAATTCTCCTGCCTCAGCCTCCACAGTAGCTGGGATTACAGGCGCCCCCCACCATGGCCGGCTAAGTTTTGCATTTTTAGTAGAGACAGGGTTTCTCCATGTTGGCCAGGCTGGTCTCGAACTCCTGACCTCAGGTGATCCACCCGCCTCAGCCTTCCAAAGTGCTGGGATTACAGGCATGAGCCCCCACACCCAGCTGCAGAGTTACTGTTAAACAGAAATGAGGTGCAAGGAATAAAGAGCAAGGCTCTCTGGTCCTCTCTGGTTCTCTGCATCCCCATGGCACTTGCCCAGCTTACAGGCAGGGTGACATCCCATTGTTCCTAGGATAGTCTTATTTTGTTCCCAACCCTCTCCCCATTCTTTATTCCAGTCACACTGGCCTTTCCCTGAGGGCTTTGCCTGGCCTGTCCCCTCTGCCTGAAGCACTGCCCCTCTCACCCATGTTTTGTTACTTTCTTCTCATCCTTTAGATCCTGCGCAACTGTTACATCATTAAAGCATCCTGTCCATGCCTTTTAGAATACAGCAGTCCTCACCTGCCTTCTCATAAGACCACTTACCTGTGTCTGGGGGCACTCTCATGGTGGGAATTTCACAGTTATTTGTGTCTTTTTAAAAATTGACCTATTCCCTTCCAGAATTAATCTCCATGAAAGTGGTACCATGTCTGTTATTGCCCTCCAATGAATTTCTAGTGCCTATCACAGCACCTGGCACACAGTAAATACTCAGTACATATTGTAGAATAATTACATGAATTCCGTTTTTCGGTTGCCAGCACCAATGGATAGAAGAAGCTTCTTTAAAGACCAGGGCTGTGCCTCCTTTTCACATGGAGCTCATTGAAGGCCACTTCGCCCATACCCCAGACCCTAGAAGAAGCTTACTGCATTAGCCCTAGTCTTGCAAATGGCTCTCTGGCCTTTCAAGAGGATCCGTGAAGGGCCTGGGTGAGGCGCTATGGCATCCATGCCTCTTCCTAGTTGTTCTCCTTTCCTCTTCTGCAGAAACTCTATCAACCAGGGACAGCCTGAATGCCTCCTTCACCAGGAAGCTCTCCCTGATCTTCCTTTCCCACCAGTAGGGCATTCATTCTGCCGGCTTTGTTACCAATAGAACTGATTTCCCTCTGTCCTTGTAAATGCAGCTGGCTATTGTCTGAGCTGTTAGCTCGTTTGCCCTCTGGCTAAGTCGCTAGCCCTCAAACAGGTGCCTGGGGTGAACCCGCTCCCAGCTTCCTGTTTTCCACTTTTCCTCCTTTGCCCCCATTGCTGCAGGTATACTGAATGCTTTTCAGTTTTTCAAACCCGTCATGATCTCTGGCACTTCTGGGGTTAGGCACATGCTGTTCTCTCTGAGTGAAACTCTCTTCCCGAACCTCCTCTCCATATGCTTAACTTCCAATTAGCTTCCCAGCCTTGGCTTCAAAGTTACTGCCACCTGGAAACCTTCTTTGATTGCCTAGGTTAGGCTGGGTGCTCCTTCGCTGTATTGCGTGTGCCTCCAGCCCCCTAATGTAGCGTTTCTCACACCTTGTTTACCCGTCTTCCCTGCTAGAACGTGCGCTCCATGAGAGCTGGGACAGGTCAGTGTTACCTCGCTCACCTGGCACATGGTAGGTGCTTACTAACTACTTGGTGAATGCACAAAAAATAAATTAAGGCTGCCTTAGTCACCTTTGTAACCCTCTGTCTCCTCTGCCATTGTTCTCTGCACACAGCAGAGCTCGAAAATATTTGTCGGGTGGAAGGGGATGGAATTGAGTCCCCCCAGGTAAATGCTTCTGGACATATCTCAGAAAGAGTGCTATACGGTGAGCTCCTCGCAGCGGGACCACTCTTGTCCATCTCTGTAGCACCAGCACAGGCCTGGGCACACGGCAGGGATTCCACAGTGCTGCCACATTACTATTTTATTGGGTATACTGAGAGCTCTGCCACCGCTGGCAAGCCCCTTTCTCTCTCTGGCCTTAGTATCCCCATTGTAAAGCAGGGATAATCACGTGACCTGCCTTCAGGGCTGTTTTGAGGGTTAAGTGAATTATGACCTTAGCACATGTAGTAGAGCGATGAGTATGAGCTATTGCTCTCCCCTTTGTCACCTGCCACATCACATCTGTTTTTTTTTTTTCTTCCGGGCAAGGGCTGGCTTTGAGCGCCAAGCTGTGGAACCCAGGCCGGTAGCAGCCGAGGCGCAGGCCCCAGGTCTCTCCGGTTCCCGCCCGACCCCGCGCCACGGTCCTCGCCGTTTTGCTTTCGAGACACACCTGGCTGCTGCCGCGCGCCCCGGGCGCAGCCGCCCTTGGCCTGGCGCCCCCGCCTTTTTGCGGCCGGCGCTCGTGGAAGTTTCCGCGGCCGGTGGTGAGTCACTGCCCTTTTTTTAGCAGCCGCGGTGGATGTGCATCATAATTCACCCAGGCTCCCGAGAGCCCGGCTGCTGCCGCCGCCGCCGCCGCAGACGTCAATGCAGACGAGCCCGGCGCTCGGCCCGGTGCGAGGGAGGAGACCCAGGTCCGCGCCGCTAGGCCGCTGCCCCGCTGAACAGCCGCGCGACGCCCTCCCCGCGAGCTAGGGGCGGAGGGCGCTGCGGAGCGCGCCCAGGAAGCTCACCCCTCGGGGGCGCCTTGGAGCCGAGGAAGGGCAGGCTGTGAAGACAGAGCGGGAGAAAAGCCAGGAAGCAGGCATCTGGGCGTCCGTCCACCCCTCATTCAGTCACCTGCTCTACCGTTAGCCATTCAGGCTCTCACACTAAGTCACTTAAGACCCCTCTCTTTCATCCATCCACCCACCCACCCATCCACCCGTTCGATCATTCATCCACCCGTCCACTCTTCTGCCAACCACCTACCGGCCTTCCTATTCAGGCATTTGACATACTAAGTTACTTAAGGTCCCCTCTATCCACCTGTCCATAGCACACATTTATTTACATCCCATCTCTCTACCTGTCTCAGTTCATCTATCCATCCATTCATCTATCCATCCATCCATCCATCCACCCACACCCTCACTCGTTTAAATTAGTATCTGTTATGCTGGATACTGGGAACACACAGATAATTAGGGCAGCATCTCAACCTGACTCTCTCAGAATTAAAGAAATAGGAGCGATAGAATTCTATTACAGTAGGATAAGAACTGTAGTAATAGTAATTAGAGTAATATAAAATAGTAATAATGTAGGCTAATGATAGTAACCCTATTACAGTAGGATAATAATAGTAATAGTAGCAGCTAATATTTATTGAGCATTTATTGCTAAGCAGTGTCCTTAGCTTTCCATATGTATATCTCATTGGAGACTTACACCAGCCCTGGGAGGTAGGTGCCATTATTATACCCAATTTTCAGGTGAAAGAAACAGAGGCTCACAGAAGTTGGAAAAGTCCAGTGCTTACATAGCTATTAAATGACCAAAATGGTTAGAAGCCAGTGCTTCTTGCTAATGTCCTGGCTGGCATTTGTTACCTGTAGAGGTTAGCATGTTAAAAGGAGTTCAGTTGGATCAGTTATGCCATCTCTCTGAGCCTTGCTTTTCTGTAAAAATAGGGACACCATTTAGGGATAAATGTGTACTGTATATTAGGCCTTGCATCCATTTGCAAGGACTGAAGTGTCTGAAAAACTTATTACCCACCAAGATTAGAGAATAAGAATAGGGTATGGAGAAAATGAGATGTGCCTATTATTATTATTATTATTGTTATTATTTTAATTTTATTATTACTATACTTTTAGGGTACATGTGCACAATGTGCAGGTTAGTTACATATGTATACATGTGCCATGCTGGTGTGCTGCACCCATTAACTCGTCATTTAGCATTAGGTATATCTCCTAATGCTATCCCTCCCCCCTCCCCCCACCCCACAACAGTCCCCAGAATGTGATGTTCCCCTTCCTGTGTCCATGTGTTCTCATTGTTCAATTCCCACCTATGAGTGAGAACATGCAGTGTTTGGTTTTTTGTCCTTGTGATAGTTTACTGAGAATGATGGTTTCCAATTTCATCCATGTCCCTACAAAGGACATGAACTCATCATTTTTTATGGCTGCATAGTATTCCATGGTGTAGATGTGCCACATTTTCTTAATCCAGTCTATCATTGTTGGACATTTGGGTTGGTTCCAAGTCTTTGCTATTGTGAATGGTGCCGCAATAAACATACGTGTGCATGTGTCTTTATAGCAGCATGATTTATAGTCCTTTGGGTATATACCCAGTAATGGGATGGCTGGGTCAAATGGTATTTCTAGTTCTAGATCCCTGAGGAATTGCCACACTGACTTCCACAATGGTTGAACTAGTTTACAGTCCCATCAACAGTGTAAAAGTGTGCCTATTTCTCCACATCCTCTCCAGCACCTGTTGTTTCCTGACTTTTTAATGATTGCCATTCTAACTGGTGTGAGATGGTATCTCATTGTGGTTTTGATTTGCATTTCTCTGATGGCCAGTGATGGTGAGCATTTTTTCATGTGTTTTTTGGTTGCATAAATGTCTTCTTTTGAGAAGTGTCTGTTCATGTCCTTCGCCCACTTTTTGATGGGGTAGTTTGTTTTTTTCTTGTAAATTTGTTTGAGTTCATTGTAGATTCTTGATATTAGCCCTTTGTCAGATGAGTAGGTTGTGAAAATTTTCTCCCATTTTGTAGGTTGCCTGTTCACTCTGATGGTAGTTTCTTTTGCTGTGCAGAAGCTCTTTAGTTTAATTAGATCCCATTTGTCGATTTTGGCTTTTGTTGCCATTGCTTTTGGTGTTTTAGACATGAAGTCCTTGCCCATGCCTATGTCCTGAATGGTAATGCTTAGGTTTTCTTCTAGGGTTTTTATGGTTTTAGGTCTATCGTTTAACTCTTTAACCCATCTTGAATTAATTTTTGTATAAGGTGTAAGGAAGGGATCCGGTTTCAGCTTTCTACATATGGCTAGCCAGTTTTCCCAGCACCATTTATTAAATAGTGCCTATTATTATTATCTGTGCTTATTCCAGAACAATTAAAAATAATCAAAAAGAAAATATCTTTCATTCCATTATCTAGAAATAACAACGTGTATGTTATGTTTGTGTTCTTTAAAATGTTTATTATCAATCTATATGCATATATGTGTACATGATTTTTTCTTTGCAAAAATTGATTATATTATATATTTAAAAAAATAAAATTTAAAAATGTAGCATGACATGAACATATTTGCATGGATTTAACGTACTTTAAATAAATGTATAAAGAGAAAATAAGCCGTCATCTTTGTTGCTGCTTCCGTTTTTTTTTTTTCTTCCAAGGCAGAGTCTTGCTCTGTCGCCCAGGCTGGAGAGCAGGTGTGCGATCTCGGCTCACTGCAACTTCCACCTCCCAGGTTCAAGCAATTCTCCTGCCTCAGCCTCCCAAGTCGCTGGGATTACAGGGATGCACCATCATGCCCAGCTAATTTTTGTATTTTTAGTAGAGATGGGGTTTCACCATGTTGGCCAGGCTGGTCTCAAAGTCCTGAACTCAGGTGATCTGCCCGCCTCGGCCTCCCAAAGTGCTGGAGTTACAGGCGTGAGTCACCGCGCCCAGCCAGTTGCTTCCGCTTTCACTTATTTCCCTCCTTCCCTCCTCTTCTCATTTTTCCTTTTCTCCTCCTCCATAATAGTTAGAGGTCCTAATTACAGACAACAGAATCCATTCTAGTTAGTTAAGTGGGAAGGAATTTATTAATAAATAGATAGAAATGTTTATTATTATTTTTGTTGTTTTTGTTGGAGTATTATTACTAAATACTTCATACAATCGTTCGGTGGGCTGAATAAACAGTCTCTAGGGCAAGCTTCCTGGAAGACAACTTTGCAAACCACGACACAGAACTGGGCCACCAAAGGAGCTGCAGGATGAGGAAACTGCTGTCACAGCAAAACAAAATCCCAAAAGCAAAGCATCTCTGCATGTGAAGCTGTTAACACCCCATTGGCCAAAGCAAGCCACATGAGAAAATTGTGGGGAGTATGGAAATAGATTCTCCTTCTTTTTGTTTTTTGTTTGTTTGAGTTAGAGTCTTGCTCTGTCACCCAGGCTGGAGTGCAGTGGTGTGATCTTGGCTCACTGCAGCCTCTGCCTCCTGGGTTCAAGCGATTCTCGTGCCTCAGCCTCCCGAGTAGCTGGGATTACAGGTGTGTGCTACCAAGCCCAGCTAATTTTTATATTTTTAGTAGAGACAAGGTTTCTCCATGTTGGCCAGGCTGGTCTCGAACTCCTGACCTCAAGTGCTCCACTTGCCTCAGCCTCCCAAAGTGCTGGGATTACAGGCATAAGTCACCATGCCCCACCCAGATTCTCCTTCCTAATGGGATGAGCTGTTAAGCTACCCTGCAAAGGGTGAGGATGTAGAAAGGGGCGAAGTATTCAGGCCAGTTGTGTCATCTGCAACATCAGGGAAGACTTTTTGAAGGAGATGGTAACTGAGCTAGTTTTAAAGGATGAATTGAGGTTGGCTAGGTGAAGAGTGACAGATGTGTCGCAGAGAAGGTAATTTAGAGTAGATGACGCAGCAAGTGCAAAAGTCCACAGCCCTATCTGGGAATTGCTAGTGGTTCCATGTGGTTAAAGGCTAAGAGTGCAAGAGGAGAGCAGCAGGAGATGATGTTGGAAAGGCAAATAGGGAGCCAGGTCTTGAAGGACCTTGAAGTTAATTATACATTAGTAAAAGGGATAAACTGCTTTTCTCTATACTCCGAGAACAATTTAGGCAACCACATGAGTGAGTTCCCTCCTTACATTAAGCAATATTCCAGCTCTCTGGTCATCAACTTGGTGCCCCATTGTTCGATTATGACACTAACTCCCTGGAGTTGTACAGACCCCAGAAGTTAAGGGCTCAGTCCCACAGCACCGAAGCCCACTTCACACAATAGTCAGAAGTCCTAGGTTATGATCCATATTCTCTGACTGGCTATAAATTGGGGGTTCCCAGGACACCCTTCTTGGGTGTGACAATCTGCTAGAGTGGCTCACAGAACTCAGGAAAGTGCTTTATTTACCATTACCAGTTTATTGCAAAGGCTACAACTCAGAAACAGTCAAATGGAAGAGATGCACAGGGCAAGTTATGGGGATGAGGGGCTGTCTGGTGCTTCATACCCTGTCTGGGCTTATCCCCCCTCCTAGCACCTTCATATATTCACCAGTCTGAATGCTCTCTGAACCCCTAGTTTATGTTTTTTTTTTTTTTTTTTTTTTTAATGGAGGCTATGTTACATAGGCATGGCTGATTAAATCATTGGCCATTGGGGATTGAACTCAATCTCCAGCCCTTCTCCCTTCTAAGGAGGCCCAGCTCCCTTCTGGGGCTGGGGTTAAAAGTTCCAATCCTCTAATCACATGGTTGGTTTCTCTGGCAACCGTCCTGCATCTTCCAGGAGTCACCTCATTAGGCTTGTTGTGAATAACAAAAGACGCTCATCTTGCCCCTAAGACTCAGGAAATTCCAAGGGTTTTAGGAGCTCTGTGCTGGGAGCCCAGGATGAAGACCAGATATATATTTTTATCATATCACAATGTTATAATTAAGGAGCCTTTCCTATCCTGGTAATGGTGGTGGTGGTAGTAGTTGGAAGAACTTTAACATCTGTGTTTTCTAAAGAACACTCTGTGGACAGCATTCAGAATGGAGGAGAGGAGTCAAGATCAGAGGCAAGAACAGCAGAAAAAAGCATGTGGCAGTATCCCAGATGAGAAACAGTGGTGGCTCAAATCAAGACACCAGTAGGAGGGGTGGAGAGATGTGACTCTATTGGCCAGACATTAAGAATTGATAGGATTTGCTCGTTGATTGGATATAGGGATGCGAGAAAAGGAGTCAGGATAATGCCATGTTTGTTTCTGGCTGGCTCAGTGGGATGGATAGTCATAGTTCATCTTGGTGGGAAAAATGATTTCAGATTCGGGCATGAACTGAGTTTTAGGGGGATGGTAAGCTGAATAAATGCTGCTCCAAAATGTCCACATTCTAATTCCAGGACCTGTGAATATGTTACCTTATATGGCAAATGAGACTTTGCAGATGAGATTAACTCAAGTATTTTGAGATGGGGAGATGATTCTGGATTATCTGGGTGGACCCAATATGATAACGGTCCTTATAAGGGGAGGAAAGGGGGTAAGAGTCAGAGAAGGAGATGGACAACAGAAGCCAAGGTTGGAGTGTGCAGAGCCATGAGCTAAGGAATACAGGCAATTCTAGAAGCTGGAAAAAGTAAGAAATAGATTCTATCCTGAAGCCTCCAGAAAGGATGCAGTTCTCCTGTCATCTTGATTTTAGTCCACCTAGCCACTTGATTTTGGGCTTCTGACCTCCAGAACTGTAAGATAACAAACTTGCGTTGTTTTAGGCTATTATGTTGGTGACAATTTGTTACAGCAGCAGTGGGAAACTCATACAAGAGGCCTGTGGGAAGTCCGGGCAGGAGTAAGTGTCCAAGGACTGAGGAGAAAACATCTGGGATGGAGATATGGACAGCAGAGTGATAGACATGCTCTGTCTGGGAGAGAGCATATCGACTGGATGATAACATCAAATTTCCCAAAAAGATGATGTGAAGTGAAAGGGGAAGACAGCCTAGAAAAGGTTCAATCAGGAATAACCTCTGAAGAAAAATGAGGAGGAAAAATGCAAGGAAATCTCACCCTGGGAAGTCCAAGAGTAGAGTGTTAAGAAGGAGGCCCTCCCTGTCAACTACCACAGAGCCATTGAATAAGGTGGCTCCGTGTGCCTGTTGGATTGGACTACCAAGCGTATAATCTCGGTGAGAGCAATTTCAGAGGTCAACCAGGAGTGGAACCAGCCTATATTGCAGGGGCAAGAGTGGGAGGTGAGGAAGTGGAGACATAAGGGAAGACAACTCAGACTGTTGGCTTTGATGGGGAGCAAGAGATAAGACAGTAGCTGGAAAAGGATAAGGGATCAAGGGAGGGCTTATTTTTAAGATGAGGGCTTATTTTAAGATGGTGGGAGAGATGAAGAAGTTTATTTCTGTGAAGGAGCCAGCCAGAGAGTTGAGCGCAACTGAAGATGGACAGAGGAAGAGTTTACAGATAAGGTCAGATACCTGAGCAGTATGTACCAAAATGAAGTGCAAGTGGCAAGATTAGTCTTAAATTCTTAGATTAGAGGAGGGTGATCCTTCAACAAGGCCTGAAGGAAAGGAGGCAAAGATGGGTGAGGGATGTTACAGTGTGCAAATAGGACAGAGGTGGGGGACAGTTTTCCATGTGCTGGTTAAAATGCTCAGACATTTTAGGACAATTCCTTTCTGACTTGCTGTAGTAAATTGCTACTAATTTTCACTACTTCGATTAAGAAAATAGAATGTAGAAGGAATAAAGGTACCCGTCAGAGCATCATCGTAGAAACAAGAGTCTCAGCTGAAAAAATTTTTTTCTCTTAGGAATCATAACAACATAAAATATAGGAATTGCCATACTGGGACAGACACAAGTCCACACAGGCTCATAGTCTGCTGCCAACAGAGGTCCCACGGGATGGGCACCCAGAGGGCACAGTCATGCTGTACCCTTCCTTGATCTCAGTTAGTAGACAGAGAAACCATTTCCCCCATGACGTCAACCATAAAGGTTAGGTATATCCCAGCACCCATTTATGGCTCTGTCATGCATAAATATACTCAAACTCTCTGACTGCTTGTGCTATCCCCCTTGGGGTTCTGTGTTTCATTAGTTTATTTTCAACCGTGTGATACAAAATTTTAAAAACTCTATTTCCAGCTTATTTTGAGGTTTGAAGACTGATCATCTATCCCAGTAGGCATCAAACTTAATAATGCAAATGAAATACATCTAGCACATGATAAAACCCGACACATCATAAATGATTCATAAGGGATAGTGATGACACTGATGATGACGATGATGATAATGATGATGTTTTAATCCTCAGTAATCCTGCTTGCTCTAAGGCAGACTTGTTCAACTGGAGGCCTGCGCATTGCATGTGGCCCAGGACAGCTTTGAATGAGGCTAAACACTAATTTGTAAACTTTCTTAAAACATTATGAGATTTTTTTGTGATTTTGTTTTTCATCAGCTATTGTTAGTGTTAGTGTATTTTATCCATGGCCCAAGACAATTCTTCTTCTTTCAATATGGCCCAGGGAAGCCAAAAGATTAGACACCCCTGCCTAAGTCCTTGGCCAATTACTCGAAATCACATTATCTTTCCCATTTTACAGAAGGGCAAACTAAGGAGGGCCCATCAAAGTTATATGGCTTGATAAAAGGAATCAGAGAAGAAAAAAATGGAAGGTCAGAGAGCAGTTCACCGAAAAGTTAAAGCTTACAGTACGAGCTAGAAGCTTAAAGAGTGGCTTTGAGACATGCTGCCCTTACTCCCTGTAACCCACCTACCCAGTCCGGCCCTGGGGCTGCATTTGCTGATCAGCTGCCTTTGCCACAGTGGAGATCTAAACCCAACTCCGAAAGCTCTGGGGCCAACTAGCCTGACACGAATCCTTCAAGTCTAGTGTGCGAAAGGATCCATTTTATTTATTCTACCCTCATGATGGAAATAGCCCAAAACACGCCCTTGTGCTTATTAAGCTACTTCCCAGCCAAAGCCAGCCAGAGAATGTTAATTATCTCATCCTTTTTCCCATTCCACGATGAATTACTGATGTCCAGAGCATGCTATCTTTAATTGTGAGGTATTCCAGAATAAGCAGGTTATCGAAAATATGCAAAGGAGGAGAGTTTTGGTTCAGCCCTGGGAGGCTGATGTGGGAAAATTTATCCTTATTTATTTACATGGTAATGGGATGAGATTTTGCCAGCTTGCTAATAGGTTCTTAAAGAGAAACAGGCTTCCTGTGGCCTAATTAGAACGATTGGTTGCCCTGCTGCCACATAAAACACCAAACCAAGAAGGCCATGGTTTCCTCTTTCTAGATTCTTCTTCTCTTTGGGGGACCATCTGCATTATTTGCATGGGGGAGGCAGGATAGTAGAGTGGATGCAGCTTTCTCTGGTTTCAAGATAGCTACTCTCAATAGCTATTTGGCCTGAGATGGTGCATTTAATCTCCCCTAAGCCTCAGTTTTCCTATCAATCAAATGGGGATGGTTATGCTTTTCCCCTAAACCAACTTAGCAAGTTTGTTTAGAGGACAAGATTAAAACGTTGGTTTTAAAAGTGCAATGATCGGATTTTGTATCTCTGAAGAGCACACGTGATTTTCCGGAAAGCAAAAGACAGGTCGTAATCATATTTAAAAATAAACCTTAGCATTTTCTAAGTGCTTGGCCAATTACTCCAAATAACATTCATTCCAGAGGCTGCTGGGGGGTGGTGGTGAGTCACGTGATGAATGTATTAGATTGTGGAGCAGCCAGAGACAGCCTGCAGCATCTCATTCCAAAACCAGGCAGGAAACAGGCTGGGCCACAGATAACCCCAAATCTCTCTTGCAACAGCCATTGGTTTCCTTTTCTTACTGATGCCCAGAAACCTCTCTGAGGTCTTCCTACTTTGTCTTTACCCTTTTGGTCTTCTCAGTTACTCAATACATGTTTATTGTGTGCCTCCTATGTGCCAGGCACTGGGCTGGGTGCTGGGTAGAGACACAGTCTGGGGCGGGAGAATTTGTGGGGGAAGAAAAACGAATACACAAATAAACATGTAATTACAAAGGAAAGTAGAACTGGAGGCCCTGAGAAGGTACAGCAAGGCACAGCTAAATTATATGAGAGGGTCAGGAAAGGCCATTAAATTTGAACCAAGGCCCGAAAGCTGTACCCATCAGATCAAGAGTAGGAGAAGGGCACTCCAGCTAAAGGGAACAGCACGAGGGAAGACAAGGAGGACCTGGGGGTGTTGGAGGAATGAAAATAGTAGGGCGAGGTGTGAGTGTGCATGCATGTGTATGCACACGTGCACACACACACAAGAATGAATCATGAAGAGAGGGGAGGGTGGGGTCAGGTGAAGTAGCAGGGGCCAGGGAGGCCTGGGTTTAGACCCTGGCTCTGCTACCTGTTATCTGTGTGCTCTCGGGTAAGCCACATGGCCTCGCAGAGCTTCAGTCCCCTTGTAAAGGGAAATGAATGACGGGTAGCTTGTGAGTCAACCAGAGGCTCACCGTTCACTACAATAGCTTACGAGGCCTCTCTGATCTGACCCGTGTTAGCTCTTTGACTTTCTCTCCCTCCCCTCCTTAGCTCCAGCCAGCTGACCTCATGCACATGGGACATGTTCTACTTGGAGGCCTTTGCACTCGCGGTTCCTCTGCTGTCAGTGCTCTTCACCTGCAAGTCTCACTCCCTCACTACCCTCAGGTCTTCACTCAGATATCATGTTCTCAGCGAGTTCTTTCCTGACCACTTTGTTTCATTCTATTCCAAACATTCATCCCTGCTCTCTGCTTTATTTTTCTCCATTGCACTTAGCGTCGTTCAGCACACTCTGTATTTTACTTATTTTGTGCATTGCCTGCTCTCCCCATGAGAGGCTCTATGAAGCCATGGAGCATTTTGTTAACTGCAGTGTCCCTAGCATCTAAGGAGAGCATCTGGAATATAATAGGTACTTAATAAATAATGTTAAAAGTTTGCAAAACTTTCGATAAGCTAAGTAGAACAGTACTTCCCATGGAGTAAGTGTTGCATTCCTTTTAGCTGCTTTTTCTTCCAGCTCAGAAAGTTCTGTCCCATTTGAGCCCCCTGAAGGCTGAGCTCCTCTGTTCCCTTGGAATAATTCCCAGCTTTGTTAGCTCTGTGCCCTTCCCAACAATTCCTTTCTTCAAGGTCTTGTGCAAGTTCCATCTCCTCCACGTTTTTTTCTTTCTGACTTCCTTCTGTGGGCCTAAAAGATCTCTCCCTTTTCTGATCACTTCTAACACATTCAATCTTTAACTCTCATATGATTATTCTTTTTCTTTTTTTTTTTCTTTGAGACAGAGTCTCGCTCTGTCGCCCAGGCTGGAGTGCAGTGGCGTGATCTCGGCTCACTGCAACCTCTGCCTCCCATGTTCAATCGATACTTGTGTCTCAGCCTCTGGAGTAGCTGTACTACAGGTGCGTGCCACCACACCTGGCTAATTGTTTTTGTATTTTTAGTAGAGACGGGGTTTTGCCATGTTGGCCAGGTTGGTCTTGAACTTCTGACCTCAGGTGATCCGCTTGTCTTAGCCTTCCAAACTGCTGGCATTATAGGTGTGAGCCACCATGCCCAGCCCTATGATTTTTATTATTGACTCTTTGTGACAACCCCTGCCCTGTCTTTTAACCTTTTTGTCTTCTAACTAAGACTTTGAATCATAGATTCTTAGGATTTTGGACTGAGGAAGGGTCTTAGCAATATTTTCTTCACTTTTATATAGTTGAGGACTTTCTATAAGCTTCTTGAGGCATAGGTTTTTAATGTTCAATTTCTTTAAATTTCCTTATTACTTTATTCAAAAAATATTTATTGAATGCTATTATGTGCCAAGTCACGGATTAGGGACTACGATATGATAGTGAACCTGACATAGTTAGAACTTTTAAATTTTAACATCTTAAATTCTGACATGTTGGTGCTTTGCAATAGTAGATGATGAATAAATTTGTGCCAAAGGAGTGAATGCATGGACATTCATAACTGATTTGAAGTTGATTGTGGTAAATTGGCTTAAAAACAATGAAGTTGCCTTTATAAATACATGATTTCGGTCTTTCTTGGAAGGGTAGTAAATACTATTCCATGAAGAGTGGGGATGAGAAGAGGTGTGGAGAATATTTCTGAGTGAAGTGGGGAGGTCGGATTAAGATTCAGGCCCAGAATTAACCTCCCTGTGGGAGACCCATCAAAGTGTGGAAGAAGAGCGAGGGTAGGTTGAGTGGTGGTTACTATTGGATTAGAGGCAAATCAGCTCTTGATGTCAGTAGGCTGGATAAGGGAGGCTACACCCTGGCATCTAAGATCTCCTGGGAAGACTGAGACCCACCAGGCAGGTTCTGACCTTTCACTGGGAACCCCTTCTCTAGAGGACAGAATTGTCTTACTGTCTTGCATGGGAAATAGTTTTATGTTTGGTGATAGCTCACACTGTCAAATTCATCTATTTCGCTTCCAGTGCGCTCCCTTAGGGGGATATTGTACTGCCAAGTGGCCCTGTCTACGTGCCAGGCTCTAGTGGCTTCCAGAACCTGGGGTTCTGATTTCCAATGATGCTGCACTCCATCACTCAGCCTGAGTGCATTTTTTTTTTTTTTTTGACAGAGTCTCGCTCTGTTGCCTAGGCTGGAGAGTAATGGCGTGATCTCTGCTCACTGCAACCTCTGCCTCCCGGGTTCAAGTGATTCTCCTGCCTCAGCTTCCTGAGTAGCTGGGATTACAGGTACGTGCCACCACACCTGGCTAAATTTTTTGTATTTTCAGTAGAGACGGGGTTTCACCATGTTGGTCAGGCTGGTCTCGAACTCCTGACCTTGTGATCCGCCTGCCTTGGCCTCCTAAAGTGCTGAGATGACAGGCGTGAGCCACTGCACCTGGCCAGCTTGAGTACATTTTAATTTAGCACAAGATGTCACTGCGAGGGTGAAGGCTGCTGAGGGCAATGAGTTGTCAGTGGTGGTCACTGCTAGTTGCAAATGTGGTCAGTCTCTGGGTCTTGGTTCCTCAGAGCCTGCTACTCGTTTGAAGAGTTCTTCATTCTGATGCTGTGTTGTCATTGTCATCATCATCATTATCACCATCATCATCATCATAATCACCATCACAAAGCACTAATTATCCTTTAACAGGGGTAATTTTCTGGCTGAAGAAGCCCTAATCAACAGAATCTCCTTGGTCCTGCAGCAACCTTTAGAAGGTTTTTCAACAGAAAAGGTGTTTCTATTCTACCCACATCAGACTAGGAATCACAGTTCTGGGAATGATGCTACAAGTGAGCAGGTGCAGAAATGAAATGTGGGGGAAAATTTGGAGGTGGGGGTAAGATTTAGTACCAGGGCTAAGAATCAAGAGACCTGGTCTCTACTCCAGGCATTTTTTGTTTTTAACTTGGGGACTCCCATTCAGAGCATCAGTAATTCAGCCCCTTTTGGTTAAGGTCAATGCTTCTATCAACTGGACAAGCCAATGATGCTTGTCCAATCTTATTTTTACTTCAGAAAATTGTGGGAGGAGTTGAGTCAGTTATGGATGAACAAGTTTTGGGAGAATAGTAGAAGGGTGTAGTGTGAGATGTTATAGGTAAAGTATGTTAGACGATATATTCAAGATGTTCTATTGAAATGAGACTAAGGACTTTAACAGTAAGAGCTCTTAGTTATAAATAATAGAAATTCAACCCACACTGGATTAAGCAAGAAAAAGGACTTATTGGTGCATGTAATTGAAAAGTCCAAGATTGGATCTTGCTTCAGGCACAGATGGGTTCAGGACAAAAAAATATTACTAGGACCCTGTCTCTAGATTCTGCAATCCTCTCCTCTGTGTGGTGCCTTCATTCCTAGACTCCACATACGGACAAGGTGGCTGGAGGGGGTAAAGAGGCTGGTGGTTATAGCCTTTCAAGTGAAAGCCTGGTGGGAAAGTATGAATGACTCTTTCTTCCTTGCCTTGCAAGTGAAGTCCCACAATTAACTAGAATTGAGCCTGATTAGTTTGGTGTGGCCACACTTCTTTCCTGAACCAAGCACTGTGGCCAAGGAATGGAACTGGCTTATGCCTCGCAAGAAATGGAGAGCCCCATTTGGATCATCAGATGATGTGCACTTCAAATATCCACCAGGGAGACTAACCAGTGAGGAATTCTTCAGAAAAAAATCGAAATCAGTCATTACTACTAGCGAACAGTAATCTATTAGGCAAAACCTCCTTACTGTCTTACTGTTCCTCAGAGATGATATACTCACATCTCACAGACATGCGTGCATTTTACATCATGTGTTTTCTAGCAAGGATCTAAACTCACCAATCATTTCCTTCCAGAGGCAAAAGTGATCAAGGGTGTAACAAATACCTTCATGCTGTCTCTATCACACTAATTCAAAGCACTCATTTGGCAATTAACCATGCAGTGATTGCAATATAGTTTACATTTTTATTTGTATTGTCATTTTAACTCTCAAAAGCTTTGAAATATTTTAATGAATTTGTGGCTCATCTTCTATCCAGATAGTGATTTCCTTAAAGACAGAGACTATATTTCATGCTTCTTTGTCTAATACTGTATGCTCAAAAAAGTATTTGTTAGTTTTCTTTGACTTAAATATTATAATTAAATATTCTTTATCAGAGCTATAAACTGTAATGAATAAAAACGTGATTTAAAGGGAATATAAGTACCAATAGGACTTTAGGCAAACACACACATTTTCACATTAAGACCATAACCATGGAGGCTTATTTGGTGATTATAGAATGGTACTGTAGCTATTCAAATACCTTTGATAAAATGGCAAAATTATGACATGAGTGCTACTAGTCATCTGTCCAGGTCCGTGGCAGGCAAAACTAATGTCATACCACCCTTTTCGCTAAGTCTGGACATGGCTTTGGAATTTGTCTCCATATAGTATTTTAGGAAGATATTACTAATTGATTAAGGTGTTAGACCAAGAATGAAGCCTGTTTGGCATCCTGTGGTCCTGTTTTATGCTTTGGAGAGTTGCCCTCTTTGACTGAGTTGAGAGCTTCAGGGGGCACATGTGTGGAGCTAGAAGGGATGAAAGGGGCTTTTGCTCAATTAGTGGTCAATTCAGTTCAGCAACTTGGGTGACAGAGTACAGAGCCAAACCACCCTCAGAGTTGACATTAAATTCTGTACTCTTTTTCTAATATTTATTTTTATGGTATATATTTAAGGTATACAACATGAAGTTTTGATATTTACATACATAGTAAAATAGTTTCTACAGTCAAACAAAGAAACATATTCACCATCTTCCATAGTTACCTTATTTTTTTTTGTACTAAGGGCACTTAAAATATACTCTCTGAGCAAATTTTCATTATACATGTGATTAACTATAGGCCTCATGCAGTACATTAGATCTCTAGACTTATTGATTCTACTTAACTGCAAATTTGTACCCTTTGACTTTACCTTCTAATCCCGAGTACCACATAAAAGACACATCTCTGGTAGTATCATATTCTCTTTGAAAAAGAGATAAGATGTGTTCATTAATATTAGCATGTCTTAGAAAACTCACTCATTGACAAATCTGAAGTAGAATCTACTACGTGCTACATTATTTAGGGAAACTGGTTATGGAGGGAACCGGGGAGCTTTTGCAGAAGAGCTGCCATTTCAAATGATCTTTGCAGGGTATGTAATTTTTTTACAGAGAAACAAAGTATGTGTGTAGAAGGGGAGGGGTAAGATTATTGGACAGAGAATATAATAACATTTTTGTAATATTTGCAATGTTTGCAAAGGAACGTGCATAAGTAAGTTAAGTGAAACATAGTTTGTGATTAAGGAATAATGAGTCATCAATTGTGGCTACAGCATAGGGTTCAAGAACAGGTGTGTCAGCAGGTAATGCCGAAAGAATACAGTGACACCAGATTTTGATGAGCCTTGAATATCATATTAAGTGGTTAGGATTTGTCCTATGAACAATCACGTTATTAAGTAGGAGAGAGGTAAAGAACTTAGATCACTTTCGCTATAGTGCACAGTATGGCCAGGAGGGGTTATAAGACTAGCGAACAGGAGATGGGCAGGGAAGTCACAATGAGGACCTGAACTGGGACAGTAGCCATGGTGTAGATAGGAGAGAGCAGAATAAAGACAGACATTAAGTTCATGAGATGCTTAAGGGACAGGGTGGGAATCAATGACATCTTTGAGATTTTTGGGCTTGACGATTGATGCTTTTAATTGAGGAAGAGAACATAGGAGGAGGAACGTATTTGCAGGAAGGACCTAGTATGGTTTAAAGAATGTTGAGGTCAAGATTTTCATGCAGGCACCCAAGAGGATATGTTCAGTTAATTACTGGGTATGTTGATGTAATGTTCAAAAGGCGAGATAGTAAATAGAATTGGCAGTGAATGTTTGAAGTCAGCATTAATGAGATGAAACCGTAACAGTGGTTTCACCCATAACTGATCCAGAACAGTGGATCAGTTTTCCTAGAGTGAGAAGGGCACTGAAAACATAACCCTGGGAACACCAACTTTTATGGCCTAGGTAAAAACAGAAGAACCCTTGTGGAGATAGAAAAAGAGTGGTCACAGAGGTAGGAAGAGAAATATCATTGTACCTCGAGAGAGAAGATTTCGAGGAAGAAAAACCTGCTATTGAGATTAGATTGGAAGAGAAGCAAGTTGATAGGATTGTCAGATTTTGTAAGTAAAAAATATAGAACAGCAAAACTGGTAAGGGAATCGATTTGGTGTCAAAAGAAAGTGAGAAATAAAAAAGTAGCCTGGGAAGAAAAGAAAATTAGAGATGTTTCTTGCATTTTTTTAGAAAAATAGGAAAACTTAACGTGCTTGTAGGGTGACAGAAAAAGGAAGTGGAGAGAGATGAAGGAATGAAACAAGAAAAAGCGATAATTGCTGGAGTGAGATTCTGGAGGATAAAGAGAACATTTGGGAGGTCAGCCTTAGACAGGAGATAGAACAGCTTTTCTGTGGAGGTGAGAGGTGATGAGGAAGAATAGGCAGTGGTATCGATACATCTAGAAATGCAAGAGGGAAGCTGAAGGGGTTTATGCACGACAGCCCCTCTTTTTCTTTGTGGGCTAGGGCGGTTCATCATTTTGTGAGAGCTGGTAGGGGGGCACTTGTGTGAGCAAGATATTGAGCCTAAAGAAAATGGTCAAGGAAAATGTCTTGGGTGCTGGAGAGGGGAGTTTAAAGGTATGGGTCTGAAAAAGCAGTATTTGCTACTGAGGCTAAAGCATACCGGAGTGGACAGAAAGGACTGTTTGGTGGGGAAAAGGATATGGCATTTGGAAGCAGATAGGTCTGGATATAGATCCCGGCTCTGTCCATTTGTGTTCATTACCTTTCACTAGGCCATGCTGTGTAACAAATAGATTCCAACTCTCAATGGCTTACAAAATATTTCTTTCTTTCTCATATTACATAGTGTTGGCTACAGGTCAGTTGTAGCTCTTCCTCAGGCATTGGTGGGCTCAGATTCATTTCTTACTGCAAGACCCAAGTTAATGGAGAAGCAGCTTTTGGGACATGACTTCTCATAACAGAGGGCACAGGAACAATAAACCAAGTTGAATCATGCAATCATATTAAAAGCCTTTACTTGGATGGATGTGACCTATGCTGTGTTTGCTCATGTTCCATTGGTCAAAGCAAGTCAAATTGCCAAGACCAACATCTATGTGGTAGTGATAAATACCAATATGGGGAGAAGGAGGTGAAAATGGAAAATAACAATGCAAGCTACCACATTGTCTAAAGATTTTGAAACTCTGGGCTTCAGTTATCCCTTGTGCAATACAGTGATATCAGCATTTGTTTTCTAAAATTGTTGGGAGGAAGAAATAAAATTAATTTGTGTATAAAACCTACTATAGTGCCTAGTGTAAAATAATATTTTATGCACATGAGATTGCCTTGCCTTGGTACTCAGAATAGTGCATAGTTCCAATGTCAGAGGGAATTAAACTTTCTGCTCCCCATTTTTCTTCTGCCAAATGACTGGATGATGTGTAAGAGCTCTTCTGACTCTAAAGTCCTCTGTTTCTAAAAATCTTATACTAAAGAATCAAATAGTCCCTTACCCTAAAAGTACCCTCTAGCTAAAGAGGAAACTTTAAGTTTGTCAGAGGTTTTATTTGGCTTGCCTTTCCTCGACCCAGCCAACTACCAGGGGCAGAGAAAAGACTTGTTCAAATAAACCTAAGAAACCTATAGGAACCAAAGTGCACGGTAGATCATCTCATCATCCATTAGCAACACTGTTTGAGCTTACAAAAAGAGTGACGCTTCACAGAGAAAGGTCAGGATATTCTCACTTCACCTGGAGGAGTTTAGCCACCTGGAATAATAAGCTTTGCTGGTGAGATGTGAGATCTGACAGTGAGTGAGGAAATTGTTGAAGAGGAGGCATTGAAAATGCCCGGAGACTTCCCAGGTGTCACCTGCTGCCTTGTAAATGTGTGAAATCCTTGGAAGGGTGTCTGGCAGAGCCCCAGAACCTACCACCATATGTCATTGACTGTTTCACAGAGTGGAAGAAGGTATAGGCATGTCTGAACAATGTTCAAGTGATCAATTATATCAGTTAGGATTGTGAGTGGCTGCAAGGTACAGAGACCAGAGGAGAATGTCTTATACAAGACAGGGTTTATTTTATCAGGTAATCATACATCTGCAAGTAGGCAGACACTGCTTCACACTGGTGCCAATGGCATGGGCATTTCTGTTGTGAATCAGTCTAGAAGAAGGTTGGTATGCAAAGATTTAGTAGGTGGCAAATTGAAATGTAGACTTAGACCCAAAGACTTCAAAGGTGCATTCCAAATTTAACTTACAGTTTGGGGGAGGGGTGGTTTACCAGATGCCTAATCTAAATACATAGAAATTTAAAATTAAACAGAGTTAGCCGGGCACATTGGCTCACGCCTGTAATCCCAGCACTTTGGGAAGTCCAGGAAGGCAGATCACTTGAGGTCAGGAGTTTGAGACAGGCCTGGCCAGCATGGTGAAACCCCATCTCTACTAAAAATACGAAACTTAGCCAGGCGAGGTGGCAGGCACCTATAATCCCAGCTACTCGGGAGGCTGAGGCACAAGGATCACTTGAACCTGGGAGGCAGAGGTTGCAGTGAGGCAAGATCACGCCACTGCACTCCAGCTTGGATGATAGACTGAGACTCAGTCTCAAAAAGAAAAAAAAAATTAATTAATTAAACAGAGTTAATTGGTCACGTATCTAAGTACCTGCCTTGGTTCTAGTCTGGCTTGGGTTTGTAAGTAATAGAACAAAATACAAGACACAGTCCAAGTTTAAAAGTAAATGAACTTAATATACATAGAAAGGAGATTATTACATGTAGGGAAAGGCTGGTAAAAAAAATCATGACAATCTTTCTTCTATCTTTGTACAAATCTCTATTATTTCTACTAGAATAGCCATCACCCTCCTGCATCCCTCTAGTTATTCTAGTCTCCACACAGCAGTCAAAGAGATTTTTAATAAATATTAATTAGATATCCCTCCTATGCCTAAAACCCTCCAATACTTCCATTGAATTTAGTGCAAAATCCAAACTAATTCCTCTGGTGTACTTGATAGGCCCACCCTTCCCCTTCAACCCTATCTAGCACCAGTGTCCCCTTACCTCTCTGCTCTAGCCACACAGGCCTTCTTTCTGCTCACATCAGGCTAGTTTCTGCCCCACGGCCTTTGCACTTATCATATACTTCACCTGGGCCACTCTTCCCTCAGAGGAAAGGTGGAGTCCTTTCAATGCACATGTCACTTTTCCAGAGTTCTTTTCCCTGATCACCCTATCTGAAGTAACCCTCCTCATCCTCCTGTTTATTACATTCCATTATCCTGTGTTTAAAATAATTACTGTCACCACCTGAATGTATCATATTTATTTGTGGTTTTTCATCTATGGTAGACTGTAAGCTCTATGAGGGTATAGCCTGGCACATGTATACACCCAGTAAGTACAGATGCTCCTCGACTTACAGTGGTGTTACGGCCTGATAAACCCATTGTCAGTTGAAAATAGTGTTAGTCAAAAATACATTTAAAGAGAACACTTCTACACTGTTGGTGGGAATGTAAACTAGTACAACCGTTATGGAAAACAGTGTGGAGATTCCTTAAATAACTAAAAGTAGAACTACCATTTGATCCAGCAATCCCACTACTGGGTATCTACCCAGAGGAAAAGAAGTCACTATACAAAAAAGATACGTGCACATGCATATTTATACTAGCACAATTCACAATTGCAAAAATATGGAACCAGCCCTAATGCCCATCAATCAACGAGTGGATAAAGAAACTGTGCTATATATATATGATGGAATACTACTCAGCCATAAAAAGGAACGAATTAATGGCATTCACAGCAACCTAAATGGAATTGGAGACTATTATTCTAAGTAAAGTAACTCAAGAATGAAAAACCAAACCTCACATGTTGTCATTCATAAATGGGAGCTAAGTTATGAGGATGCAAAGGCATAAGAATGATACAACGAACTTTGGGGACTCAGGGGAAAGTGTGTGGGGGGGTGAGGGATAAAAGACTACAAATTGGGTTCAGTGTATACTGCTCGGGTGATAGGTGCACCAAAATCCTACAAGTCACCACTGAAGAACTTACTCTTGTAACCAAAAGCCACCTGTTCCCCCAAAACTTATCGAAATAAATTTTTTTTAAAAAAATATGTTTAATATACCTAACCTATCCAATGAATATCACAGCTTAGCCTTGACAACCTTAAACATACACAGAACACTTACATGAGCCTAGAATTGGGCAATATCATCTAACACAAAGCCTATTTCATATTTCATAATAAAGTGTTGACTATCTTAGGTAATTTATCGGATATAGCACACTGAAGCTTATCAGTTGTTTACCCTTCTAATGGTACATCTGACTGGGAGCTATGGCTCACTGATGCCCAGCATCATGAGAGAGTATCATCCTGCATATTGCTAGCCTGGGAAAAGATCAAAATTCAAAATTCAAAGTACGGTTTGTACTGCATGTGTAGTGCTTTTACACCATCGTAAAGTCGAAAAATTGTAAGTTGAATCATCATTCACTGGGGACCGTCTGTATGTGCTAAATAAATAGACAATCAAGTGTTTTAGGTTTTCTAATCATTCAGAAAAGAGGGATATTGTTACAAATTCATGAGTCAGGGAGCTCACTGTGGCAGAGAGGGGGATGGGCTGGGCTCAGAAGAAAGAGAAGGATTTGGATTGGGGGGTACCCAGGGGAAGCCATGGGTGTGGTTGGGGTTGGAGAGGCAGGGTCTTCGTGGTGATTCTGCTTCTTAACTGACAGAAAAGAGGGCCCACCTCTCTGTCCCTGGCAGATCACAGAGAGACCAGCCTTTCTTAAGGAAATAGGACCAAGGGCATGGAAGCAAAATACCCAGATGACTTCATCAAAAGAAAACATGCGACTCTTGCATAGACCAAAATAAACTCCCTAGACTGACGGGGTGGGGCCAAGGGACAGTTCTTGAGCTGAAGAGAAACTCCAGGACCTTCCAAGGCATTCTTTGAAAAATGCTCTTTGGATAAAATGCAACTTAAAAATAACTTCTGTTGGGTGTGGAGAGGAGAACAACTCAAATATTGGGGCCAGAAACCCAGAGTAAGGGCCAAATTTGGGCTAAGAAAATGCTAGATTCTCGAGATCTTTGGAAAGCAACTTCTTCCCTCATTTATTTACAATGAATAAAGTTTCTTAGAAACAAATACAAGGAAATCAAC
The DNA here is from genome assembly GCF_000001405.40 of Homo sapiens. Lineage (NCBI taxonomy): Eukaryota > Metazoa > Chordata > Mammalia > Primates > Hominidae > Homo > Homo sapiens. The sequence continues at coordinate 159,752,430 of NC_000005.10, read as the reverse complement.
AATTTGTAATTTTTAAAGTATCAAACAAGTATGCTAATCAATAAATAGATTATCTTCCAGTATGATGAGAGAAAATAAAATCTAATAAAGGTCTAGGATCCAAGATAAACAAATATGACACCACTGGAGAAAAAGATGGTATTTAGAGAAAGGCCAAATGAGGTGGTTCTAACCCTTAGAGCAAGGGGTGTAAGGCATTCAAATGTAGCAGAGATTGCACTGGCCTGAGAAGCAGGCTCACCTACAGGGAGAATCCAGCTCTACCACTCTTGTTGTGTGACCTTAGGTAACTTACTTCACTTCTCTTATCCTCAGTTTCTTCATCTTTAAAATGGGAAAATTCATACCTGCCTCTCAAAGGTACTGTGGAGATTAAATGAAGTACTGCAGAAAAACTACCTCAGAGAGTATCTGAATGTTAGAAAACTTTAAATAATATTGGAATTCCACTTCTCTCATATCACTTTAGAGGGTTGGAGAAATTGGAGAGCTTCAGAGTTTGACACCTTATGAAAGCTGAGAGTCCTTAACATATTTCCATTAGCAAATATTTATTAACTTCTGTTTGTAAGACACAGTGATGGATAAGATGTAACACAAAATTCTTGGTCTCCTTATCAGGGAGTGAAATAGTTATTGATTACCACAACAAGATGCAAAAAAAACCCGAAAACTTAGAGGATTAAAATGGTGAGTATTTATTTAGCTTACAAATCTGCAAGTTGGAAGTTTAGGCTGGGCTCAGCTGGGCAGTTCTTCTGGTTTAGGCTCATATGTCTGGGAGTTGACTGACTATTCGTTGGTCTAGGATGACCTCAATGGGCGTGACTGCCTGGTCAACATGGCTTTTGTTCTATGTGTTTCATCCTCTAGCAGATTGGCCTAGGCCTGTTCTCATGGTAAAGGTACAGGAGTAAGAGTAAGCAAGCCCAATTGTACAAGTGCTTTTCATGCCTTTGTGTCACATTAACTTAACATACTATTGGCCTAAGCAAGTCATGTGGTTAAATGCAGAATCAGTATGAAGGGAATATATACCTGCATGTCAAAGGATATGGATGAAGGTAGGGATAAATAAATGAGGTCATTAATGCAATTAATCTACTTCAAGGGAACTAGATAAATATATAGATAATTAAATTTTATATAAACACATTGAACAAACATACATATATAATTAACATAAGATGAAAGATAATACTTTGTAATCACATAGCATTTACTGATTTTAAAGAACTTTCCCTCAAAACCTTCTGGCTTAATTATCCTCTATGATTCCCGTCACTGTTCCCATTTTGCAGATAAGGAAAGTCACAAGGACAGTAACGAGTAAAGCCTGGACTTGAACTTCTGATGACAAGCTTCCGCTTTGCCTCACAGCCTCTTAGACCAAGATCCAAATGAGTAAAACACACACAAAAGAGACAGGTATCACCATGAGCTCGTGTGGCCAAGAAGCCTTTGTATTGACTGAACTTACCTTGGAAGTAAATGCATGTACAGTAATAAGTTTCAACTTTTTTAAGGTACCAAACCCACCCTTTTTTTTTTTGACAGATCTTATGTAGAACCTCCAAGTATTTAAATGGATAAAAAGCTATTTTATATCCTAACTTTATTTTTAGATTCAAATGCATAATATTTACCTATTATGCAATCAATATATAAGAACAATGAGGCCATTCTGGGGAACTCAGGTGTTTGAAATCAAAGACAGATATCAAATGGGGACAGTGCAGTCTTGGGGTCCAGTGTGCTCCTGTAATTTGTTTAGCCTGCCCACTAGAGTGGACTGCTGTTGTGGACCTAGTCTCTATTGTCTACTTTCCATACCTCTCCCCACCCCCAATTCTGGTCATGTCGTTCTGGAGTAGGTGGTCCCACTCCCAGCTAGAGAGGTAGGTCTGGGAGGCGGGATTCAGGAGCACCAGGAAACAGAGGCTCTTCCTGCTGCCTCGAAGCTGGAAGAGCATCAGCCTGGGGTTGCTGGGGGCAACCACACCTCAGCACTACGTAAAGGAAGAAGCCAACCAAGGGGAAAGCACTACCCAGATGAGCAGGGGCTCAGGACTGCACAGGACACCACTGAAGTGTCTGGATCTAGCTGGAACTTAATCCAGTGCTACCCCTAGACGTTTCTGTTACACAAACCAGTAATATCCCTTTTGTCTTTTAGGCCAGTTTGATTTGGATTTCTATCTTGTGCAACCAAAACATATCTAATATATCCAATATTAAGAAAATCTGGCTCAAACAGATTAGTTGTAATAATAATATGGTTTTAAAAGCAGTTCATCTTGTAATGTCAGGAAATTCTTTAATAAAAAGATAGCAGAAGACTTATTTCAAGATTTATATATACTTTGACACAAAAGTGTGAGATACATTAATATATATGTTAGACTCAAAGCATTAAAAATTGATATGTGGCACATTTGAAGGTATGTTTGTTTATTGCAGATTTTAAAGTGGTTTATATGTATTTAAACATGAAATTTGAAGAATATTTTTAAGGATCCCTCAGATGTCCTTTAGATCTTTTGGGTCCTCAGGATGTGGTTGAAAAACTATTGATAGAACAAAACAGGAAGCAGTCTAAAAGAATATTCTAGGTCTCTAATACATGTCTTTTATCACCAGAACAAAACATGACATACACAGTGACTCTTGGACACATTATAGGGACCTAATTAGCATCCTCAGATGAGATCCATCAGATTATTCTTTTCTCCTGGAAAAGGATGGAAAGGGAGGGGCCGAGAGAGAGAGAAGCTAACATCTTCTCCTTTCTTCCTCCTCCAACATCAGAGTTCTAAAAAGTCTTGAATATTTTTCCAAAAGATAACTGGTGAGAGGTGTTCAGCAAAATCCTAAAACTCCTTGTTGTATTTAAGTTTTATTTTTTTATAAATGGGAAAACTCATTGACAAGCCATTAATGCTTATGATCATATAAGAATTTTCCTTCTTGTGCCAAATATTATTTCATGGTTCCTTAAAAGTATGAGTAAAACAAATATAAAAACTGGCAATTTATACTGTTGAGTCAGACCATGAGTTCATAAAAAGCAGGAACAATGCTTACTTCTTTGGATAGTGTCTAATTCAGTTAAGTAAAAATGGGAACTTCTTTTATAAAACCACTTACATACCTATGATGATGAAAATGGGAGAAGAGGATTCCAGTCTTGTTCTGGTGACCTTTGGAAATCTCATATTCAAAGGCTTAGAGGTCTAATCCCCAGAGACTTTTACTATTTTCTCAGGATAAGATTAATTAGAGGAAGCTGGGGATGTTTGGTGGGTCCTTCCTGAACTGTCAGAGACTCCAAGATACTAGAGATGGAAGGGATCTTAAATTTCCAGTCCAGCTGCCTCCTACTACAAGATCTTTGATCTCTTCTCTGCCTGGCAGCTTCTTTCATGGCTAAATTGAGTTGAAAATCTGTTGTGAAGGAATATGAACCTGTCTCGCTAGAACACAATGTTTCCATCATCAGTGATAGAAAGCAGAGTTCAGTGGATCATGAAGCAAGTCCTTGTAGGGTAACTTTGGTGGTCTTGCATGCACACAAGGAGAAGCAAGATCTGAACAGGATCCTGTGATCAAAGAAGAATCAAGGGTTCTAGGAGACTTTGGTAGATAAGAGCGTTGGTAGTACCCTTTTTCAGTTTACCTGATATCCACATAAAAACAAATAAAATACATAACAAAATAAAAAAATTAATGGCAAGGTATTTCCATGAATCCCAAATACAGGCTGTGGGGATAAAGCAGCAACTTCCCCAAGACTCACACAGTGTTGGTGTCTGGGCATGCAGAGGGAAGGGAAGCAATGTAGTATCTGATAGACCCGAGAACAGGAGAAACTCAAAACAGGAGCAGTAACTTACTGCAGAACACATGAAGCAATTTGAGAGTGGCAGCTAAAACTAGGAGGCATTTTGCCTGAGCCATCAGCTGGGGAGCATAAGGGATCTGAGAAAAAGGTGGAGGATCTGGAGCAATTTAGCCCCTATGAACTCCCTAAACTGACACCTTGGTCTCCCTTCTAGGACATGGGCTCACAAAGGGAAAAACTGCTGGGAGTAGAATAAAAACTGAGCAGGATACAGACAACAGAGATGAAGAAAAAGAAGTCCAGTTACAAGGAGATGGGTGGGGAGGAAGAGTGAGAAAATCCTAGAAAGCAAGCCAGGTAAATTGTAAGAAAAGGAAAGAACTGGCTGGGTGGGGTGGCTCATGCCTGTAATACCAGCAGATTGGGAGGCCGAGGCAGGTGGATCACTTGAGGTCAGGCATTTGAGACCAGCCTGGCCAACATGGTGAAACCCGTCTCTACTAAAAATACAAAAATTAGCTTGGCGTGGTGGGGCACATCTGTAATCCCAGCTACTTGGGTGGCTGACGCACAAGAATTGCTTGAACCAGGGAGGCGGAGGTTGCAGTGAGCTGAGATCATACCACTGCACTCCGGCCTGGGCGACAGAGTGAGATTGTGTCTCAAGAAAGGAAGGGAGGGAGGGAGGGAGGGGAGAGAGAGAAAGAGAGAAAGAGAAGAGAAAGAAAGAAAGGGAAAAGAAAGAAAGAACTGGGGGAGGGGTTGAGGTGGGGATGGATGCCTGTAAATTAAGAGACATACAAGACATATACCAAAGAATAAACTATAGTGTCTAGGGACACACACTGGGTGATGAAATGAAAGGGAAGTCCAACAAAGTTATTCCCACAAAAGTCAAGACTGTGGTTACTTTTGATTGATGGCTGTGATTTGATGGGGCCCATGGTGGGCTTTCGGATAGCTTGGAAAGTTCTATTTCTTGACCTGGTGGTGGCTAAAATGGTGTGTGTCATATAACAACTCATTGAGCCAGACAGCAGTTTTGTAAGGTTTTCTATATCTGTGTTTTATTTTACTGTAAGCAAATAATAAAAGGAGTGAAGGTTAAGGGGACCTCAGATCCCAACTAACACTGAATACTAACACTAAAGCCCATGTAACTCTAGCTAAAATCTACTGAACATGTACTATATGCAAGGTGCTATGCTAAGTCCTTTACCATGGCAGTAAAGTTCTCTGAGTCTAGAGTCAGGTGTCTTGCTTAGTTTCCTTTACTACTGTGTGAATTTGGGCAAGTAACTAATTCTCTTTGAGCCTCTGTATTCTCATCTCTAGGGGCAATGGTCTGTCTTTCATAAGACTATTGGGGTGAGATTTGCATGTGAACTTTTTAGCTCAGTGCCTGACACATAGTATATGCTTAGTAAATGGTAGCCACTGTTGTATCCATGTAAGGCGCTGTTATAACTCTCACATTATAAGTGAAAAAATTTAAGGCTCAGAAAGACTAAGTCATGGAATTATTCAGGGCCGAACCCAGGCCCTCAACCTTTCCCTGTGCTTCCCCAACTACTAACAATTTTTTGAAAGAAAAATGGTGCAATGGCAAATGACAGTGGCCTGGCCTGGTTCCACAGCTCTGTTTTGAAGGTTATCTGGGGCCTTGCTCCCTCACTTGCCCCAACACATGTTGTTGCAATTTCACTCCAAGAAAGAGACTTCAGTAGTGCTGTCCGCAGCATGGCTGCCTGGAGCATCCTTGGAAGACAGAGAGCAGGCAGGAAGGATGCAGGCAGTGAAGCCTCTTCAGCAGGGGCATAAACAAGTCCCCACTCCCAGAGGGGCCAGGAGCCCAATGCGGCAGCTGGCTGGATGCGTCACACATATCGTGCTGAGAGAGAAAATAAGTGGTATTCCTCTGTGCTGAATTTTAAGTGTAAACAAGCAGATTCATGATAATTAGCAAATATTAGATATGTATTGTTCCTTCCCCACTCCCAAGACACTTCTAGGATCTCCAGCTGAGATAATAACGCTAGGTGCACCACTCCCAGGGCCACAAGTATTGTTCCAAGACAAAGGCTCTTCATCTGTGTTTGTTCTTGTTTTCCATCAACACTTGAAACCTTGTTCACCTATGTTTTATTGGGATTTCCCGCTTTGTTTGCAAGCAAGGAGGAATAAAAAACAGCATTTGAAATTAAGAACTTAGATAAGGTCTCAATTCTCTGATCCCCATCTCTCAAAGGAGGAAGTCATATTTACTTCATGAAAGGACTGGTGTGAAGATGACTGAAGGAACATATTCAAAGAACCTCATGTAGAGGTTGGCACACAGTAGACACCATAAATGAAGGTGCCTTCCTAGCTGCCACTGCCAGTATACCTTCAGCAGAGAACCAAGATGGCAGAAAAGCAGCACACATGCCTCTTTCCCCTGTGGTATTCCAGGTAGACATCATTAACCAATGACGATATTCTTTGCTACTTGGATTAATTTTCTGTTGCTACTATAACAAATTACCACAAACTTGGTGGATTATAAGAACACAGCTTTATTATCCTATAGATTTATAGGTCTGAAGTCCAATACAGGTTTCACTGGGCTAAAATCAAGCAGGGTTGCCTTTCTTTCTAAAACTTTGAAAAAGAATCTATTTTCCTTGCCTTTTTTTTTTTTTTTTTTTTTTTTTTTTTTTTTTGCTTCCAGAGGCCTCTGTTTGGTCCCTGCACATAGTCCCCTATGTCTCAGAGCCAGCAACAGCTTGCCACACCCTTCTCACACTGCTGTCTCTCTCTGACCACAGCCAGAAAGTTTTCTTTGTTTTTAAGGACTACTGTGATTAGATTGGGCCACTGAATAATCCAGGATTGCCTACCCATTTCCAGATCCCTAACTTTAATCACATCTGTAGAATCCCTTTTGCCATCCAGGGGTTAGGATATGGACATCTTTGGGGGCCGTTATTCTGTCTACATTGCTCAATGCAGTGGTATAGGCAGCCACTATTAGTGGGTCAGAGTTTCACCAGAGACATGAAATCCATTTGGGCCGTGAAGTCAAAGCTATCCATGCTTTGGAGATTCATCAGGAAAGATACAAAACAAAGCCAGTCAGAGAACAACTGGAAGCAAAAGAAAGCAACTGCCATATGCTGAACATGTTTAAAAAAATCAAAACAGCATTATTGAGATATGGTTGACATGTAACAAACTACATGTTCAAAGTATACAATTTTATAAGCTTTGACTTATGTGTACATCTATGCAACTATTATGAAAAGCATCATTATGAACATATCCATCCTCACCAAAGTCTGCTTGTCCTTTATAATCCCTCTGTCCACTCCATCCCATCTTCTCCTATTCCCAGATAACCACTGATTTGCTATCAGTAGACATTAGTTTCCTTTTTGTAGAATTTCAGATGAATGAAGTCATACAATAAGTCTGAATTTTTGTCTTTTTTTTTTCAGTGTAATGACTTTGAGATTCATCCATGTTGCTGTGTGTATCAGTAGTTCATTGCTTTTTTGTTGAGTAGCATTTCAATGTAAAACACAATTTTGTTTATTTTTTTCACCAGATGATGAAAATTTGAGTTGCTTCCAGGTTTGGGCTATTACAAATAAATCTGCTATACACATTCATACACAAGGTTTTAGTGTTTTTTTTGTTGTTGTTGTTTGTTTGTTTTTGTTGTTGTTGTCTGAGATGGAGTCTCACTCTGTTGCCCAGGCTAGAGTGCAGTAGCACGATCTTGGCTCACTGCAACCTCCACTTCCTTGGTTCACGCAATTCTCCTGCCTCAGCCTCCCAAGTAGCTAGGACTACAGGCATGCGCCACCATGCCCAGCTAATTTTTGTTTGTTTTTTTTTTTAGTAGAGATGGGGTTTTGTCATGTTGGCCAGGCTGGTCTCAAACTTCTGATCTCAGGTGATCCACTCACCCCGGCCTTCCATAGTGCTAGGGTTACAGGTGTGAGCCACCACACCTGGCCCATGCACAAGTATTTGTATGGACCTATGCTTTCATATCTCTTGTGTAAATACCTAGGGGTACAATGGCTGGGACATGGGGTAGGCATATGTTTAACTATTTAAGAAAGTGCCGAACAGGTTTTCCAATGTACTTGGACCATTTGACCAGCAGTGTATGAGAACTTCAGTTGCTTTCTGTCTTTGGCAATACTTACTGTGATCAGTCTTTTTAATTGTAGTCATTCTAACAGGGGTAGAGTGGTATCTCATTGTCTTATTTGCATTTACTTAATAATGATGTTGAACCTTTTTGTAATGTGCTTATTTGTCATCCATGTATCTTTTTTGGTAAACCTTTTACATATTTTTTATAAATGTAAAAGATTTCTTTATTTTTTTGAGTTGTTTGTTTTTTTATTACTGGGTTTGAGAGTTCTGTATATATTCTGAATACAATTCTTTGTCAGATATGTGATTTACAAATATTTTCTCTCATTCTGTGGCTTGTTTTTTCATTTGCTTAACCATGTAATTCAAAGAGCAAAAGTCTTTAATTTCAATGTAATACAATTAATCAATTTTTTCTTTCATGAATTGTGCTTCTGGTGTTGCATCTAAAAAATTCTTTGCTTAATCTAGGGTCATAAAAATTTCCTCCTATGTTTTCCTCTAGGAGTTTTACAGTTTTAGGTTTTTCATTTAGGACTATGACTCATTTTGAGTGAACTTTTGTATATGGTTCAAGAGATGGATGCAGTTCTGTCTTTGTTTCTTCCATACAGATACTCAACTGTTCCACCACAATTTGTTAAAAAGACTATCCTTTCTTCACCGAATTGCCTTTGCACCTTTACCAAAAATCAGTTGCCCATATATCTGTTAAGTCTATTTCTGGACTCTTTTCTGTTTCATTTACCTGTCTTGACACTAACATCACATTGACTTGATTACTGTATCTTTATAAGTGTTCAAATCAGATAGTGTTAACCTTCCAACTTTGTTCTTTTTACAGTTATTTTGGCTATCCTAGGTCTTTCGCATTTTTATATAAATTTTATAATTAGCTTGTAAATTTGTACAGTAAACTCTGCAAGGATTTTTATTGGGATTACACTAAAACTATTGATTAATTTGGGGGGGAACTGACATCTTAATATTGCATCATCTTCATTGATCCATGAACATTGTATATATTTCCATTTATAGCTCTTTAATTTCTTTTAACAGTGTTTTGTAGTTTTCAGTGTACATCTTACACATATTTTGTCAAAAATATTTCCTATTTCATATTTTTGATTCTACTATAGGTGACATAGTTTCTTAATTTTAGTTTACTGCCATGATATATAAATGTAATCTTTTATATTGATTTTCTATCCTGAAACCATGCTCGTATTTACAACTTCTAGTGACTTTTTGGTAGGTTTATAGGATTTTCTATGTAGATGATTATATCATCTGAGAGTAAAGACGGCTTTCTTTTTCCTTTCTATTCTATCTATTGTTTATTTCTTCTTCTTGTCTTATTTTATTAGCTAAAACATCAGTACAATGTTGAATAGAAGTAGTAAGAATGGACATCTTGGCCAGGCGCGGTGGCTCACACCTGTAATCCCAGCACTTTGAGAGGCTGAGGCGGGCGGATCACGAGGTCAGGAGATCGAGACCATCCTGGCTAACACAGTGAAACCCCGTCTCTGCTGAAAATACAAAAAAATTAGCCGGGTGTGGTGGTGGGCACCTGCAGTCCCAGCTACTGGGGAGGCTGAGGCAGGAGAATGGCATGAACCCAGGAGATGGAGCTTGCAGTGAGCTGAGATAGTACCACTGCAGTGCAGCCTGGGCGACAGAGCAAGACTCCATCTCAAAAAAAAAAAAAAAGAAAAGAATGGACATCTTTTTCTTGTTTCTGATTATAGGGGGAAAGCTTTCAATCTTTCACTTAATTTTATTATTGTGAAACACCTATTATACAAAATAGGTGTTTTATGGGCCTTTTATTGAGTTGAGGAATTTTCCTTTATTCTTAGTTTGCTAAGAATTTTTTTTCTTTCATAAATATACATTATATTTTGTTACGTGTTTTTCTGCATTTTTGGTGGTTTTGTGGGTGTATGTGTGTGTGTGTGTGTGTGTGTGTGTGTGTGTGTGTTTCTTTTTTCGTCTGTTAATATGGTGAATTACATTGATTGATTTTTCAAATGTTAAACCAATTTTGCATATCTTGGATAAGCTCCAGAATAATTCAATTTACTTGGTCATAATGAGGTAGGAATTATTAAGAAATTATTTTAGGCAGCTAGAGAGGAAAAAGGGGGTCCTTGGAAGATTTTTCACAGCTCTTGTCTAGCATGAAAGCCCTGGCTCTTAGACCCAGGCAGGAAACCTTTGATATGCAAATGCCAACCTTTAGAAACTGGGTCCACCCAACATGGCTATTCCCACCTTTGTCTTCTTGCACTTGCCCCCATATGTGCCTAGCAGCATGGCCGCCCCCACATATCCCCATATGTGTGGAACATCATGGCGCCCTGTATTTGCATATTAAAAGACTAGGGTGGGAGGGCCAGTTTTTTTGCGGGCTACATGAATGACATGCCTGGTCTAACCAATCCCCTGAGCCCTATGCAAATCAAACACTGCCTCCTCCAGCCATCGAATATAGCTGGCTGATACTACCTGAAAGTGGGGTTCCATTTCTCAGCTTTGGCGCCCCTCTCCCTCTCTCTCTGTACAGGGGAGCTTCTTTCTTTCTTCCACCTTCTTTCTTGCCTATTAAACTCCTTGCTCCTTAAAACTACTCAACATGTGTCTGTGTCTTTTTTTTCTAATTCCACTAGAGAAAAAGAACCTGGTGTTCTCCACTCATCAGAGCTGTATCAATAATATATTATCCTTTTTATATTCATTGAAATTTGATTTACTGTTTTACTTAAGATTTTTTGCTCTATGATTTTCAAGAATATTGGCCTATAATTTTCTTATCTTGTAATATCATTTTTAATGGTGGGCTCATAGAATAAGTTGGTAAGTATTCTTTTATGTTCAACTTCCTGGAAGAGTTTGCATATTATTTATTATATTTTTGATAGGATTCCAAGGAAGTTTTCTGTACCTGGAATTTGGTGGGGTTTTTGTTTGTTTGTTTTGTGCATTTTTGTGAGAAGTTTAACTACAAATTCAGGCTATTTATCATTGAGAGATCTTTGATAGATTGTATCTTTCAATAAATTTGTCCATTTCATTTTTTGTCAAATTTATAAGCATATATCATTTATTTTATAGGCATAGTGTTGTTCAAAATATTCTCTTATTATTCTTTTAATATCTGTAGAATCTGTAATTCTGCTACTTTTCTCATTTCTGATCTTTCATAATTAATGTCTTCTCTTCTTTTTCCTACTCAGTTTAGTTAGTGGTTTATCAATTTTATTGATCTCAAAGAACTAGTTTTTTATTTCAATGATTTTCCTGTATTGTTTTTCTATTTCATTGACATGTTCCCTGATTTTTATTATTTCCTTTTCTCTGCTTCTTTGGCTTTAACATACTATTTTTTTTTTTTTGCAGGTGGAATCTCAGGTCATTGATCTGAGAACTTTCTTATTTTCTTTTTTTTTTAACTTTTGTTTTAGGTTCGGGGGCACATGTGAAAGTTCGTTACATAGGTAAACTCACGTCATGGAGGTTTGTTGTACAGATCATTTCATCACCCAGGAATTAAGCTCAGTACCCAATAGTTATATTTTCTGTTCCTCTACCTCCTCCCACCCTCCACCCTCAAGTAGACCCCAGTGTCTATTATTTCTTTCTTTGTGTTCATAAGTTCTCATCATTTAGCTCCCACCTGGCAGTATTTGGTTTTCTGTTCCTTTCCTGTGTTAGTTTGCTGAGGATAATAGCCTTTAGCTCCATCCATGTTCCTACAAAAGACATGATCTCATTCTTTTTTATGGCTTCATAGTATTCCATGCTGTATATGTATTACATTTTCTGTATCCAGTCTACCACTGATGGACATTTAGGTTGATTTCATGTCTTTGCTATCGTGAATAGTGCTGCAATGAACATACACATTCATGTGTCTTTATGGTAGAATGATTTGTATTCCTCTGGGTATATAGCCAGTAATGGGATTGCTGGGTAGAATGGTAGTTCTGTTTTTAGCTCTTTGAGGAACTGTCATACAGCTTTCCACAATGGTTGAACTAATCTACACTCCCACCAAAAGTGTATAGGTGTTTCTTTGTCTTCACAACCTCACCAGCTTCTGTTATTTTTTGACTTTTTAGTAATAGTCATTCTGACTGGTGTGAGATGGTATCTCACTGTGGTTTTTATTTTCTAGTATAGGCACTTAGTGCTATAAATTTTCTCCTAAATACTGCTTTAGCAGCATCTCATAAATTCATGCCTTATTTTTATTTATATTCAGTTCAAAATACTTTCTTAATTTCCTTCTGATGTCCTCTTTAATCCAAGGATTATTAAGCAGTGTTTTATATAATTTTCAAATATTCGGGGGATTTTATAGATATCTTTGTGTTATTGATCTCTAATTTAATTCTGTTTTGGTCAGAAAACATATTGTATCATTGGTATCCTTTTAAATGTATTAAGACTTGTTTTATGTACCAGAACATGGTATAACTTGGTAGATGTTCCATATAACTAAGCACCTTAAATGCCTTTTTATATATTTAATCTTTATAAGAATGGTACTATCATTTCCATTTTAATAAAGAACCAATAGATGATACTGTCCTCCTTATTTTAAAGAGAAAAGGCTAAAAATCAATCAACTTAAATAATATATTCAATGCCAGACAGCTATTAAATAGGAGAACTGGAATATGCTCTCATCTGACACCAAAACCAAGCTGTTAACCACTCTTTCATGATTAACCCACCCACATCCATTCCTCATAAGCTGGGTAGGACCACTCATTCTAAAGAGGCTGAGTTCAGACGCTAATTTTCTCTCAAAGTCTTGAAATCTATCTCCTAAATTGCTCCTTTCTAGCATAAACACAATTGCATCAGTTGCTAATACAGATGTAAAGGTGAGTTCTGTCTGATGGTTAGAAATGTGCAAAGCCCAACTGCTGATTCAAGTCAGAAACTTGCTACTGAGCTCTGCTGCTGACTGATGCTCAATCACCAGATCTTTCTAATAATACCCAAGAACAAAGACTGATATTAGGTGTTTTTGCCTCTTCCTAGCAGGGAATGGCTGATTGTCCCTTAAAGCCCAATGATGCTTAGAGAGCCTCTGGATTAGTATGATTTATTTATATGTCTGTGGAATTTGCATAACAGCCTTTAAGTCAACCTGCCTTGAAATGGCTCTTTCCTTTCTCTTCTCTTGAATTTAATGGTCAGATATTAGAAGCACTACCTTATTGCTAGTATATGTAGTTGTAGTCCTTGTTCACTAGGACTGATGCTGATCGGGAGCCTATTAGTCCAATTCAACAAACGAGTTTTTGATCATCTGGCAGCTTCAATTATCTAAGTTATCCAGCCCCTTTCTTACTCCTGTTACTACAGTAATTTGACAAGCCTGCTAAAGATCTTTCTGGCTGCATCCACCACCTTGCACAATGAGTTATTTGAATAAATGTCTTCCAGGTGCATGTTTCTGTTACATGCAAAGTCAATTTAACTTGTAGAGTTATTTGCAGGAGCCCACATTGTCCATGTTGACTACTTCCTAATGCCACTTAGGCTAAAATCTCAAAGGAAGGGAGTGTGCTGCCTGAGTGAGCACTTCTTTCTGAGTGCCTTTCTCCATCACTTGAAATGCTAAATGGCCAGTACCAAAGGAGGGAAAAGAACTCCTGGGGATGTTCTTTAGCATCTAAATCTCTAACCTTCTCTGAAATAGACTGGTTTCTACATGCTAATTATTATCCTACAGTTTACTAAAGAGTTAATATTCATGGGAAAGCATATACAGCATCTACAAATTAATCTATGCCATACAACATCTGATTTTTGAATTTCTTCTGAGAAGTGATGCTACAGGTATAAAATGAAATCGTTCTGTACCAACTTTAAAGCCTGAAGAAGCCACCATTCAATATGACCAACAAAACTGCTTATGTTTCTGGTTTCTCCCAAATGGAAGCTACATGGTTGAAAAAAAAGTCATCTGTCCTTAAGACCCTACAAACTTTTGAGAGGCCATTAGTCAGGAATGAAAAATCAGTTTTGGTTTATGTGTCACTATTGATTGACTGGAATTAGATTCTTGGAATTCCATGTTGAGAAATGACTCTGAGGACATATCCTTCATCAGTGGGAAAAAGCATGGTGATTGATTAGTGATGTCTGCTGTGAACACAGTAAAGAGGTATGGTGGAATTCCCAGAGTGCTAGATGGGGTGCCAGAGTGCCAGAGTGCTGCGCACTGGGAATATAGCAGTGAACAAGACAGAGTCAGTTGATGAACTCATAAATCTTACAGAGTCAGAATGATTACTAGGGTCATTTCTTGCTTTGTTATCCTAAAATTTAGTCGTTCTTGTTCTGCCCACCAATCACTATTAATGGATTATTGTAAAATATCAGCAATGTCCATTAGGACCACTCAGTCCAGTTCTCTAGCAGAAAAACCCATAAGTCTTCTGTGCAGACACCTTTCGTGTCTATGTAGACAAAAGGTGTCTACATAGTAAGACTTGTCTTTCAGTCATTGTAATTTTTTCTCTTAAAGAGCAAACTGGCCAAGAAAAACTTCACCTTGCACATTTCTCCATAGTTATAGACAGTGGTAATCTTGGCCAGGGTCAACTCTTGTTTACAGAGAATGGAAAGCAATGAAAAAGAGAAAGCCAAGCATGGAGGTGGGATGGGGTAAGCAGTTACTGTCTTCTTTAGGGCCCCATGAAAAGGCAATTCCTGAGACAGACTAATCACACCAGAACAATGTGTGTTCACCTTCTTGCTAACTGGCTAGCAGCTGTTTCCAGATGCCCCCCATTTTGGTTATGTAAGCCGGGCTCACCCACATGCAAAGCCCTTCTCTATGAAGCTCAGCAGATGCCATTAACTTCTCTTCATTCTGATGGGATCAGTCTCTGCTTGCGAGAGCCTTGAAACTGCAGCTCTGCAATGCTGGCACCAAAGTCAGGGCGCAGAGCTGTCTGCAAAGGCCACCCTCTGTCCACAGATGATGCAATGGGTCAGTGTCTTTCTCACCATGGGGACAGCAGTTGACATGGAAACGGTTGTTCTTGCTTCTACACATAACCATTACGCCTCACCCAGGCTTACCAAATGTTGAAAATATTTGTCTGCCCAGCATCCATTTTTTCTACCTCTAGGAACTGCATCAAGATTATCTTCTGGGAAGTCATCCTTGCTGAACTCCCAAACCTGTTGTTTTAGATAGTATGTGTTCTACCCCAGCCCTAAGCCGAGCATGTGACTTATACCTGGTCAAACTAAGTCACAGGAAGTTTTTAGTTATAGACATGTGACCCATTCTGTATCCATGAGTGTCAGCTCTGGGATTCTGCTGAAGTGATTAGGAAAGTGACAGGGTTTTGCTGGCTGTTGTCAAGCTGATGAAATGAGCCTGGAGCCGTTGGTGTCTTATCTTTCCCACAAGCAGCATAGAACATGCTAGAAAATACAGTTCAGAGGAAAAGCAGAGTTGAGGGACTGAGAGAAACACATTTACACTGATATGATTTGAGCATCTGGATTCAGCCTCACCTGGATTTAACTACAATTTTAGACTTTTCAATTATATGAAAAAATTTATGTCTTTTTTGCTGAGGGAAGTTTGAATTAGGTTTCTGTCACCTGCACCCCAAAAAGTTCTGATGAATGTACAGAAAAGTCCTGATGAAATGTTCTCCCTTCACAGAGATTTTCACAGGAATTGGGCAGAATTAGACATAACTATGAAAGTGCCAGTTTTAAGCAACCAGTACCTTTCTAGAAGTGCTGTTAGGTATCAGTGTATCAGCACATGACAATCAAGAGCTTAGCTGGCAAGCACTTGCTGTGTACCCATGGTGGGAAGCAGGGCCGACTAGGGTCCCTGTTCTCATTGAGTGTGCAGTCTAGCCAGGAAGGCTGAACTAACATAGGTTAATACTTTAAGCAGAAGTTCTTACCTTCATGGCCACGGTACATTGGTGAGTCACAATATATTATGAGTTGTACCACAAGTAATTTGTGACTCATGAAGCTAAAGTACCAATATTATTGACAGATGATTTAAAAAACAAACATGAATTAGAGTAGATTCAAGGTTATCGCAATAATAATGTCATATTCATTCACTTCGTTCTCTAGGATGTTTTCCTGAGTGGGAGAGAAAGAGTGGGCATAACAGCTATGGCCCACGCACCCCTGTCTCCCGGAGTGTGTTGTTCCCAAAGATGTCATCTACCATATGTGTTTAGGCAATCATAATAATGTCAGTGTGAAGCAGGAGGAGGAGGAGCAACAGCAGAAGAATTGCTAATGTTTACTGTGCACTGATGAGGCAATAGGTACTATGCTGAGTGCGTTACAAGGATTGTTTCATTTAATGTACATGAGAAACCTCTATGTACTTTTTCTCCTGTTTTGTAGTTGAAAGAACAACTAGCTGCTGAACAGAGTGAGTCTGTCTCAAGTACTTCTGGAGTTCAGAGAAGGGAGAGCTCAGTATAGGCTAGAGTTGTTGGGAAAGGTCCCAAGGAGGACGTGTGACTTAAGCAGGGAGAAGTAGAATCTGTAAAAACAGAGGAGCCAAGGAGGACATTGCAGGCTTTGGTATAAATGAGACAAGTACAGTACATAGGGTGCCAGTCTCACCCTCTGGACACCTTTAGTGTTGGTACCAGGATACTGCATTGGTGTTGAGCAATTGCATTTGTCTTGCAGTGGCTATTCCACACATCCCATCCTACCTCCAGGACTTTGTCCAAGCTGTTGCTTTTATCCTTGCCCCTGTGGCTGAGTAGCTCCTGAGTGATACTCTGGACCCTCTGAGGTTCTTTCTACCCTCCCTCGAGAAGAGAAGCTGCTCCCTCTAAGAGAAGCAAAGCAAATTATTCTTTCCTTGGCTGCCTCTTCCCAGGACTCTCCACTGTGGTATCCCTCCTGGGCCCAACCCCAGCTACAGATTTTTCACATGCTTCTCCTTGGCTGGCCCCAAAATCTAGATCAGCCTCTCCTGCATGCCAAAACAATTAGGTTGGTGCAAAAGTAATTGCAGTTTTTTCCATTACTTTCGATGGCAAAACCTCAATTACTTTGCACCAACCTAATTGTTTTGGCATGCAGGTTTTTGGCATGTGGTTTTTGCCATTACTTTCAATGGCATCCTGAGACAAGACTTGATCTTATCACTTCCCATGTCAAAACCTTTAAAGTTAAAAATGAGCATTTAGTAAATGCTTAATGTGTGGCCAGCCCTGTGCAAGCATTTGTATGCATTGCTTTATTGAATCTTCACCAGGAGTCTGTAAAATAGGACTATGATCATCTATCTTTTATAGATGAGGAGATTGTAGCTCAGAGACGTTAAGTAAATGATGTTATGTTGGAAGCAAGGGCAGCTGCATGGTGCCAGACAGACCACACTCTTAAGCACGATGCTCCCATCCCTCTAACACATCAATTGTTGTCTTCAGGATAAAATCCCACAGCCTTGACCCAACAATCCAGGCTCTCCACCATCAAGACTTGATTTAATTCTCTAGTCTCCACTTCCCACCTTGCCTGACAACACATTTCAACTGCTGGACCAGACAAGATGGCATGCAGTTCCCCACCTCTGTGCCCGCATTTGTGCCTGGTTCTCCACCAGGAATGCCATCTTCACTTGTTGATCCACCCTTTAAAATCTACCTTTTCCAGGAGTATTTTCAATTCTTTCTCTTACTTCATTGTTACCAAAATTAAACTCTGCCTCTCCCATGTATGTCCTTCGTATAGCTTTAGAAATGCATTGCATGGTCAGTCTTGCTTTTCTGTTATTTGCATGCAGTTACTTTATCATAAACCCCTAACAGGCAGGAAGTGGGTTTTACTTTTCATGAGTTTCTCATGGGCGCTTAGATCAGAGCCCTGCCCTCATGGGTAGGTTCTGTTCCCCCTCTGCCAGAAAGCAAAAGGTCCTTCCCAGAACTTCTCTCCACCTTCCTTCATCCAAAGCTGAGTCTTGTTTTTCATTTGTTTGTCAAATAAAGTGGATGGGCTTAAGACAGAAAAGGGCCATGGATATACCAGGCATATAGCAGTGCAAAAGGCAAACACTGTTTCTAAGCTAAAGTTTTCTCCCTGATGTTCCCAAAAGTCCTATCTTATTTATGATCCCTGGCAATTGCCAGCTTCACATCATGGTGAACTTTTTTTTTTTTTTTTTTTTTTTTTTTTTTTTTTTTTTTTTTTGAGACGGAGTCTCGCTCTGTCGCCCAGGCCGGACTGCAGTGGCGCAATCTCGGCTCACTGCAAGCTCCGCTTCCCGGGTTCACGCCATTCTCCTGCCTCAGCCTCCCCAGTAGCTGGGACTACAGGCGCCCGCCACCGCGCCCGGCTAATTTTTTGTATTTTTAGTAGAGACGGGGTTTCACCTTGTTAGCCAGGATGGTCTCGATCTCCTGACCTCATGATCCACCCGCCTCGGCCTCCCAAAGTGCTGGGATTACAGGCGTGAGCCACCGCGCCCGGCCGGTGAACATTTTATTATGCAAACTCAAGGTGCATTGTCCTCATGAGCTAAGGATCCTTAAAGCTAAGGTTCTGTAATGATATTGCATTATAAATTGATTTTATTTCCCAAAATGATAAAATAAAATTGATTTTATTTCCCAAAATGATATCACGAGACAGTTTCTGGTATCAGAGAAGGGAGGAGCTTCAGGGTGAAAGGTGGGAGGTCTTTCCACCCCTGGAATTGTACCATAGAGCGGGGTGCTCACCCTCTTGTGAGAAACTCTGGTTTTGCCCAGAGCACCCTACTCCCCTTTGGTCTGTCTGAGCATCTAAGAAGATCATTTGAACTTGATGGTGAGAATGGTCAGGGAACATCTTGACCAGCCTTCTCAGTTCACAAATGGAGAAAATGCCCCCAACTGCCAAAGGGGAGTCCCCTTCCAAGCTGACAAGCACGAGCTGGCCTGAATCCCAGTATCTCCCTATATGTACCATCATGCTACACTCGGTACATCACTACATCACTCGATCTTTCTGGATGCCCCTGAAATGCCCCTAAAAAGTCAAAGAAAAGGATTGCCCCATGAAAAGGGAAAGGAAAGCAGGACCATCCAGGGACTTTCCTGGGACTTGACCACTTACGATCCTGTCAAAGTGACAGACTGTGGACTTGGCTGTGGAGTCCAGGAATTAGAATGAGAGAAGAAAGGGAAGGTGGGGAAGAAAAGGCTTGATGCAGGGCAGGCAAAGACAGCAAAGGTGGTGTTGAGTGGAACAAGGGCCTGATAATTTATCATCGACTCAAGAGGCAGACAAAAGACTAGGCAGAGAGCTGCAGCACAGTCCTGCAAAGAATAGAGGGCCCCATCAAGGCAGGCCCTTCCTACTGCACTAGGTGCTCTCTGGAAGGTATATCTTAGCTTAAAGACAAAGCCAAGTGGTGTCGTTAGTCCAGGGCCACGTGGTAGGAGGGGGAGGCCTTCTGAGGCATGGAGAGTCTAGAACCTTCTCTCTGCATCCCTATCTAGGGTGCAATAGTAGATTTTCAATCAGTATGTATTGGATGAATGAGTCCCTTGGGAAGGGTAATATATTAACCTATTAGGGTTACTATAAATAAAGGGACTATTAATAAAGCTATTAATCTGCTGCTAATAGCTTTGTGCAAACCAGTTTAAAATGAAAAAAAAAAAACCCTCTTTGGTTCTTTGTATCTTATTAATGTAACGCACTAAGAATCTCACTTTGTTTCCACAGTAATCTTGGGAAGAGTACATAATCTTTTTGTGCCTTGGTTTCCCCCTCTGTAAAACGGAACCCACAGTAGTTCCTACCTCATAGAGTCATTGTTGGAATTAAATGCCATGATACATGTAAAGCACTTGGAGTCCTCCCTTAGCGACTGTGCCTTCTGCATTATTGGGGCCTGTTTCTTCATTCTTAGAAGGCAGGCCAATAAGTAGTGCCTTAGGATGTGGAGACCAAGCTGTGGTTGCTATCAACTCGCTTCTCACAAGTCACCATCTGGGACCGTGACCCAGCTGGCAGACAGTCTCCCCACAGGACAGGATGTGGGCTGGTAGATGCTTCTGGCTTCACAAGCTTAGTCCGGAATTTTGCTTTAGAAGGCATTAGAGATACTTTTTCCTTGGTTGTTTACCTATTCCCAAGCATGTGAAAAGCCCTCTGGAACCTTCAGATAGTGCTATCATAGAACTAGAGAATCAGCAAGGGAGAAGCTGGGAGAAAAATCAGAGAAGAGTACAGGATGGGGAGTGAGAGGGGTGCTGGCAACCCCTACCTCCTTGCCTTGATGTTTGTTCTCTATATTTTTGCTTTCTAAAAATTTTTATTTTTATTTTTGAAGCCAGATACTTTTACTTTTTAGCAACACTTAGACATTATGCAACATTAATGAGTGCATTCAGGACATTTTTTTCTGGAGGAACTGGTATAAGCAATTAAGCTACCATATTGCATGGAAGAGGGGAAGTAGGAAAAAGTAAGGATGGAAGGCTTTATAGGGACATGACCATGAAGGATTCTTAAGATCTGTCAAAAAGTTTATATTTATCATGAGAACAACGGAACGTCATTACAAGATCTAGTAACATGGCAAGAGTTGCATTTTAAAATGATCACTCTGGCTACAGTGCAAGATGATGGAGTCAAGTTTTGGAGAAAAGACAGAAGCAAGGAAATTGTTTCAGACATTCAGACGAGAGAGTGGTGGCTCTCAAGATCAAAAGGGAGATTTAGTATGGAGGTACTAACTTGAGAGCCCACATAGAGGTGAGCATTGCAGCTACATGAGGGGTTGAGAGAGCAGAGGGAGGGTATGGGAGTGTATGGAGAGAATAGGCTTAAGAACAGAACCAAGAGGAATGTCAATCTTTAAGGGCCTGGCAGAAAACAGAACTTGTAAAGGAAACTAAAGAGTATCAGAAGACAGATATACGAGGAGAGTGTGGTATCACAGAACCTAGATATTTTATTATTTATTTTTTTTTGTGTGTACAACTCTGTAATTTAATTTAATTTTTTCCAACTTTTATTTTAGATTCAGGGGTACACGCACAGGTCTGTTGCCGGGGTATATTGCATGATGGTGAGGTTTGGATTATGAATGATCCTGTCACCCAGATACTGAGCACAGTACCCAATAGTTAGTTTTTCAACCCTTGCTCACCTCCTTCCCTCCTTCCCCTAGGAGTACCCAGTTTCTATTGTTCCCATCTTTATGTCCATAAGTACTTAATGTTTTGCTCCCACGTATAAGTGAGAACATGTGGCATTTGGTTTTCTGTTCCTGCATTAATTTGCTTAGGATAACGGCCTCCAGCTGCATCCATGTTGCTGCAAAGAACATAATTTCATTTTTCTTTATGGCTGTGCAGTAGTCCATGGTGTATATGTACCACATTCTCTGTATCCAGTCCACCATTGATGGGCACCTAAGTTGATTCCATGTCTTTGCTGTCGTGCATAGTGCTGTGATGAGCATGTGAGTCCATGTGTCTTTTTGGTAGAACAATATATTTTCTTTTGGATATATATACCAGTAATGGGGCTGTGGGGTTGAATGGCAGTTTTGCTTTAAATTCTTTGAGAAATCTCCAAACTGCTTTCCACAGTGGCTAAACTAGTTTATATCATGGGTGAGCACTGACTATCTGGGCCAGTAGCACAGGGGTAAAAGAAATTACCAAGATGGTTGCAGGTAAAGAAAGGCAACCTCATTAGAGAGTATGAAAATACGTTGCAAGGGGCAATGGGCAGAATCAGCAGAAGAGGGGCTGACTGCAAAGAAACAAAAGCTTGCTGGACATTTAATAGAATAAGTGCTGTGCTGTGTGCTGATGAGGGCTTGTGCAGTATCAATAACACCAAGGTTGCAGTGAACTAACTTGTAATTTTTTGTATTAGCTAGAGGTCTGATGATAGCTGGGTGGAGGAAGATTGTGAGTAATTTGTGCGGGAGGGCTATGTGTCCTGGACCATGAAGAAAGGCAGACTTGTAGCTTATCTGGTTTTTCTTTTTGCTTTCCTCTGCTCCCATCAGCCTGACTTCTTTTCCCTAATTAGGACTCCACAGTTTACATTCCCATCAACAGTATATAAGTGTTCCCTTTTCTCTGCAGCCTTGCTAGCATTTTTTTTTTGTTTTTTGACTTTTTAATAATAGCCATTCTGACTGGTGTGAGATGGTATCTCATTGTGGTTTTGATTTGCATTTCTCTGATGATTAGTGATGTGGAGCATTTTTTCATGTTTATTGGCCAGTTATGTCTTCTTTTGAGAAGTGTCTGTTAATGTCTTTTGCCCATTTTTTAATAAGGTTATTTGTTTTTTGCTTGTTCAATTGTTTAAGTTCCTTATAGATTCTGGATGTTAGATCTTTTTTTCAGATGCATAGTTTATGAATATTTTCTTCCATTCTGTAGGTTGTCTGTTTGCTCTGTTGACAGTGTGTTTTCATGTGCAGAAACTCTTTAGTTTAATTAGGTCCTACTTGTCAATTTTTGTTTTTGTTACAATTGCTTTTGAGGACTTAATAATAAATTCTTTTCCAAGGTCTACATCCAGAATAATGCTCCTAGGTTTTCCTCTAGGATTCTTATAGTTTGAGTTCTTACAGTTAAATTTTTGACCCATCTTGAGTTAATTTTTGTATATGGTGAAAAGTAGGGGTCCAGTTTTATTATTCTGCATATGGCTAGACAGCTATCCCAGCACTGTTTATTAAACAGGGTTATTTTTGTCACCTTTGCCAAAGATCAGATGGCTGTAGGTGTGGAGATTTATTTCTTGGTTCTCTATTCTGTTCCATTGGTCTATGTGTCTGTTTTTGTACCAGTACCATGCTGTTTTGGTTACTGTAGCCTATAGTTTAAAGTTGGGTAATGTGATGCCTCCAGTTTTATTCTTTTTGTTTAGAATTGCTTTGTATATTCAGGCTCATTTTTGATTCCATGTGAATTTTAGAATAGTTTTTTCTACTTCTGAGAAAAATGATGCTGGTAGTTTGATAGGAATAGCATTGAATCTGTAGATTGCTTTGGGTAGTATGGCCATTTTAATGATATTGATTCTTCCAATCCATGAGCATGGAATGTTTTTCTATTTCTTTGTGTCATCTGTGATTTCTTTTAGCTGTGTCTTGTAGCTCTCCTTGTTGTTCTCTACATTTTTCTAAGATGGGTCTTTGAAAGGGCCCGGGGCTCTGGCCAAGCTAATTTTCTTCTCCCCATCCTTCCTACTCCACCGCACACCTCCCCAGCCTGGTAAATTGGTCCTAATGCTTCTAGCTCCACTTTTCTTCTCCTCTCCACTAACGCTGTGTTGCTGATGTCTGAGCAAGCCTTGAAAGGGGATGCGACTCTGAAAACATTGGAGGCAATGGAAGGAAAAGAGACACAGGGCACAGAGGGAATGAAAGAGAGAAAGTAAAATTTTCTAAAAAGGAGAAGAGCTGGGGCACGAGGGGAAATGGGGGTAAGAAGGGAAGATGAGTACTCAGGAGGTGGAGTGGGTTAGCCATGGAGAGAGACTCTGAGCCAGGAACAATTAACATCAGGGGCTGCAAGTGGCAGTCTGTGGGCTGAATCTAGTCAAACACTAATTTGGGGGCTCACATAGGGTTTCAAAATTTGGAAAAATTCCCATAAAAACTCAGATTTCCAGCTTGAAAGTTCTGGTCATGCGAGGGTAACATTTTTTCATGGCAACATGGAATGGAGCTGGGTGGCATTGACTCCTTCTAGAGGAGGCATATCTCCTCTCCAGGTCACCACAGTCCCCACCACTCTCTATTGTCACATTCAGTCTGCTTCACTTGCTTAAATTATCTGCCCAGTCTCTGTAGGTACCTGGGGTTGGGAGCCTTTGCTTATTTGTGTCATTTTTAGTATTAGAAATATCTTCTTCTTTTCCAGCTACTCTCCGAATCTAGACCTCAGCACAGAGGCAGTCACTAAGAGATGGTTTTGAAGGGTGGAAAGGAAGCAGTAGAGATGAAAGGGGAAAGAAAATTTGAAAGCAGGAAGAGAAAAATCCAGGGCAAGGGAGTGGGAAGGTAGACAGGTGGAGAGAACAGGAAGAATTAGGATTTTCCTTTCCCACCTGGCCCAACTGGCCCCCCTCAATTTCCTTGAAAAAGACATGTCATCTTTGTGGGTCAGTAACTTTCCTCATTAGTGCAAGGCAGCATCAACACGTTCATCATCAAATAATGAATTCTCCATGGTGCTCCTCTGAGAGTGAATCAGATGGAGATTCTTAAATAAATTAATCAATGACAACACACTGTTTATATTAGCTTTCTAGGATGACGGATGCAATGTTTATTGAGCTTAGAATTTGCACTACCATATAACGACACCATTACTGCTTTCTTCCAGCTCATATTAATTTCACAAAACAAGACAATTGGTCCTAAGTGTTTCTAAGTTAAAGCTTTCATAAAGGGTGGTGGAGCTGTGTAGGTGGGGTAGGGAGAGAGAGAAAGGTGAGGTTTATTGTCGATTGTTTCATTAAATCATCAGTCAATCTTAACCACCCTTTAAACAGTTTCTGTCTCCCTGACTACACAATGTTTGCTGGTATGGCAGCTGATTTTCTGTAAAAATGCCAAATTGAATACTATTTCTGAAAGAAAGCATTCTTATGCTGAAGAGGTTAAAGGACTTTCTGTTTATTTGTTTGGATCTATCAGGATTAGCTCTCGAATCAGCTTTTCCTAACCCACTCAAATTGGTGTAGAAACTGTACATATCATACATTCAATTAAAAATTCCTAAGCCCTCACTACATTCCAGACCTTCTGCCAGACACTGGGACATAAAGAGGAGAAGCCACTTTGCTCAGGAAGCCCTCAGCCTAGAGGGCAGAGTTGGGCATTAAAGAAACCCACATGGATCTAGGGTAATTTTCAACAAAAGTTGGAGCTGTGAAATAATTTAAACCAAGCCAAGCAAAGTAGAGTGAGTAGGAGAGGGCCCTCTTAGAAAAGTGCTCACTGAGCAACAAACCTGTCCTAGCTCCTGAGTGACAGGAAGAAACATACCCTGTGAAGATTTAGGGGTGGGTGCTCCTGGTGGAGGGAAGAGCAAGTGCAAAAGTTTGGAGGCAGGAAGGAGCTTACTCTGTGCAAGACGCCAAAGGAATGGCAGCATTGGAGTTGGGAGAGACAGGCTTGCTGGAACCACTGAGATCAATTATAATATAAAATATTTGAAAGGGTGTGCAGTTTTCTTACTTTTAAGCACTAATACTAATAGGAAGTAGGCTAATAAATAACTGTACTGTAGAAATCCTTAGGGAACCTATTTTGATGCATAGAGAATAATAACTATTTGTAATTACCATAACAGAATTGTCTGTAAATAAATGCTTCTAAAAATGCCTAATTTGACATTTTAAAAACAATTTGTCCTCTTAAGCAGTTTAAACATACTCTCTCCACAATGTTAACCTTCCATTTGCATTCTAAATCTTTCTTCTCTTCTGTCCGTCTTCCCCTCAAATAAGTTCTGAATCACTCTTATGAGCTTGACGTTCTTCATAGATTTTGAAAAAGTCAGCGCCAGTCAAGTTCTTATCTGAATTATCATAAATTCTTAATTAATAAAGTCTGAGCTTTTGAGCCCTCCTGGATTAATAATAGCTGATAATTATTATATTAGTTATATATATTATCCCATTTGTCAATTTATGGTGAAGGTTTTTTCTTTTTTCTTTTTTTTTTAATTTGAGACAGAGTCTTGCTCTGTCACCCAGGCTGGAGTGCAGTGGCATGACCTTGGCTCACTGCAACCTCCACCTCCCTGGTTCAAGTGATTCTCATGCCTCAGCCTCCTGAGCAGCTGAGATTACAGGTGTGCACCACCACGCCTGGCTAATTTTTGTATTTTTAGTGGAAACAGGTTTCACCATGTTGGCCAGGCTGGTCTTGAACTCCTGGCCTCAAATGATCTGCCTGTCTTGGCCTCCCAAGGTGCTGGGATTACAGGCGTGAGCCATCACACCTGGCCAATGAGGGTATGTTATTAATCTTATTTTGTAAAAGAGGAAAATTAGGCTAAGAGAAGTTATGTAACTTGGCCAAATTTACACAGCAATGAAATGGAGAGTCAAGATTAAAATCTGGGTCCTCTGGACTACCTGGTTATAAGCATTATAAAAACATTGTATTAGAAGCCAAGTGGACTTAGTTTTCTTCTTGGTAAAAATGCTGTTCATGATTCCTGCATAGTCGTGTCTCCTCCATACCATGAAGAGGCCTGGGTTCTGCAGATACCATGGAAACAAGATGTAAGAGTTAGCTTCATGGAGACTACAGTCTTGTAAAAGGAACAGACATGATTCAAACGACCCCGCTAATAAATGTAAAATCCCAATGGAAGCAGGTGTTCTGAATTGTTACCCAGGTGGGCCTGACCTAGCCTAAAAGTTCAGGGAAGACAACCTGAGGAAGTGATCTTTGAACTAAGACCTAAGAGTTTGGTGGAGTTAGCTAGATAAAGGGGAGAGGGGTGGTAGTGGGATGGGTGACGTTGAAGAGGTGAGGACAGCCCTGTGCAAAAGTCTTGTGGAAGGATGGAGCTTGGCTCTGAAATAAGGTCAGTGTGTTTGGGGCACAGGATGTTAGGATATGTGAAAGGAGGGGAAGCTGGAAAAGGACACAGATCAACCATGCAGGGGCTTAAAGGCCGTTTTAGGTCCTTAGGGACCTAATGTTTACCAGAGTTTATGGCTTATTTTTGCTGACTCCTGTCTTTCTCCTTCTTTCTCAAGAATCTGTTCCCTTAACCCTGCTGTCCCCTTCTCTTTCAAAAGAATGCAAAGACCTGCTCAAGGGGACAGCCAGCACATACGGGGCTCTGACCTGGTGTTTGGGTCCCCTGCAACCTGCTGCAGGCCAGTGAAACAGTGCGTTCCTTTCTAAGACAAGAAAGCCCTTGACATTCGTTCCTTGGCAAAAGAACCAGACCTGCCAGGAAGGTCCAGTGGCCAGGGCCTCGAATGCTGGAAAGGAAATTAGTTTCAGCTAAAACACAGAGCCGAATGTCAGGCCTTTACGCTCCCTGCCTCCGATGCTAATCTGGCTGGTGACAGGGGGCTATGAGAGACAAAAGGTTATGCAGGCACTTTGTATTGGATGCCCCCCTCCTTTTTTGTTTCTGATGGTGTGATGAAGGATTCGGGCTGCTGAGCTCCTGCATTAATCAGATTCATTCCATTTTGTTAGGGAGGGCTGTTTTCTGATGTCTCTGAGGAAATAAAGATGATAAATAGGGGGAAGTCTCATACTTTATTAGCGTGGATGGGCAGACAGATCCCAGTAGTAATTAATCCCAGGATGTTTACAAATTTTCTCTTCTTTGTCAACCTAGAGTCAGGGTTTGCTGTTGTTGGCATAAAGAAAGACTGGAAGCTGAACAATGATGTTCTGCTCATGGAATCAGAGAGATGGCAAAATATTAATTAATCATCCCATGATAGACAGTGGTGTCCTAAATGTCAAGACCCCCAAACTGTAATGAAAAGCAAGTTTCAGTTGCGCGGGACTCTCATAGGAAAGCTTAGAAAAACCCTAGCTTAAGCGTGTGTTAACAAAGACCCTTCTGATTGATATGGAAAAGTGGGGTACCTAGAATGTAAGGGTTCCCCACACAATGCAAAACAGCTATAAATACTTGGAGAAATTGAGTTGTTTCAGAACATTAAGAGTATTTCAGAGTAT
This sequence comes from Homo sapiens, assembly GCF_000001405.40. Lineage (NCBI taxonomy): Eukaryota > Metazoa > Chordata > Mammalia > Primates > Hominidae > Homo > Homo sapiens. The sequence continues at coordinate 159,724,702 of NC_000005.10, read as the reverse complement.
TAAAAGTATTAAGGGTCAAGCAGAAAATGCTTTTGTTCCAATCCTGGGATTACTCAACATCTTTCCAGAACATCCAGGTTCTCTTTCTGGCCTAGTAAGGACTGGAGGATGGCTAAAGGTCAGTTGTCCTGGTATGATTTGCATTGTTGTGAGGCTTCAGGAACACTGTTATGAGCTTTGATTCCTTTTATGCTCTGACTCAAGAACAGGAGATTTAAGCTTTGATCCTGCCCTCATAAATCATGAACCATGTGACCTTAGGTAAGTCGCTTCACCTGACTTCTCTGAATTTCAGTTCACTCAACTGCAAAATCAAGGAACTGTAGCCACGCAAAGCTTGAAGTTCCTACATGGCTGAATTTAAAGGTCTGTACTTACAGCAATTTTAGGATATTAGGCTGAGTGTATGATCAAACCAGGATAGACACCCCTCCTGCTTTGTAAATACATTTTGGATGTGCGGGGTATATTTGGGGAGTGGTGGTGGTGGGAGAGGGTTTACCTATTTAAAAAAAAATTTTAAACTTTAAAAATAAATAGCTAATAGCTAATGCACGTGAGGCTTAACACCTAGGTGATGGGTTGATAGGTGCAGCAAACCACCATGGCACACGTTTACCTATGTAACAAACCTGCACATCCTGCACATGTATCCTGGAACTTAAAATATTTCAGAAACCACCTATGAATTATTTGTAATTGTACACTGAATATATAGGTGTTTCTGAAGAGTTCTATAGTGCTTAAAACAGTTTGTTCTCTTGGATATTTTATACTCCCTGAAGTTTTTTGTTGTTGCTTTTTTGTACATATTCTCATTTTGTTTTCAGACACTTTATTCCTAAAACATGGAAAGGTCAGCATCAGCCAATAGATTGAGAATTTGCATTGTCTGAGTTAAGGAAAGCATCTTGCATTTTCTGGAGCACTGAGCATCTCGTCTTGAACCTTCTGAGTTCTGGGAAGCTCCAAATTCATTTGCTGAAGCAAGAAGGAAAAACAGTTCTTGGAGGGAATCTGAAAGAGAATGAGACTGCACTGCCAATGGTCTTCTGGTCAACCCTGGCCTGTGCGACTCCACATGGGTCCTGTCCATCACACTCTGCTCATGAGAAAATGCCCAAGAAATACCCACAAGTTTTAAGCAAAGAAACTCCGCTTCACTGGAGATATGCTGTTATTTGTGAGACCACCATGCCAACCTAATATTGCTGAACAAAAAGTAAGTAAAGGGAAACTTTAAACAAACTGGCTTAAAGACGCAAATTAGAAAAGACCATCATTTTCTCTCTTGGGACTCAACCTCCAATGTGAACTAAAACCTAGAGTTCACCATGCTAATTTTCTAAACCTATTGAACCAGATCAAAATCTCTGTATTTAAATATGCTGCCAGCTGAACCTAAACAGGGCCAATATTTCATTTGGTTCAAACCCATGTTGTTTTTTGTTGTTTTTTGTTTTTTTTTTGTTTTTCTGCTCACAGAATTACCTAAGTGATTTGGTAGCTGGCATTTTTTTACTCAACAAGCCTTTAGAAATGTGAATGTGTGTGTTTGTGTGTGTGTGTGTTGAAACATTGGTTAGAAATGTGTGTGTGTGTATTTGTGTTGAAACATTGGTTAGAAATGTGTGTGTGTGTGTTGAAACATTGGTTAGAAATGTGTGTGTGTGTGTGTGTGTTGAAACATTGGTTAGAAATGTGTGTGTGTGTGTGTGTGTGTGTGTGTGTGTGTGTGTTGATGAAACATTGGTACTTTCTAAAAAATTAAATATCTATTTCTAAAGTTGTAGTTCAGGTCCCTTACATTTTTGGTATGAGAAAAAAAAATTTTGTGGATTTAAAGGTTTTCTTTTTAAATTTTTTCTTTTCTGTTCTTTCTTTTCTTCCTCTTTTTTCCCCCTTTTTTTTTTTTTGGTTAGAAAAACCAACCCAACTGCACAGACTTTCACATATAATAACTCGAGATAGTTCCTGTTTGCCCAGTTCCCAGATGAAAGAAAAACAAAACAAGTGTGGGGCGGTTTATCGTTTTTTGAAACAAGATACATTTTTCCCATGTTCGGATCTGAAAATACTCAGCTGTAATTTAATCTACCTTTATTAGATTACCCAGTTATGTCCACAAAATTGTGGAAACCATCTTAAATTAGTAAGGTCAGGGAAGAAGTAGGCTGGATGTGAGAATTCCCGCTGCTCTCGTCTGACATGTCTTCCAAACGAAGGGGCACGTCATGGGTGAAGCACTTGGTTCACTAGGGACAGCAGAGCTCACCACTCCTCCGTGTCCCCAGTGGAGAGTCTACCTTCTGCTTCTTCCACGCTGACTTCTGAGCAACCCTAGTCCTCAAAGTATGGTGTATAGCTATAGAACAGGCCAGGCTGGCAAAAAGTTATCCTTTACTTGTCAAAGAATTCTTCAAGCTTATAAAGCCCTACATAGAATTGCCAGATAAAATACATCCAATTAAATTTCCATTTCAGATAAACAAAGAGTAGTTTTTTTAGTATAAGTATGTCCAAAATATTATGTGGAATACACTTATACTAGAAATTATTTATTGTTTATCTCAAATAGAGATTTAACTGGACATCCTATACATATTTGCTAAATTTGACAACCAACATCAAGTCACCCAAAGAGGCCAGGATACCATTCATAGTAGCAAAAATAAAATTAAATAAATTAATTATCCATGCAGTAGGTATGGAATCTTAGGCCATAAATACAGATATGTATGATGTATCATCTCCTTAATTTTTCAGAGAGAAACCTATTCTGCCTCTGAGTGTGTAACCCAGCAGGAAATTTAGCCTCAGCTATGATAAGGCCCTGTGCCATCCCAGGGTCCCATCTGAATCCAGGACTCTTAGATAGTGTCCAGAGGACAGGGATGGGGCTCCAAACCCCATGCTATCATGATGGCCAGAGATGTGCTCACAGCTTGGGGCTCAGTGGTCATTGTAGATATGAGGGCTCTATTTTGAGTATTTTGAGTTCCCTATGGGGCTGAAGGATTTTTTTTGTTTGTTTTTTTGAAGATAAAGTAGCTCTGCACTTGGGAGCCATGTTTTAGCAGATGATCTCCCCATTCTAACACTAATCTCTTTAAATTTTGCAAACTGCCTTCCTTTCCCCTCTGAGTTACTTCAAAGACATTCTCTCATTTCTGGTTGACCTCAAAGGTATGGCTTTCTTCAATAATTTCTAAGCTCTTATGAAAGACAGAAAAAGTTGTTGCCTTCAGGTAATTTCACCTCCTCCTCTGCCTCTTCTACACAACATAATCCCCAAGGAAGTAATTCCTTATGGGTCTGACTACCTGCTTGAAATGAAAGAAGGCAAAAACCATACTGTAGTAGATTAGATTATTGTTCAGTAAATATTCTCTTCCTCTCCCCCCACCCCACATCCAGAAGAGTCTTCTTCTTCCCCCACCCACAGATGTTGAACTTGACCATGTGACTTGCTTTGTTCAATGGGATATTAATGGACCTGACCGAACTAGGGCTTGAAATGTGCTTATGTAGTTGGTGTGCCCTCTTCTACCTCTGCCATTGTCATTGCCACTTGTCCAAGGAGAATGAGACACGTGAAGCAGATGTGGACAAACTCATGGCTTGGAGCCAAACCTGAACAAGCCTGGTCTAGACCCAAAGAACCCCAGCCATCCCCAGACACATGATTGAGAAATATATATTGATTATTGTATGCTAGTGAGTTTCAAGGTGATTTGTTATTGCAAAATAATTAACAGGTACTGGTACAAATGAAAATTCTCATTTTGGTAGTAAATTATCGATGGACTTAAAACTCAGCTGTGATTTTAGAGTTTTGTTTTGTTGTTTTCTTGAGACAGAGTCTCACTCTGTCACCCAGTTTGGGGTGCAGTGGCAAGATCTCGGCTCACTGTAACCTCCTCCTCCCAGGTTCAAGTGATTCTCCTGCCTCAGCCTCCAGAGGAGCTGGGATTACAGGTGCCCACAACCATGCCTGGCTAATTTTTGTATTTTTAGTAGAGACAGGGTTTCACCATATTGGCCAGGCTAGGCTGGTCTCAAACTCCTGACCTCAGGAGCCTGCCTCAGCCTCCCAAAGTGCTGGGATTACAAGCGTGAGCCACCACTCCTGGCTTAGATATTAAAGTATTTATTGCGTTCAAAAATCACAAGGCATAAGGCTGCAATCCTGTGGTTAGCAGGCTTTCTCTCCATAATATCTGGCATCATTCTCTAAGTTATTTATTCTCTGTAATAGCTGATACTTATTTGATGTCTGGAAGTTGGCAAAGTGCCTTTATATTCATTATTCTAGTAGATCTGTTTTATTCAATGGTGAGGTGAGGTTGATTGCAATAGCCCCATTTGATGAGGAAACAGAGTCGTAAAGAGATCAAGTTTTTCCCAAGAAAGCAAGTCAGTTTTGAACTCCAGATCAGAGTTAAGACTCCCATCATGTCCTCCCACGCCTCTAATCACAGTATGATTGCTCCCAGAGCATCCAACACAGGGCTGAGCCCTTTGTAATTCTCAGTAAACACCTGAGAAGTGATGGAGGGACCAAAACGTTTAACCAGAGTTATCAGTGTAAAAGCCAAAGCTCCCAGGCAGCATTGCACTAGAGGTTTTCTCCCCATAGCCTCTATTAATGCTTCTCAAAGTGTGTGTTAATAGGGTTTGGGGTACGAGATGAGTCAGGTACAGGGATGGAGATAGAGAAGATTAGATGCTATTTTTAATATGTTTTTGAAATTCTGGTTTAAGGAAATCGAATGTCTACTTCAGGGCTTTTGAGTGCATCTGAAAGGCTTATTCGTATGACTTTGAAGGTGAGGAATAGAGTGTACTTCATTTCCCAAACTTATTTGACCATGGTACCTTTTTATCAGAGATCATCTTGCTGAACTAGGGTTTGAGGAAACCACTTTGGGAAACACCAGCCTATGTCGCTGAACTGCTCTGATTCTGCCTTTTGACATTTTCATTTTGTGCCATTCAGAGCTGTTAAAGCACTAGGCACCCTCTGGGCCCTTTGAGCTTCTGTTAATGACTTAGTTCTAATTCCAAGAAGCTGTTAACTTAAGGGGATGATAGCTTGGTGTATTAATTAAGGTTCTGTTAGTAGCAAACAGAAAGAAACTGGCTAACTTACTTGAAGATATTAGGAAAGCTCATAGAATTGTAAGAGTTGCCCAACAATTAGGATTTGAAAAGAGCCAAAATCAGAGCAGTTTGGGGGATTTCAGCCCTGGGGGTCATTGGAAATATCACTCAAATGACTCTGCTGCAGAGACACCCCTCTGCACCTTTCCACTTGGGTTTTAGGGTTTCAGGTTCCTAAGAGAGAAGCTGATTGTTCTGGCTTAGATCAGATGTCTCTGTCCCAGGATTATTCAGCCACGAACATGGGACATAAGGTGCCACTGAGGCAACTGCTGTGATCTGGGCAGCCATCCCAATTCATGTCTCCTGCATCTGGTGTGCAGGAGAGTCACATCTTTTTGTGGGTTGGTTTGATGTTGACTATATAGCTAAAACTACTCTTGAAAGTCCATTACATTTCCCTCCAGGATGAGAAGATGTTGCTGTCTCTTCCTTTGATCACCAAACAAAGAAGTGTAGAGGCAAAAAATATGAATTTCCATCACAGATTCACTTTTGGCCTGGACAAGCACTTTTGCAATGAGAGTTTACCCTGAAACCAACCAGTGTTGCTCAGGGGCAAGAAAAATGGCAGGTGGCCTCGCCAGAACTTTCCCAGTCCTCTCTAGCTAGTTCTCTTTTGCCAAATACACAAAGTCGAATTCATGGAGTTGAGTGTGTATATGATGCAACTCCATTGTACGTAGAGATAGATTAATATAATAGCCCTAAACAAATCTGAGAAGTAAGAACCTTAACAGTCTCTTTGATTTTTACTAAGAAATGGATGAGGTCCTCAGAATGGTGTCCTGGAAAAAAAAAAAAAGGAGCTTTAAGGGACCATGTTTTGTACATTGATTCAAAGGCAATCTAAACTTCTACTTTTTTTAAACAAGTCAAAACTAAGGTTTTTTTCTGCCTTCTGAAATTTCAAAATCAGACGCAAATGAGGCATTAAAAAAAATAAGCCCCCCAAGGGCACCATCACCTACTGCTATGTTGTACTGTGGGGCTTTATTTGAATATATTTTGTTTTTATTACTTTGTTCTCTTTCCTTGCTGTGATTTACAAAGCAGTGTGGGAAAATGGTTAATACAGAATAAAAGTTAAAATTAAAACCACTTTTTCCAGTATAGTGCTGTCTCCTTCCCACTCCTTCATCCCTGGGGGCCTGTTCAGCTGAGTTTAGTAGCACAAAGGCTACTGAGTTCTAGAACTAGATTCATAACCTACCTAAAATGGATTGATTTTCTAGCTCTGGGAACAGATAAATGATTAGTTGACTATGGTTGATAATTTGGAGAGAATTGACAATAATGGAATAACCTCATTTTAATGTGCCTGGAGAACTCTGGAAATTTGTGACATTTATTAAACTACTCAGATTAGCTCAAATAACTTTATGTTTGAAAATGACACTGATTTGGGTCCCCTGTACAGGCACAGGAGAACTGTGTCTCTCCACCCACCCAAAGGATGACACCTGAATCTTTTCACTTTGTCAGAAAAATACTTCCACCTAAACCAGTGACCCAGCCTAGGCTCTTACCATCACTCAAATCTTTGTTGAGTACTTACAATGTGTCAGGCACAGTGTTGGCTGCTTTTATATCCACTATTTGTTTAATCCACACTACAACTTTTTTTTTTCTTTACAAAACGTTAAAATCCCATTTTACATATGAGAATATTCAGACTCATGATGATTAAGAACCTTACCTTAGACAGACAATCATAATCATCATAATCCCAATCATAATCATCTTAACCATCATCACCTAAGTGGACAGGAAAAAGGTCTCTCAGAATAGGAGATAAATGTGGAAGATTGAACCACACACATGAGATAAATGGGTAAGTACAACAATAACAGCATATTCAAGGCATGGTGCTATGCTTCTTTGGGTACCATGTTTAATTTAATCATCATAGTGATTATATGAAGTAGGTAGGAAAATGAGCCCTGTTTTAGAGGTGGGGAAATGGAGGTCTCAGGGAGCTTAAGGAAATCACTGGCAACTAAGCACTGAGCTTCAGCCCTCATGTAGGCACAGTTTATAGAACAAAGCAGATATCAGTGACAAAGGGCATTGAGATAAGTTAAAACAGCTTCAGACTGCAAGTAATAACAAAAAAGACTCCAAGTGGGACAAAAGCTTTTTTACTTAACAAGTATGCAGGGCTGTAACACAACATCCAAGTGTTTGGGGACGTGAGTAGGAAGTTGTCTCTGAACCATGACTCTAAGAAGTCGAGGACAAGAGGCTGAGCGGTTGCCATCAGTCAAGATCTTTTCTAAGAAGAATGAGGTGCTTCTTTTCTCTGCCCCCATACACAGGTGCACTTGACTAGGGGCTGTCTAGTGCCAACCAAACCTCAGTATTTTTATGGGAAAGTCAGGAATCCGAAGAGGGTTTGAGAATGAAGTTACCATTACATCTGACCTTCTTCTCCGCTATCTTCTGGCTAACAGAAGGATTCTATTTTTAAGTCAAACTGTGCATTAAGTATCTCTGTGAAACACAGCTGTGTTGAATTTTTTTTTTTTTGAGATGGAGTCTCACTCTCACCCAGGCTGGAGTGCAGTGGCGCGATCTCGGCTCACTGCAAGCGCCGCCTCCTGGGTTCACGCCATTCTCCTGCCTCAGCCTCGCGAGTAGCTGGGACTACAGGCACCCGCTACCATGCCCGGCTAATTTTTTTTGTATTTTTGGTAGAGATGGGGTTTCACCATGTTAGACAGGATGGTCTCGATCTCTTGACCTCGTGATCCATCCGCCTCGGCCTCCCAAAGTGCTGGGGTTACAGGCGTGAGCCACCGTGCCCGGCCAAGCTGTGTTGAATTTTTAAAGGAAATCAAAATCTTTCAATAAAGAAATGAACTTTAACGAAACACCAGATTGGCAGAAGTTGAGAAAAGGGACAGGGATTTGGATAATGATGTCTCTTCAAGGTGCTGGAAAGTACTCAGATGATAGAATGTCCAGCAATTTCTTTAAAACATGTGGGGGTAGTAAAGCTAGCAGAAGACAACAAATAACAAAAATGAGAGCTAAATTTAGGGAGATCAAGAAAAGAAAAATCATTCAAAAGATCAATAAATCCAGGAATTTTGTTTTTTGAAAAAAATTAATAAAATGGATAGGCCACTAACTAGAATAATGAAGAAAAGAGAGAAGACCCAAATAAACACAATTATAAATGATGAAGGGGATATTACTACTGACCCCACAGAAATAAAAACAACCATCAGAAACTACTATAAATACCTCTATTTACACAAAGTAGAAAACCTAGAAGAGATAGATAAATTCTTGGACATATACACCCTCCCAAGACTGAACTAGGAAGAAATTGATTCCTTGAACATACCAATAATGAGCTCTAAAATTGAATCAGCAATAAATAACCTATCAACCAAAAAAGGACCCACTCCAGATGGATTCACAGCTGAATTCTACCAGATGTACAAAGAAGAGTTGGTACCATTCCTATGGAAATTATTCCCAAAAATTGAGGAGGAGGGACACCTCCTCAATTCATTCTATGAGGCCAACATCATCCTGATACCAAAACCTAGGAGAGACACAGTTAAAAAAGAAAATTTCAGGCCAATATCCTTGATGAACCTTGATGCAAAAATCCTCAACAAAATACTTGCAAAAGGAATCCAGGAGTACATCAAAAAGCTAATCCACCATGATCAAGTAGGGTTTATTCCTGGGATGCAAGGTTGGTACAGTGCGCACGAACCAATAAATATGATACATCACATAAACATAATTAAAGACAAAACCCACATGATTATCTCAATAGACACAGAAAAGGCTTTCAATAAAATTTAACATCCCTTCATATTAAAAACTCTCAATAAACTGGGTATTGAAGGAACATACCTTAAAATAATAAGAGCCATCTATAACAAACCCACAGCCAACATCATACTGAATAGGCAAAGGATAGTGGAAGAATTCCCCTTGAAAACCAGCAGAAGACAAGGATGTCCTCTCTCACCATTCCTATTCAACATAGTGTTAGGAGTTCTGGCCAGAGCAATCAGGTAAGAGAAAGAAATAAAAGGCATCCAAATAGGAAGAGAGGAAGTCAAACTATCCCTGTTCGCAGACGACATGATTCTATAGCTAGAAAACCCCATATTCTCGGCCCCAAAGCTCCTTCAGCTGATAAACAACTTCAGCAAAGTTTCAGGATACAAAATCAATGTACAAAAATCACTAGCATTTCTATGCACCCAATAATAGCCAAGCTGAGAGCCAAATCAGGAATGCAATCCTATTCGCAATTGCCACAAAAAGAATAAAATACCTAGGAACACAGCTAAACAGAGAGATGAAATATTTCTACAACGACAATTACAAAACACTCCTCAAGGAAATCAGAGATGACACAGACAAATGGATAAACATTCCATGTTCATAGATAGAAATAATTGATATAATTAAAATGTCTATATTCATGAGAGATATTGGTCTGTAATTTTCTTTTTGTGTGGTAACTTTGTCTGGCTTTGGTATCAGAGTAATACTGGTCTTATAGAATGAGTTGAGAAGTGATCTTTTTCTCAGTATTTTCCGGAAGAATTTGTAGAGGATTGCTCTTATTTCTTTAAAGGTTTGATAGAATTCACCAATGAGGCCATCCAGGCCTGAGCTTTTGTGTGTGTGTGTGTGTGTGTGTGTGTGTGTGTGTGTGTAAAGATATTTTAATCACTAATTTAATGTCTTTATTTGTTTTGGATCTATTCAGATTTTCTACTTCTTCTTGTATCAGTTTTGGTAACCAGTGTCTTTCTAGGAATTTGTTTATTTTATATAAATTATCTATTTGTTGGTGTAAAATTGTTTGTGTATTTCCTTACCTTTTTAATTTCTGTAGAGCTGGTGGTATCAACTTTTTCCTTTCTGATTTCTTTTTCTTGATTAGTCTCACTAAAGATTGTCAATTTTGATGATCTTTTCAAAGAAATCAACTTATGATTTTATTAACTTACTTTTTTGTTTTATATTTCATTTATTTCCATTCTAATCTTTGCTATTTCCTTTCATCTCCTTACGTTGTATTGAGTTTGTTTTCATTTTCTAGATTCCTAAGGTGGGAACTTTGGTTACTGACTTGAGATTTTTCTCCTTTTTAAAAACACAATCATATAAAGCTACACATTTCTCTCTAAGCACCTTTTTAGCTGCACCCCATAAATTTTGATATGTTGTGTTTTCATTTTCATTCAGTTAAGATTTACCCTGCATTTTCAACTTTGATCCATGGGTTATTTAGAAATGTGTTGCTTTATTTCAAAGTATTTGTGTATTTTCCGTAGTTCTTTCTGCTGTAGATTTCTAGTTTAATTCTGTTGTGTTTGAAGAACATATTTTATATGATTTCAATTTTTAAAAATGTGTTGAAACTTATTTTATGGCCTACCATGTGATCCATTCTGGAGAATATTTCATAAGTGCTTGAGAAGAGGGAAGGCGCTAATGAATCTTAGCATTACTGAAAGTGGGACAACCAGAAATTATGTGCCCTGTGATGTGATGCAACAGGTGGTTCACAATACCACCTACATTAGACAAAATAGAGTAGATTATAGTGCAATGAAAATAACCGAAATCTTAGGAACTATTTATCTACTAAGGGCCCAGGCTGATGGGAGTCTATCTTGACATGCCCTCTCATTTTTCTTCATGGCAGAGAGATAAAGGAGCAAGGTGAGTCTTGTAAGAAAATATCCATATTTTAAAAAGATGCATGCTTAGGTATATAAAGGTAAAATTATGTCTTTAATTTATAACATTTAAAAATTTTTAAGCAAATAAAAATGTGACAGATGAAGCAAATGTGGCAAAATCTAGGTAATTGTGGAATCTGAGAGGTATGAATATTAGAGCATGTTATATTATGTTCTCTGTTATATTATGTCCTCTGTTTTTGTATATTGTTTTAAATTTCTTTAATAAAAATGTTTTAAAAATTTAATCTAATTATGTCATTTCTTTGATTAAAACCTGCATGTTCCCTGCTCTTTTTCTGACAAAGTTCTACTTATCATTTGGATCTTAGACTGTTAGCATGATTAATGTCTTCTTTGTTGAAGACATTTTTATTGGGTACTTAGCATTTGCTAGGGACTGGGTTAAGCACTTTGCCTCTTTTATGGTTTTAATATCACAACTAGCAGAGTTATTTGTCATCTGCTTTTTGTAAATGAAAAAAACTGAAGTACAGAGAACAGTTTGTCAAAGATCCTGAGGCTAGTGGGTTGGGAAACTAGGATTTGAGCCCAGGAAGACTGACTCTTATCACCTATACCATTACCCTCTTGGTTTCATGGCTGCTTAGTATTTCTCTCTCTTGTGTTTTTTGAAATTAGTATGGTGCCTAGCACAAGGTAAATGCGTAGGAATTTTTGTTAAATGGAGGTTGATAGCTGGATTTCAGTCATTTTTTTCAGTTCCTTATCTGCTCATTGATTTGCTCATAAATAGTCACTGTCCCCTTGATATTCCAATTTTGTCATAATGATCCATACATACTCGCTGAAAAGGGGCATTCCAAACACAGAGAAAAAAAGACCAGTCACATCCTTTCCTAAGCACAGCCTTTCCTATGTCTTTACTTGGTGCTCCCACTGACTATTGCTTTGAACACACTGTAATGTAATACTTTGTTTATGTAAGCGCCTCTTGTTTAGTCTGGAGATTAGAGAGTTCAGGACCCTGTCTTATGTATCTCCCAATCTTCAGTGCCTAACACGGTGATTGACATGCCTTGGGTGAGTTAGTATGTTTATTGAACGGGTAAGTGTATAAAAGCTAGTAACGAATTCCTCTTCATGTTAAGCCCAGCCCTTTTAAACCTAGCCCAGATGTTGTTTCTGTAAAAAATTTCCTAGTGCCTTCCAAAGTTAATCATTCTAGACTTTGTGATATTGTACCTATGTACACATTTATAATTCCATTTATATTGTGCCATACCTTATTATTATTATTTTTGCCTGTTTGTCTCTCCAACTAGATGTGAGCTTTGCAAAGCGGGGACTGTGCTTTATCATCTCTGTCTTTCTGACACCTAGCAACACACCCAGCCCAGAGTAGAGGCTAAAACAAATACAAAAACATCAAAACTTTCAAAATCATCAAAATGCAAGACTATCAATATATTCATATACTGTCTTTAGCAGATATTACCATAAAGCGATGTGTTACATTCTGGACCATAGGAAAAGATTTCTGAGTGACTCCTGATATAATTAGAAAGTGGAGGTGCTTCTTAGTAGAATAACACTACCACTGTCATTTCAAAGTCTTCCTGTCACTCTCTGTCACTTGCTTTTGAGACATAAGCTAGTCATTGCCACTTTGTATCTATGTTGCATTTTCTCTGCTAAAACTGCAGTATCCCACAGGGCCAGTAATTTAGCTTTTTTTTTTTCCCAAAATTTTCTAGATTTACCATAACTGGGGAAATAAATTTGGGGGAAGAATAAAGCAAATGTCTATGGTATTGTGGAAAGACCGGTAGTCTGTGTTTCCCTCTATAACTTCAACGCCATTTCCCTACTTCAGGACTCAGTTTCCTCACCTATAAAATCAGGTCTTATCAAATAATACATGAAGCCTCTCCTGTGTTCCAGAATCTGTGACATCTTTGGCTAGGGGATCATCCCCCATAAGAGGAGGAACAAACAAAACTTGTTATCTGGCTGGTTCAAGACCCAATGTTGCAATTTGTCTTCTTATTTAATGTAGGATGGAAAAAAACTGGAGCACGGATTCACAGCCACCCTAACCACCAGGTTCACCACAAAAAATAAAATACACAGTGGGATAAGTAGAAATACAGGGCCTGTCTAGGAAGAAGGGCAGAGAGTACAAGTAACCTAAAATTTTACCTTCCCGTCCCCATCCCTGCTATAACTACCTTGTTGGCCCAGAATTCAAGGTCAGCAAACATGTGGCAGACAGGCCTCCCATCCTAACTGTTGTCCATGGCTGGTATTGCTTATTGATGATAGCACCATTTTCTTTTAAGGCTAGACTGGGAATCTTTCTCAATATAGTGCTTCTCCAAAAAGCAATGATTGATTGGAGTTGGCATGTAAGCTGAAGTCTATTTGCATCTTGGGCTCAAATTTCCTCCTGATTCAAGCAGAGAAAAGCAATAAAAAAAAAAAAAAGGATTTGTGATTTAAAACAGATAAGGGACCTTGGGCAGGTTACCTACTTTGGGTGCTGATTTGTAAGCGGAGAATTCCTGGGGCTCCTCCATGTAAGCATTCTGTGTTTTGTGGATTCTAGATGTTCTTATCCCTTTTTGAAAAATGGGGCACCTGTTATTACATACACTGTTATTACAAATCTCTGGCTTCATAACTTATCAAGATTCAGGTGACATTGAATGTGTCTGGACACATCAGACATGAAAAGCATTAGATGTTTGCACAACTGCAGGAGCTGTGAGGTATTTTTTGTTAATCCTCTCCAACTTGCAGACAAGTTCTCTGGGGTTGGAACAATCGGATTAGGCTTGAGTGAAGCTTGGCTCACAATGTCAAGGAAAACCTAACAGGGCTGGCATCTGTTAAGCAGTCATTGCTAGCATCTTTCTCTGGCAAGAAACTACTTTTTCTTGTCTTGTTTCAGACTTAAATAGCTTGTATTTGTCTTGGATACTAGATCAATAATCTCAATCTCTTCTCTCTCTCTCTCTGTCAATTTTTTGGAAATAAAGTACTATTTTTTGTGGTGAAGGGAAAGTAAGGCACTGCAGAGGGTGGAAAAGGAGGTAAGAATGCTAATAGAAGGAATAAAAGATAATATTTATTGGATACTTTCTGTGTATCAAACACGGCATTCACACATTTAATCATGACAAACTATGACAATCTATTAATAATCTCTCTTTTATAGATGAGAAAATTTAGGCCAGGGGGATTAAATAATTTTTTCAGAGTCCTGCAGTGAGTTTGAAGAAGAGGAAAATCTGTGAGTCACGTCTCTTTCTTCTTCCACCACGCCACACTGCTTCTCTCAATCCAGCACTGCAGGGCTTTTCTCAAATCACCCCAAGGCATTACCCAAGTCTCTTTCAGTGTAATTAACAGAAGACCCACCATGAGCAAGCTGTTCCTCTTCTCTAGTGGCTCTGCTTTCCACTTCGCTCTCAGTCCCTCGCTTCATGGCGGCAAGACGGCTGCCATCAGCACCAGACTTTGCACCAATTCCTTCAGCAACTCCAATAGGAAGAGCAATTCTTTTCCTCTATTGCCCTAGTAAAAACCCAAGAGTGTATGTTTTTGGTTTGGCTTTCATTAAGTACCCAACCCTAAGCTATCATTATGGCTAATTAGAAAGAAGTGATTTGATTTTCTAGACCTGGGTCAGCCACCCACTCCTGGAGCTGGTGGGAGAAAAACCCATCTAAACTACAGGGGCTGAAAGTTGAGGGAATAGTGCTATAAGCAAAAGTCAGGTCTGGTGCCTTGAAGAAAAGTAGATGGGTATGATTAGGCAGCAAAAACAATAGACATCCACTGATTAACATCATAATATTCTCAAAGAACTAGCCTTGTGATCATGCTTTATATATCAATTAGAAACTTTGTCCTGCTCAAATTCCAGAAGTTTAGAATGCTCCCTGGTACGTGTACCTGAGCCCAGGTCTAATGTGTTAATATTGTCATCCTGGGCAGTCTCTCTATTGTCCATGCTTTTGTGTCTCAAGCCAACACTTCACAAAGGCCCCACAGCCATCACAGACAGAAGCAAGAGTGAGTTTTTCTCCTTATTTTGGAAAAGGTTGCACTTTTGCCCAAGAAATCTTTAAGTACTGCTTCCCTCATCACCTACCAGGTAAGGAATCAGGGAAGACTCTGACCTCCCTGGGGGTCTCTTGGCTCTCAGATTAATGTAATTGTTCTTCAAATCTTATTTGTAATTCAAGGCCAGAATCTCATCCATCTTCTCCACGAAGGCTTTTCTAGTCCTTCCACTATAGTTCTGGCAAAGATTCTTTGTTAACCAAACATAAGTCAGCCTCCTGAACCTTTAGACTCACTTGTGCACTTCCTTGTAAAATCCAGTTTTAGCAAAAACCCTGCTAAATCAGTTTAGCAAGGAATCCCTACCCTCTATACCTGATCACTCTCAGTACTGATCAGGCTCCTCATCTTCCACCATCCCCCAGGTGATGTCTGGTCGCACTGGCCTGTCTTCAGCAAACATCATGTTAGAATGGTTGAGTCAAAATCCCCGTCGCTCCTGATGTTACTTCTCACTGATTTTCCAACCACTGGTTCCTACCTTACTTCTTGGCTATAAATTCCCCCTTGCCCATGCTGTATTCACAGTTGAGCTCAATCTCTCTCCTTCATGGAAAAATCGCATTGCATTGGGATGGTCCTAAATAAAATCTCCCTTATTGTGCTTTAACAAGGGTCATTGAATTTCTTTTCCTTAACAGACCATATCTACTATATGTTGTGATGCTGAATTTTCTTTCTTTAAAAATATTTTTTACAACTTCAAAATTATTGATACTTATAAAAGAGCATTTGTAATATATGTACAACTTATAAAGCATAATCATAAAACAAATGCCCATGAACCCACCACCTGATGTAAGAACTTTCCCTATTAAGGTTACATGTGTGTTATTTTCCAATTCCATTCTCCTCTTTTATCCCAGCAACTATTATGTTGAAATTTTCCTTTGTATGATCTTTGTTTAAAAAAATATTTTATTATGCATGTATATTTATCTAAATAATTCAAAGTGTACTTTTGATTATATTCATTTAAAAAAAGTTACACTCTATGTAGTCTTCAAGAAATTGCCTTTTTTGCTCAAAACTATTTCTCAGATATATCTGTGTTGTGTGTTCATTAATTTTCACTGCTGCATACAATTTCATGTGTGGATATACCATAATTGATCTATTATTCTCCATGAACAGACATTTGCATTGTTTCTACGGTGTCATTACTACAAATACTGAAACAATGAACATTCTTGTACATGTCTCCTGGTGTGTATGTAAGAGTTTCTTCAGGAATTCTGTTTTAACTGGTATTTAGAAATGCAATTAATTTTTATATATTACTCTTATTTTCAGCCATGTTCTTAATTGTTTTTATTCATTATAATAATGTTTCTGTACATTATTTTGAGTTTTTTTAAAGATAATCATATTATCTGTGAATAATGGCAATTTTTCTTTCTAATCCTTGTAACTCTTACGGTTTTTCTTGTCTTATTGCATTGGCAGTATTGACTTCCAGACAACACTGAATAGAAGTTTTGGTGATGGGCATCTGTGATGGCTGTTATTATACGCTGCCTAGATTCTTTGGAAATGAAGGACTCATGCCTACAGCTACTGAGAGTGCTACCTGAAGACAACCCTCAGCTTTAAGCCCTTTTCAGGGATCGTCTTGCTTGAAAAAAGCTGTCTCACACAAGGTATGCCTTCTTCCAGGACCAATCAGCATCCAATGACTGATTGACATGGGGATATAAAAGCCTAGCCTTCATTTCCCAATTGGGTACAATTCTAAAAGGCCAGTTCCAGTACCCTCCATGAGGTTGGCTGAGGTCTTCATTGGAACTGTGTCCTAGATCAACTTTTTCCTCTGCCCAAGCCAGTTTCCTTCCTCTGTTTTCCACATACATCAATCCCAGGAGCACTCCTGAGTAAGCATTTTGTATCCCAACCTCTAGCTCAATGTCTGCTTCCTGTGGAACACTGTCTATGACAGCACTTTATGTGTAGCCTCATTTTCAAATGAGAATGCATTTACTGTATCACCATGAAGAATAAGGTTGCAGTAGAGTTTTTGATAGATATTCTTCATTTGGTTAAGGAAATTTTCTTCCATCTCTCATGTGCTGATGATTTTTTTACAATTATGAATGGGTTGTTTTTCTCTCCTTGAAACACAACAGTTCTTTGATGAGGATCCGCTAAAAGTAAACTGTCTCTGTTTATCTGAAAGTGTTTTTTATTTTGTCCTCACTCTTGAAAGATAGTTTTTATTAGCACACAATTTTAGCTTGATATTTAATTTATTTCCATGCTTTGAAGGTATTTGATATCCCTTGTGGTTACTGAGAAATCAACATCCATCTGTGTGAGGGACATGCATTTTCTCTCTGGCTGCTTTTAAGATCGTTCCTTTGTCTTTGATTGGTGTTCAGTTTCATTGCACTGTGTCTAGACATGCATTTCTTTTTATTGATCCTACCTAGTACACATTCTGCCTTCTGTATCTATGGATTTGGGTTACTTATAAGTTCTGGAAAATTATAAACCATTATCTCTATGAATAATCATCTTCTCTATTCTCCTCTTCTGGGTCTTTACTAGGCAATGGAAGCAATGATACTTCCTCATTCTATTCTTCATGTCTATCAATCTGTTATATTTTCCATCTTCTTGTCTCTCTGTTACATTCCAGGTAATTTCTTTAGCTCCATCTTCCAGTTTACTGATTATTATTATTATTATTATCATTATTTTTTTTTTAGTAGAGATGGGGTTTCACCGTGTTAGCCAGGATGGTCTCAATCTCCTGACCTCATGATCCACCCACCTTGGCCTCCCAAAGTGCCTGTTTACTGATTCTTATTTAAGCTATGCTTACTATGTTATTTAATGCTAGCTTAATGACAAAAACGACACTTATAATTTGTAAAATTTTCACTTTTCATATTGGCTAAGTCATTTACATGGTTAATTTATAAAATAAAACTATTTAAAAATATATACATTTATACATATTTTATATACTATATATGAAAATTTCAAAATCTGAAGTTTTGGAGAGGTCTAATTGTATTTTTTGATGTGTTTACTGCTTATTATTCATGATGGCTTACTTCTTGTGTTTTGGAGATTTTAAAAATTCTGAGCTCGTATTTTGTTAAACTTAATAAGAATCTTGGTGAAGTATGCTGAAAGTGCTTTCCTCCAAAGAGGATTTATATCTGCTTCTTCAGGAAGCTGAGAGACACTATTGACCTGGAACTATTATACATTAGTGCCTCTGAAGAGCCCAGCTTAATGAAATTGTCTAAGGTTCAGCTCCTCCACCTTGCAGGCCCAAAGTTCAGAAATGATGCAAACAATTTCTCAACTTCCAATATACACATGCTGCTTGTCCTATCAAGAGGTGGGCCATATTTCTGCTTCCCTTAGATCTGGGCTTGTTTGTCTTCCTTTGACAGACAGAATTGCCACAGAGTTGACATTGCACCCGTTCTAGGCATAAGCTTGAAGATGCCTGGAGTTTCTGCTTTTGCTGTCTTGAAAAATCAGATCCACCACTTAAGAAGCTCAGATTAAACTGCTGGAGAGGCCCTGTGGTGAGAAGGAGAGGCAATCATAGAAGTTTCAGACTCATCTGAGCTTTGGGTAAATGCGGTCACATGAGTGATTCCAGATAACACCATGTGGAGGAGAAGAACTGCTCCCTCTGAGCCCAGCCAGCCCATAGAATTATGACAAATAATAAATCATTATTGTTTTAAGCTGGTAAATGTTGGGGTGGTATGTTGTGAAGCAATAGATTTATGAGACAGTAATATTCAGCGTATTTGTCCAAAATGTTGCTGGAAGTAAAATCTTATTTGAAGTTTCTCCCTGGATTTATATGTTCATTTCATTCATAAATGAAAGCCTAAGCCTAAGCTTCTATCCTTTAGAGCAGAATTGCATAGTTGTAAAGATCACAGGCAGGATTCCTGTTTTGGATTCACCCTTAATAGGTTTGAGATCTTAATTAATATTCCTTAATCTCTGAGCTTCAAAATTTTCATTTATCAAATAGGAATAATACTAGTGTCTACATCATAAGGTTATTAGATAGATTATATATCAATCATTTAAAGCCATTATTCAGAGTCCAGCTCATAGTTACACACTTAGGAAATGTTTTCTTTTGTTATAATCCATCTTGCTTTTTTAAAATAAATGTCATATCTTCTAGGTGTTTGTGATATTGTGACATAATAAGAAATGTATATTTGGTTTCTGTCCCCGGTTCCTGGCACATACCAAGAAAGACCCTTGGCCTCTCTGGAGCGACAAAAGTGTCTTGTGTGCCAATGAAATGACTGGTGGCTGGGGGCTTCTGGACAGCCTCAGTATGGGGGCCAGTTGCCTTGGGAACCAACCAAGTGATTAGAAGATTGGATCTTTCAAGCCCACCCACCACCTCTGGGGGAGGAGAGAGAGGATGAAGGTTGACTTGATTGCCAATGGTCAGTGATTTAATCAATCATGCCTATGGAATGAAGCCTCTAAAAACCCAAAGAGAATGGGTTTAGGGAGTTTTCGAGTTAGTGAACAAGACAACACTCATGTGCTGGGAGGGTGGCATACCCCAACTCCCTGGGTCTGGAAGGTCCTGCATTTGGAGACCCTTCTAGCCTTGTCCTTTGTTTCTCTTTGTGTTCTTTAAAATATCATTTGTAGTAAACGGGTAAATCTAAGTACAGCGTTTCCCTAAGTTCTGTGAGCTGCTCTAGCAAATCAATTGAACCCAAAGAGGCAGTTGTAGGAACCCTAATTTATAGCTGGTTGGTCAGAAGCATGGGTCACAACCTACGACTTGCAATTGGCATGTGAAATGGGAAGAGGGTGGCGGGGGGCACTCTTGTGAGACTAACCCTTAACTCATAGGATCTGATGCCATTTTCAGCTAGACGGTGTCAGAATTAAATCAAATTATAGGACACCAGTTAGTTTCCACTGGAGAAGCTGGTGTCAGAAGTGTTGTGTTGAGTGACTGTATAAGAGAGTAGAGAGAAAAAAAACAGTTTGATTTTTCCTTCAGAGTGCTCGATAAACATTTTTTAAAAAATTAAAGCATCAAGGAATTTGTGGATGAATTTCTTTGAGTCCTCTTCAAATCATAGCTTGTCCTGCTTCACTATGATTTATTATTGTTTCTTCCTGCTCTAGGGCTTGCCCCTTCCTGGTCAAGACACTCCAGCATTAGAATCAAGATATCATCCAGTTTTTTTCCCTGATCTTTACTAATTTCAGAGATGAACATATTTTAATCCGGGTCAGATCAGCTCCTTGCAGGGAGGAATTTCTATCATTCTCTTTCAAATGTACATCCAAGGGCAGAGTTCACATGAAGACGTGGGCAAAAAATGCTCTTCTGGCATGTTCTCAAGTCAAGAATCTCATTCTGGGAAGAGTCCTGTGTAAGTAAGAAATCTGATTCTGCTCATCAAAAAATGTCATTCAAGATCTCGTCCTGCTTTAACATGAGGCCTGGTGAAGTGGTGATTATGCTGGCTGCCTAAACACTCATTTTTACAATTTTATAATGGAAGCCTAATAACTCAGTGGAGTAAAGGAAGAAAAAGCAAGAGATAATGTTTTTGTAGACAATGTAAATGGGGTGCAGCTACTTTGAGAGTGCTTAACAATTGCTGCCTGTCCGCTCCTTGAGCTTTGGATAAAATGTGCTCCAGCATTGCCCTGAAAGGACACAAGAGAATCTGGCCAGTTGCTGATCCATTTTCCACTGGGAAACTGCTCTGATAGGTGGGCACCAAACAGAAGCCATCTCAGGATGGTCAGCAGGGGTGGAAACAGTAATGAGATGGTAGCATTTTGTTTTTATCCTATTGACCACAACCATGATGTTTGCTTAGAGCCCACAGAAGGACACTTCTTCATCTTCAATCCAACCCCATGTTAACAGAACTCTGAGCTGATTGCATCAAGTAGTGAGAATTTGCTTTTCTATATCTTCATGCTTTTGCCTATCTTCATGCCTTTGCTCAGCCAGCATTTTGCAGGATTCGGTGAAGCTTCTTGGTGTGCTCTCTGTAGCTGAGGTGTTAGTTGGCTGAAAATTAGTGAGTCTCAGGGAGTTCTTGTTCATTTCATACATCCCAGGTAAGAGGGAAGGAGAGTTTCTGTTTAGCTGGGAATGGAATCCCACCACTTAGAAGAGAGGGAAGAGGATGTAGGAAGAAGAGAACAGGAGCATAAAAGAAAAAGGCAACGAACGGCTGAAGGGCACAGCTGGGCTGGGAAAGAGAAGCAGCAGAGGGTAGTGGTTTCAGTGAACAAAACTGTGTTCCAGTCCTGTCTTTCCTACTTACTGCTTCTATGATTTACAAGAAGCAGTAAGTAACCCCTCTGAATCTCACTTTCCTCTCTATAAAATGGGATCATTTGTTTTTTGTTGTAAGAAAAGTACAGTGTGTAGCACATAGTGATTCCTCAGTAAACGGTTATCTGTTATTGTTACTAATTTTTCTTCTAGACTAAGTCTGTGTGCTATCTACACATCACAGATATCAGTATTGTCATAAGGAGTTTTGTATCATTTGAGGAGTTGGACAGACCACCACCTGTACCGCATAGCTCCTGGACCAGCCTGGCAAATGGGCCCTGAAATTCCAATCTTTGGAGTTAATCCAGGAGGCAGTAATCTTCCTCTTCTCTTACCTATCTCTCATTTAATGTGAATTTATTACTCATGAGTATGTAGTAACATATTAAAGCCAGAAGTCTTAAACCAGTGCATGACACAATCATAGTCTGTTCTCATATTCTTTCTTTTATGAGGGGAGGAGTAGTTTTCTGGACACTGTCAGACAATATGAAGTGCCCTGATCACTGTAATTCCTGAATTTCAGGCTCACTTGGTCCTAAGATGGTCAAAAGGTCAAAGCTCCTACCTTCATTCATATTTGTCACCCGCTGCACCCTCCACTAGGAAAGAGGACCAGCCTTGTTCTTTCCCTATCCTCCCTCCCCCTGCCCACCTGCTCCTTGTTTTTCATGGCTTGTGTCTGGTCCACATGAACTCTATGGCTCTGGAATATTATAGGGCTAGAAGAAAACCCAAGCACTGCAGCCTCTCCTTAGCTGGTTACTGCAGCCTCTCCTTAGCTGGTTACTGCAGCCTCTCCTTAGCCCGTCTCCCCTTAGATGGGCTCCTTAGCAGCCCATCTTTTGCCCTTCAGATTTTAGTCTCTGTGTGCCACTGTCAAGCCCCTAGCTGCCTTGGACAGCTCCTGTCACCAGGATATAGCAAAGTGGAAGTGAGGATGAGACTCACAGCACAGCCCTCTCCAAAGAAATCCTCTCCATGAATCCTCTCTCCCAGTCCTTTTATACCCTCACTCTGGACGAACGGTTCTCAAAGGAAATGTCTGCCTTTCGGTCTGCCACAACCCACCTTAGCATTTGATACCTATTGTGTCTTGGTCCTCAGTTAACACTTCTAATTTAACACCTTGTTACATAAACCCATTCCCAAGGGTACGATGGTAACTGTGATGCATCTTTTTGGAGCATGAATTTTTTACTCACCGATTTGTGGTGAGAAGGACAGGTGATGAAGGGAGTGTTTGCAGGGCAGGGAGTTTGAATATTTTAACTGATAAGAAATTCAAATTAAAAATTCAAACAGATTATATTACGGAGTAGAAAGCAAAATTGAATACACATCAAAGTAAAACATGAGATGTCAGAGTAATACCTTATTTAAAGTGGCTTTTACAAGCACTCCCACTCCCCTTCACCACTAGAGTAAATGTTCACACTTCTCTCCCATTAGGAGAGTGCTTGGGGTAGGTGGAAGGAGGCTTTTTTTGAAGCCCTGCATGAAGACATTATCAGCTATATACAAATTACAGTGGAGATAGTAATAAGTCACTCAGTAGCTGCACTGACCTCCTGACATTCATTATCACATCTTTTGCAGACTTATATGTTAAATTATCAGAGATGAGGAAACAGAACACCACCACACTGCTGTATGTTTTCTGGCAGAATATAAGGAGTAGGTGTAGGGTAGAAAGAACCTCTTAGGGCCAAGAATGGTGTTTCAAGCTTGTAATTCCAGCACTTTGGGAGGCCAAGGCAGGCAGATCGCCTGAGGTCAGGAATTTGAGACCAGCCTGGCCAACATGGTGAAACCCTGTCTCTACTAAAAACACAAAAAATTAGCTGGGCGTGGTGGCTAATTTTCCTTGTTTCCAGGCTATAGGCATGGTGGCAGGCATCTGTAGTCCCAGCTACTTGGGAGGCTGAGGCAGAAGAATTGCTTGAACCCAGGAGGCAGAGGTTGCAGTGAGCCGAGATTGCGCCACTGCGCTCCAGCCTAGGTAACAGAGCAAGACTCCATCTCAAAAAAAAAAAAAAAAAAAAAAAAAAAAGAACCTCTTAGAATTGTGCTGTCCAGGATGGTAACTCCTCCAGCCACATGTGGATACTGAATCCTTAAAATATGATGAGTTCAACTCAGATGTGCTGATATGTAAAGGACAGTCTGGATTTCAGAGACCTAGAATTAAAAAAGGAGGGGAAAATATCTCATGGATACATTTTTTTCATATTGATTACATGTTGAATTGACAATGTTTTGAATATATTGAGTTAATAAAACATTCTTATAATCAATTTTACCTTTAAAAAACTATTAAAGAAATGGGGCTCCTAGAAAATTTAAAATCACATACATGGCTTGCATCTGTGGCTTGCGTTCTATTTTTATTGCTTAGCTTTGTCTTTATATCGACTTATCCAATGGTCAGCAAACTATGGCCTATGGATCCAATCCAGCTAATTGTTTATTTTTGTAAATCAAGTTACACCAGAACACAGGCACATCCATTTCTTTGCATATTGTCTATGGGTGTTTTCAAACTTCGATGGCAGAGTTGAGTTGTTACAAAAGAGAATGTTTGAAGCCCAGTCTATTTACTATTTTTTATAAACTAGGAAAAGTTTGCAGACCCCTGATAATCCAACTTTTTCTATATCGTACAGGGGAGAAAGCAAAGCC